>NC_000018.10:16876568-17202206 GCF_000001405.40 Homo sapiens | reverse complement strand
AACTGCTCCTTCAAAACGGTGGTTCAATTCTCTTAGTTGAGTACACACATCTCAAATAAGTTTCTGAGAATGCTTCTGCCTAGTTGTTACGGGAAGATATTTCCCTTTCCAACATGGGCCTGAAAGCGCTCCAAATGTCCACTTCCAGATACTACAAAAAGAGTGTTTCAAACCTGCTCTACCAAAGGGAATGTTCTACTCTGTGACTTGAATGCAAACATCCCAAAGAAGTTTCTGAGAATGCTTCTGTCTAGATTTTACCTGAAGACAATCCCGTTTCCCACGAAATCCTCAAAGCTATGCAAATATCCTCTTGCAGATTCTACAAAAAGAGTGTTTCAAAACTGCTCTATGAAAAGAAAGGTTCAACTCTGTCAGTAGAGGGCACACATCACAAACAAGTTTCTGAGAATGCTTCTGCATAGTTGTTACGGGAAGATATTTCCCTTTCCAAAATAGGCCTGAAAGCGCTCCAAATGTCCACTTCCAGATACTACAAAAGGAGTGATTCCAACCTGCTCTATGATAGGGAATGTTCAACTCTGTGTCCTGAATACAAACATCACAAAGATGTTTCTCAGAACGCTGCAGTCTGCAATTTGTATGAATTCCCGCTTCCAACGAAATCCTCAAAACTAGCCAAATATCCACTTGCAGATTCCACAAAAAGACCATTTCAAAACTGCTCTATCAAAAGAAAGGTTCAACTTTGTTAGTTGAGTAGATACAGCATAAACAAGTTTCTGAGAATGCTTCTGTCCAGTTTTTATGGGAAGATATTTCCTTTTTCACCTTAGCCCTGAAATCGCTCCAAAAGTCCAGTTCCAGATACTACAAAAGGGGTGTTTCAAGACTGCTCTATGAAAGGGAGTGTTCAACTTTTGACTTGAATGCAAACATCAGAAAGCAGTTTCTCAGAACGCTGCTGTGTGCTTTTTATATGTATTCCCGCTTCCAGCGAAATCCCCAAGCTAGCCAAATATCCACTTGCAGATTCCAGAAAAAGAGAGTTTCAAAACTGCTCCTTCAAAACGGTGGTTCAATTCTCTTAGTTGAGTACACACATCTCAAATAAGTTTCTGAGAATGCTTCTGTCTAGTTGTTATGGGAAGATATTTCCTTTTCCAACATAGGCCTGAAAGCGCTCCAAATGTCCACTTCCAGATACTACAAAAGGAGTGATTCAAACCTGCTCTATGATAGGGAATGTTCAACTCTGTGTCCTGAATACAAACATCACAAAGATGTTTCTCAGAACGCTGCAGTCTGCAATTTGTATGAATTCCCGCTTCCAACGAAATCCTCAAAACTAGCCAAATATCCACTTGCAGATTCCACAAAAAGAGCGTTTCAAAACTTCTCTATGAAAAGAAAGGTTCTACTCCTTTAGTTGAGGACACACATCACGAGTAAGTTTCTGAGAATGCTTCTGTCTAGTTTTTATGGGAAGATATTTCCTTTTTCACCTTAGGCCGGTAAGTGCTCCAAATGTCCACTTACACACACTACAAAAAGAGTGTTTCAAACCTGCTCTGTGAAAGGGAATGTTCAATTCTGTGACTTGAATGCAATCATCACAAAGAACTTTCTGAGAATGCTGCTGTCTGCTTTTTATATGTAATCCCGTTTCCATCGAAATCCTCAAATCTAGCCAAATATCCACTTGCATGTTCCTCAAAAAGAGTGTTTCAAAACTGTTCTGCCAAAAGAAAGGTTCAACTCTGTTAGTTGAGGACACACATCAGAAACTAGTTTCTGAGAAGGCTTCTGTCTAGTTGTTATGGGAAGATATTTCCTTTTCCAACGTAGGCCTGAAAGCGCTCCAAATGTCCACTTCCAGATACTACAAAAAGAGTGTTTCAAACCTGCTCTACCAAAGGGAATGTTCTACTCTGTGACTTGAATGCAAACATCCCAAAGAAGTTTCTGAGAATGCTTCTGTCTAGATTTTCTCTGAAGACAATCCCGTTTCCAACGAAATCCTCAAGGCTAGGCAAATATACTCTTGCAGATTCCAGAAAAAGAGTGTTTCAAAACTGCTCCTTCAAAACGGTGGTTCAATTCTCTTAGTTGAGTACACACATCTCAAATAAGTTTCTGAGAATGCTTCTGCCTAGTTGTTACGGGAAGATATTTCCCTTTCCAACATGGGCCTGAAAGCGCTCCAAATGTCCACTTCCAGATACTACAAAAAGAGTGTTTCAAACCTGCTCTACCAAAGGGAATGTTCTACTCTGTGACTTGAATGCAAACATCCCAAAGAAGTTTCTGAGAATGCTTCTGTCTAGATTTTACCTGAAGACAATCCCGTTTCCCACGAAATCCTCAAAGCTATGCAAATATCCTCTTGCAGATTCTACAAAAAGAGTGTTTCAAAACTGCTCTATGAAAAGAAAGGTTCAACTCTGTCAGTAGAGGGCACACATCACAAACAAGTTTCTGAGAATGCTTCTGCATAGTTGTTACGGGAAGATATTTCCCTTTCCAAAATAGGCCTGAAAGCGCTCCAAATGTCCACTTCCAGATACTACAAAAGGAGTGATTCCAACCTGCTCTATGATAGGGAATGTTCAACTCTGTGTCCTGAATACAAACATCACAAAGATGTTTCTCAGAACGCTGCAGTCTGCAATTTGTATGAATTCCCGCTTCCAACGAAATCCTCAAAACTAGCCAAATATCCACTTGCAGATTCCACAAAAAGACCATTTCAAAACTGCTCTATCAAAAGAAAGGTTCAACTTTGTTAGTTGAGTAGATACAGCATAAACAAGTTTCTGAGAATGCTTCTGTCCAGTTTTTATGGGAAGATATTTCCTTTTTCACCTTAGCCCTGAAATCGCTCCAAAAGTCCAGTTCCAGATACTACAAAAGGGGTGTTTCAAGACTGCTCTATGAAAGGGAGTGTTCAACTTTTGACTTGAATGCAAACATCAGAAAGCAGTTTCTCAGAACGCTGCTGTGTGCTTTTTATATGTATTCCCGCTTCCAGCGAAATCCCCAAAGCTAGCCAAATATCCACTTGCAGATTCCAGAAAAAGAGTGTTTCAAAACTGCTCCTTCAAAACGGTGGTTCAATTCTCTTAGTTGAGTACACACATCTCAAATAAGTTTCTGAGAATGCTTCTGTCTAGTTGTTATGGGAAGATATTTCCTTTTCCAACATAGGCCTGAAAGCGCTCCAAATGTCCACTTCCAGATACTACAAAAGGAGTGATTCAAACCTGCTCTATGATAGGGAATGTTCAACTCTGTGTCCTGAATACAAACATCACAAAGATGTTTCTCAGAACGCTGCAGTCTGCAATTTGTATGAATTCCCGCTTCCTACGAAATCCTCAACACTAGCCAAATATCCACTTGGAGATTCCACAAAAAGAGCGTTTGAAAACTTCTCTATGAATAGAAAGGTTCTACTCCTTTAGTTGAGGACACACATCACGAGTAAGTTTCTGAGAATGCTTCTGTCTAGTTTTTATGGGAAGATATGTCCTTTTTCACCTTAGGCCGGAAAGCGCTCCAAATGTCCACTTACACACACTACAAAAAGAGGGTTTCAAACCTGCTCTGTGAAAGGGAATGTTCAATTCTGTGACTTGAATGTAATCATCACAAAGAACTTTCTGAGAATGCTGCTGACTGCTTTTTATATGTAATCCCGTTTCCAACGAAATCCTCAAATCTAGCCCAATATCCACTTGCAGATTCCACAAAAAGAGTGTTTCAAAACTGTTCTGTCTAAAGAAATGTACAACTGTGTTAGTTGAGGACACACATCAGAAACTAGTTTCTGAGAATGCTTCTGTCTAGTTGTTATGGGAAGATATTTCCTTTTCCAACGTAGGCCTGAAAGCGCTCCAAATGTCCACTTCCAGATACTAAAAAAAGAGTGTTTCAAACCTGCTCTACCAAAGAGAATGTTCTACTCTGTGACTTGAATGCAAACATCCCAAAGAAGTTTCTGAGAATGCTTCTGTCTAGATTTTATCTGAAGACAATCCCGTTTCCAACGAAATCCTCAAGGCTAGGCAAATATATTCTTGCAGAATCCAGAAAAAGAGTGTTTCAAAACTGCTCCTTCAAAACGGTGGTTCAATTCTCTTAGTTGAGTACACACATCTCAAATAAGTTTCTGAGAATGCTTCTGCCTAGTTGTTACGGGAAGATATTTCCCTTTCCAACATGGGCCTGATAGTGCTCCAAATGTCCACTTCCAGATACTACAAAAAGAGTGTTTCAAACCTGCTCTACCAAAGGGAATGTTCTACTCTGTGACTTGAATGCAAACATCCCAAAAAAGTTTCTGAGAATGCTTCTGTCTAGATTTTACCTGAAGACAATCCCGTTTCCCACGAAATCCTCAAAGCTATGCAAATATCCTCTTGCAGATTCTACAAAAAGAGTGTTTCAAAACTGCTCTATGAAAAGAAAGGTTCAACTCTGTCAGTAGAGGGCACAACATCACAAACAAGTTTCTGAGAATGCTTCTGCATAGTTGTTACGGGAAGATATTTCCCTTTCCAAAATAGGCCTGAAAGCGCTCCAAATGTCCACTTCCAGATACTACAAAAGGAGTGATTCCAACCTGCTCTATGATAGGGAATGTTCAACTCTGTGTCCTGAATACAAACATCACAAAGATGTTTCTCAGAACGCTGCAGTCTGCAATTTGTATGAATTCCCGCTTCCAACGAAATCCTCAAAACTAGCCAAATATCCACTTGCAGATTCCACAAAAAGACCATTTCAAAACTGCTCTATCAAAAGAAAGGTTCAACTTTGTTAGTTGAGTAGATACAGCATAAACAAGTTTCTGAGAATGCTTCTGTCCAGTTTTTATGGGAAGATATTTCCTTTTTCACCTTAGCCCTGAAATCGCTCCAAAAGTCCAGTTCCAGATACTACAAAAGGGGTGTTTCAGGACTGCTCTATGAAAGGGAGTGTTCAACTTTTGACTTGAATGCAAACATCAGAAAGCAGTTTCTCAGAACGCTGCTGTGTGCTTTTTATATGTATTCCCGCTTCCAGCGAAATCCCCAAAGCTAGCCAAATATCCACTTGCAGATTCCAGAAAAAGAGAGTTTCAAAACTGCTCCTTCAAAACGGTGGTTCAATTCTCTTAGTTGAGTACACACATCTCAAATAAGTTTCTGAGAATGCTTCTGTCTAGTTGTTATGGGAAGATATTTCCTTTTCCAACATAGGCCTGAAAGCGCTCCAAATGTCCACTTCCAGATACTACAAAAGGAGTGATTCAAACCTGCTCTATGATAGGGAATGTTCAACTCTGTGTCCTGAATACAAACATCACAAAGATGTTTCTCAGAACGCTGCAGTCTGCAATTTGTATGAATTCCCGCTTCCAACGAAATCCTCAAAACTAGCCAAATATCCACTTGCAGATTCCACAAAAAGAGCGTTTCAAAACTTCTCTATGAAAAGAAAGGTTCTACTCCTTTAGTTGAGGACACACATCACGAGTAAGTTTCTGAGAATGCTTCTGTCTAGTTTTTATGGGAAGATATTTCCTTTTTCACCTTAGGCCGGTAAGTGCTCCAAATGTCCACTTACACACACTACAAAAAGAGTGTTTCAAACCTGCTCTGTGAAAGGGAATGTTCAATTCTGTGACTTGAATGCAATCATCACAAAGAACTTTCTGAGAATGCTGCTGACTGCTTTTTATATGTAATCCCGTTTCCAACGAAATCCTCAAATCTAGCCAAATAGCCACTTGCAGATTCCACAAAAAGAGTGTTTCAAAACTGTTCTGTCTAAAGAAATGTTCAACTGTGTTAGTTGAGGACACACATCAGAAACTAGTTTCTGAGAATGCTTCTGTCTAGTTGTTATGGGAAGATATTTCCTTTTCCAACGTAGGCCTGAAAGCGCTCCAAATGTCCACTTCCAGATACTACAAAAAGAGTGTTTCAAACCTGCTCTACCAAAGGGAATGTTCTACTCTGTGACTTGAATGCAAACATCCCAAAGAAGTTTCTGAGAATGCTTCTGTCTAGATTTTCTCTGAAGACAATCCCGTTTCCAACGAAATCCTCAAGGCTAGGCAAATATACTCTTGCAGATTCCAGAAAAAGAGTGTTTCAAAACTGCTCCTTCAAAACGGTGGTTCAATTCTCTTAGTTGAGTACACACATCTCAAATAAGTTTCTGAGAATGCTTCTGCCTAGTTGTTACGGGAAGATATTTCCCTTTCAAACATAGGCCTGAAAGCGCTCCAAATGTCCACTTCCAGATACTACAAAAAGAGTGTTTCAAACCTGCTCTACCAAAGGGAATGTTCTACTCTGTGACTTGAATGCAAACATCCCAAAGAAGTTTCTGAGAATGCTTCTGTCTAGATTTTACCTGAAGACAATCCCGTTTCCCACGAAATCCTCAAAGCTATGCAAATATCCTCTTGCAGATTCTACAAAAAGAGTGTTTCAAAACTGCTCTATGAAAAGAAAGGTTCAACTCTGTCAGTAGAGGGCACACATCACAAACAAGTTTCTGAGAATGCTTCTGCATAGTTGTTACGGGAAGATATTTCCCTTTCCAAAATAGGCCTGAAAGCGCTCCAAATGTCCACTTCCAGATACTACAAAAGGAGTGATTCCAACCTGCTCTATGATAGGGAATGTTCAACTCTGTGTCCTGAATACAAACATCACAAAGATGTTTCTCAGAACGCTGCAGTCTGCAATTTGTATGAATTCCCGCTTCCAACGAAATCCTCAAAACTAGCCAAATATCCACTTGCAGATTCCACAAAAAGACCATTTCAAAACTGCTCTATCAAAAGAAAGGTTCAACTTTGTTAGTTGAGTAGATACAGCATAACCAAGTTTCTGAGAATGCTTCTGTCCAGTTTTTATGGGAAGATATTTCCTTTTTCACCTTAGCCCTGAAAGCGCTCCAAATTTCCAGTTCCAGATACTACAAAAGGGGTGTTTCAAGACTGCTCTATGAAAGGGAGTGTTCAACTTTTGACTTGAATGCAAACATCAGAAAGCAGTTTCTCAGAACGCTGCTGTGTGCTTTTTATATGTATTCCCGCTTCCAGCGAAATCCCCAAAGCTAGCCAGATATCCACTTGCAGATTCCAGAAAAAGAGTGTTTCAAAACTGCTCCTTCAAAACGGTGGTTCAATTCTGCTTAGTTGAGTACGCACATCTCAAATAAGTTTCTGAGAATGCTTTCTGTCTAGTTCTTATGGGAAGATATTTCCTTTTCCAACATAGGCCTGAAAGCGCTCCAAATGTCCACTTCCAGATACTACAAAAGGAGTGATTCAAACCTGCTCTATGATAGGGAATGTTCAACTCTGTGTCCTGAATACAAACATCACAACGATGTTTCTCAGAACGCTGCAGTCTGCAATTTGTATGAATTCCCGCTTCCAACGAAATCCTCAAAACTAGCCAAATATCCACTTGGAGATTCCACAAAAAGAGCGTTTCAAAACTTCTCTATGAATAGAAAGTTTCTACTCCTTTAGTTGAGGACACACATCACGAGTAAGTTTCTGAGAATGCTTCTGTCTGGTTTTTATGGTAAGATATGTCCTTTTTCACCTTAGGCCGGAAAGCGCTCCAAATGTCCACTTACACACACTACAAAAAGAGTGTTTCAAACCTGCTCTGTGAAAGGGAATGTTCAATTCTGTGACTTGAATGCAATCATCACAAAGAACTTTCTGAGAATGCTGCTGACTGCTTTTTATATGTAATCCCGTTTCCAACGAAATCCTCAAATCTAGCCCAATATCCACTTGCAGATTCCACAAAAAGAGTGTTTCAAAACTGTTCTGTCTAAAGAAATGTACAACTGTGTTAGTTGAGGACACACATCAGAAACTAGTTTCTGAGAATGCTTCTGTCTAGTTGTTATGGGAAGATATTTCCTTTTCCAACGTAGGCCTGAAAGCGCTCCAAATGTCCACTTCCAGATACTAAAAAAAGAGTGTTTCAAACCTGCTCTACCAAAGAGAATGTTCTACTCTGTGACTTGAATGCAAACATCCCAAAGAAGTTTCTGAGAATGCTTCTGTCTAGATTTTATCTGAAGACAATCCCGTTTCCAACGAAATCCTCAAGGCTAGGCAAATATATTCTTGCAGAATCCAGAAAAAGAGTGTTTCAAAACTGCTCCTTCAAAACGGTGGTTCAATTCTCTTAGTTGAGTACACACATCTCAAATAAGTTTCTGAGAATGCTTCTGCCTAGTTGTTACGGGAAGATATTTCCCTTTCCAACATGGGCCTGAAAGCGCTCCAAATGTCCACTTCCAGATACTACAAAAAGAGTGTTTCAAACCTGCTCTACCAAAGGGAATGTTCTACTCTGTGTCTTGAATGCAAACATCCCAAAGAAGTTTCTGAGAATGCTTCTGTCTAGATTTTACCTGAAGACAATCCCGTTTCCCACGAAATCCTCAAAGCTATGCAAATATCCTCTTGCAGATTCTACAAAAAGAGTGTTTCAAAACTGCTCTAAGAAAAGAAAGGTTCAACTCTGTCAGTAGAGGGCACACATCACAAACAAGTTTCTGAGAATGCTTCTGCATAGTTGTTATGGGAAGATATTTCCCTGTCCAAAATAGGCCTGAAAGCGCTCCAAATGTCCACTTCCAGATACTACAAAAGGAGTGATTCCAACCTGCTCTATGATAGGGAATGTTCAACTCTGTGTCCTGAATACAAACATCACAAAGATGTTTCTCATAACGCTGCAGTCTGCAATTTGTATGAATTCCCGCTTCCAACGAAATCCTCAAAACTAGCCAAATATCCACTTGCAGATTCCACAAAAAGACCATTTCAAAACTGCTCTATCAAAAGAAAGGTTCAACTTTGTTAGTTGAGTAGATACAGCATAAACAAGTTTCTGAGAATGCTTCTGTCCAGTTTTTATGGGAAGATATTTCCTTTTTCACCTTAGCCCTGAAATCGCTCCAAAAGTCCAGTTCCAGATACTACAAAAGGGGTGTTTCAAGACTGCTCTATGAAAGGGAGTGTTCAACTTTTGACTTGAGTGCAAACATCAGAAAGCAGTTTCTCAGAACGCTGCTGTGTGCTTTTTATATGTATTCCCACTTCCAGCGAAATCCCCAAAGCTAGCCAAATATCCACTTGCAGATTCCAGAAAAAGAGAGTTTCAAAACTGCTCCTTCAAAACGGTGGTTCAATTCTCTTAGTTGAGTACACACATCTCAAATAAGTTTCTGAGAATGCTTCTGTCTAGTTGTTATGGGAAGATATTTCCTTTTCCAACATAGGCCTGAAAGCGCTCCAAATGTCCACTTCCAGATACTACAAAAGGAGTGATTCCAACCTGCTCTATGATAGGGAATGTTCAACTCTGTGTCCTGAATACAAACATCACAAAGATGTTTCTCAGAACGCTGCAGTCTGCAATTTGTATGAATTCCCGCTTCCAACGAAATCCTCAAAACTAGCCAAATATCCACTTGCAGATTCCACAAAAAGACCATTTCAAAACTGCTCTATCAAAAGAAAGGTTCAACTTTGTTAGTTGAGTAGATACAGCATAAACAAGTTTCTGAGAATGCTTCTGTCCAGTTTTTATGGGAAGATATTTCCTTTTTCACCTTAGCCCTGAAATCGCTCCAAAAGTCCAGTTCCAGATACTACAAAAGGGGTGTTTCAAGACTGCTCTATGAAAGGGAGTGTTCAACTTTTGACTTGAATGCAAACATCAGAAAGCAGTTTCTCAGAACGCTGCTGTGTGCTTTTTATATGTATTCCCGCTTCCAGCGAAATCCCCAAAGCTAGCCAAATATCCACTTGCAGATTCCAGAAAAAGAGTGTTTCAAAACTGCTCCTTCAAAACGGTGGTTCAATTCTCTTAGTTGAGTACACACATCTCAAATAAGTTTCTGAGAATGCTTCTGTCTAGTTGTTATGGGAAGATATTTCCTTTTCCAACATAGGCCTGAAAGCGCTCCAAATGTCCACTTCCAGATACTGCAAAAGGAGTGATTCAAACCTGCTCTATGATAGGGAATGTTCAACTCTGTGTCCTGAATACAAACATCACAAAGATGTTTCTCAGAACGCTGCAGTCTGCAATTTGTATGAATTCCCGCTTCCAACGAAATCCTCCAAACTAGCCAAATATCCACTTGCAGATTCCACAAAAAGAGCGTTTCAAAACTTCTCTATGAAAAGAAAGGTTCTACTCCTTTAGTTGAGGACACACATCACGAGTAAGTTTCTGAGAATGCTTCTGTCTAGTTTTTATGGGAAGATATTTCCTTTTTCACCTTAGGCCGGAAAGTGCTCCAAATGTCCACTTACACACACTATAAAAAGAGTGTTTCAAACCTGCTCTGTGAAAGGGAATGTTCAATTCTGTGACTTGAATGCAATCATCACAATGAACTTTCTGAGAATGCTGCTGTCTGCTTTTTATATGTAATCCCGTTTCCAACGAAATCCTCAAATCTAGCCAAATAGCCACTTGCAGATTCCACAAAAAGAGAGTTTCAAAACTGTTCTGTCTAAAGAAATGTTCAACTGTGTTAGTTGAGGACACACATCAGAAACTAGTTTCTGAGAATGCTTCTGTCTAGTTGTTATGGGAAGATATTTCCTTTTCCAACGTAGGCCTGAAAGCGCTCCAAATGTCCACTTCCATATACTAAAAAAAGAGTGTTTCAAACCTGCTCTACCAAAGGGAATGTTCTACTCTGTGACTTGAATGCAAACATCCCAAAGAAGTTTCTGAGAATGCTTCTGTCTAGATTTGATCTGAAGACAATCCCGTTTCCAACGAAATCCTCAAAGCTAGGCAAATATCCTCTTGCAGATTCCAGAAAAAGAGTGTTTCAAAACTGCTCCTTCAAAACGGTGGTTCAATTCTCTTAGTTGAGTACACACATCTCCAATAAGTTTCTGAGAATGCTTCTGCCTAGTTGTTACGGGAAGATATTTCCCTTTCCAACATAGGCCTGAAAGCGCTCCAAATGTCCACTTCCAGATACTAAAAAAAGAGTGTTTCAAACCTGCTCTACCAAAGGGAATGTTCTACTCTGTGACTTGAATGCAAACATCCCAAAGAAGTTTCTGAGAATGCTTCTGTCTAGATTTGATCTGAAGACAATCCCTTTTCCAACGAAATCCTCAAAGCTAGGCAAATATCCTCTTGCAGATTCTACAAAAAGAGTGTTTCGAAACTGCTCTATGAAAAGAAAGGTTCAACTCTGTCAGTAGAGGAAACACATCACCAACAAGTTTCTGAGAATGCTTCTGTCTAGTTGTTATGGGAAGATTTTTCCTTTTTCAACATAGGCCTGAAAGCGCTCCAAATGTCCACTTCCAGATACTACAAAAGGAGTGATCCCAACCTGCTCTATGATAGGGAATGTTCAACTCTGTGTCCTGAATACAAACATCACAAAGATGTTTCTCAGAACGCTGCAGTCTGCAATTTGTATGAATTCCCGCTTCCAACGAAATCCTCAAAACTAGCCAAATATCCACTTGCAGATTCCACAAAAAGAGCATTTCAAAACTGCTCTATCAAAAGAAAGGTTCAACTTTGTTAGTTGAGTAGATACAGCATAAACAAGTTTCTGAGAATGCTTCTGTCCAGTTTTTATGGGAAGATATTTCCTTTTTCACCTTAGCCCTGAAGGCGCTCCAAATTTCCAGTTCCAGATACTACAAAAGGGGTGTTTCAAGACTGCTCTATGAAAGGGAGTGTTCAACTTTTGACTTGAATGCAAACATCAGAAAGCAGTTTCTCAGAACGCTGCTGTGTGCTTTTTATATGTATTCCCGCTTCCAGCGAAATCCCCAAAGCTAGCCAAATATCCACTTGCAGATTCCAGAAAAAGAGTGTTTCCAAACTGCTCCTTCAAAACGGTGGTTCAATTCTCTTAGTTGAGTACACACATCTCAAATAAGTTTCTGGGAATGCTTCTGTCTAGTTGTTATGGGAAGATATTTCCTTTTCCAACATAGGCCTGAAAGCGCTCCAAATGTCCACTTCCAGATACTACAAAAGGAGTGATCCCAACCTGCTCTATGATAGGGAATGTTCAACTCTGTGTCCTGAATACAAACATCACAAAGATGTTTCTCAGAACGCTGCAGTCTGCAATTTGTATGAATTCCCGCTTCCAACGAAATCCTCAAAACTAGCCAAATATCCACTTGCAGATTCCACAAAAAGAGCATTTCAAAACTGCTCTATCAAAAGAAAGGTTCAACTTTGTTAGTTGAGTAGATACAGCATAAACAAGTTTCTGAGAATGCTTCTGTCCAGTTTTTATGGGAAGATATTTCCTTTTTCACCTTAGGCCGGAAAGTGCTCCAAATGTCCACTTACACACACTACAAAAAGAGTGTTTCAAACCTGCTCTGTGAAAGGGAATGTTCAATTCTGTGACTTGAATGCAATCATCACAAAGAACTTTCTGAGAATGCTGCTGTCTGCTTTTTATATGTAATCCCGTTTCCAACGAAATCCTCAAATCTAGCCAAATAGCCACTTGCAGATTCCACAAAAAGAGTGTTTCAAAACTGTTCTGTCTAAAGAAATGTTCAACTGTGTTAGTTGAGGACACACATCAGAAACTAGTTTCTGAGAATGCTTCTGTCTAGTTGTTATGGGAAGATATTTCCTTTTCCAACGTAGGCCTGAAAGCGCTCCAAATGTCCACTTCCATATACTAAAAAAAGAGTGTTTCAAACCTGCTCTACCAAAGGGAATGTTCTACTCTGTGACTTGAATGCAAACATCCCAAAGAAGTTTCTGAGAATGCTTCTGTCTAGATTTGATCTGAAGACAATCCCGTTTCCAACGAAATCCTCAAGGCTAGGCAAATATCCTCTTGCAGATTCCAGAAAAAGAGTGTTTCAAAACTGCTCCTTCAAAACGGTGGTTCAATTCTCTTAGTTGAGTACACACATCTCAAATAAGTTTCTGAGAATGCTTCTGCCTAGTTGTTACGGGAAGATATTTCCCTTTCCAACATAGGCCTGAAAGCGCTCCAAATGTCCACTTCCAGATACTACAAAAAGAGTGTTTCAAACCTGCTCTACCAAAGGGAATGTTCTGCTCTGTGACTTGAATGCAAACATCCCAAAGAAGTTTCTGAGAATGCTTCTGTCTAGATTTTACCTGAAGACAATCCCGTTTCCCACGAAATCCTCAAAGCTATGCAAATATCCTCTTGCAGATTCTACAAAAAGAGTGTTTCAAAACTGCTCTATGAAAAGAAAGGTTCAACTCTGTCAGTAGAGGGCACACATCACAAACAAGTTTCTGAGAATGCTTGTGTCTAGTTGTTATGGGAAGATATTTCCTTTTTCAACATAGGCCTGAAAGCGCTCCAAATGTCCACTTCCAGATACTACAAAAGGAGTGATTCCAACCTGCTCTATGATAGGGAATGTTCAACTCTGTGTCCTGAATACAAACATCACAAAGATGTTTCTCAGAACGCTGCAGTCTGCAATTTGTATGAATTCCCGCTTCCAACGAAATCCTCAAAACTAGCCAAATATCCACTTGCAGATTCCACAAAAAGAGCATTTCAAAACTGCTCTATCAAAAGAAAGGTTCAACTTTGTTAGTTGAGTAGATACAGCATAAACAAGTTTCTGAGAATGCTTCTGTCCAGTTTTTATGGGAAGATATTTCCTTTTTCACCTTAGCCCTGAAAGCGCTCCAAAAGTCCAGTTCCAGATACTACAAAAGGAGTGTTTCAGGACTGCTCTATGAAAGGGAGTGTTCAACTTTTGACTTGAATGCAAACATCAGAAAGCAGTTTCTCAGAACGCTTGCTGTGTGCTTTTTATATGTATTCCCGCCTCCAGCGAAATCCCCAAAGCTAGCCAAATATCCACTTGCAGATTCCAGAAAAAGAGTGTTTCAAAACTGCTCCTTCAAAACGGTGGTTCAATTCTCTTAGTTGAGTACACACATCTCAAATAAGTTTCTGAGAATGCTTCTGTCTAGTTGTTTATGGGAAGATATTTCCTTTTCCAACATAGGCCTGAAAGCGCTCCAAATGTCCACTTCCAGATACTACAAAAGGAGTGATTCCAACCTGCTCTATGATAGGGAATGTTCAACTCTGTGTCCTGAATACAAACATCACAAAGATGTTTCTCAGAACGCTGCAGTCTGCAATTTGTATGAATTCCCGCTTCCAACGAAATCCTCAAAACTAGCCAAATATCCACTTGCAGATTCCACAAAAAGACCATTTCAAAACTGCTCTATCAAAAGAAAGGTTCAACTTTGTTAGTTGAGTAGATACAGCATAAACAAGTTTCTGAGAATGCTTCTGTCCAGTTTTTATGGGAAGGTATTTCCTTTTTCACCTTAGCCCTGAAAGCGCTCCAAATGTCCAGTTCCATATACTACAAAAGGGGTGTTTCAAGACTGCTCTATGAAAGGGAGTGTTCAACTTTTGACTTGAATGCAAACATCAGAAAGCAGTTTCTCAGAACGCTGCTGTGTGCTTTTTATATGTATTCCCGCTTCCAGCGAAATCCCCAAAGCTAGCCAAATATCCACTTGCAGATTCCAGAAAAAGAGTGTTTCAAAACTGCTCCTTCAAAACGGTGGTTCAATTCTCTTAGTTGAGTACACACATCTCAAATAAGTTTCTGAGAATGCTTCTGTCTAGTTGTTATGGGAAGATATTTCCTTTTCCAACATAGGCCTGAAAGCGCTCCAAATGTCCACTTCCAGATACTACAAAAGGAGTGATTCCAACCTGCTCTATGATAGGGAATGTTCAACTCTGTGTCCTGAATACAAACATCACAAAGATGTTTCTCAGAACGCTGCAGTCTGCAATTTGTATGAATTCCCGCTTCCAACGAAATCCTCAAAACTAGCCAAATATCCACTTGCAGATTCCACAAAAAGACCATTTCAAAACTGCTCTATCAAAAGAAAGGTTCAACTTTGTTAGTTGAGTAGATACAGCATAAACAAGTTTCTGAGAATGCTTCTGTCCAGTTTTTATGGGAAGATATTTCCTTTTTCACCTTAGCCCTGAAATCGCTCCAAAAGTCCAGTTCCAGATACTACAAAAGGGGTGTTTCAAGACTGCTCTATGAAAGGGAGTGTTCAACTTTTGACTTGAATGCAAACATCAGAAAGCAGTTTCTCAGAACGCTGCTGTGTGCTTTTTATATGTATTCCCGCTTCCAGCGAAATCCCCAAAGCTAGCCAAATATCCACTTGCAGATTCCAGAAAAAGAGTGTTTCAAAACTGCTCCTTCAAAACGGTGGTTCAATTCTCTTAGTTGAGTACACACATCTCAAATAAGTTTCTGAGAATGCTTCTGTCTAGTTGTTATGGGAAGATATTTCCTTTTCCAACATAGGCCTGAAAGCGCTCCAAATGTCCACTTCCAGATACTACAAAAGGAGTGATTCCAACCTGCTCTATGATAGGGAATGTTCAACTCTGTGTCCTGAATACAAACATCACAAAGATGTTTCTCAGAACGCTGCAGTCTGCAATTTGTATGAATTCCCGCTTCCAATGAAATACTCAAAACTAGCCAAATATCCACTTGCAGATTCCACAAAAAGAGCATTTCAAAACTGCTCTATCAAAAGAAAGGTTCAACTTTGTTAGTTGAGTAGATACAGCATAAACAAGTTTCTGAGAATGCTTCTGTCCAGTTTTTATGGGAAGATATTTCCTTTTTCACCTTAGCCCTGAAAGCGCTCCAAAAGTCCAGTTCCAGATACTACAAAAGGAGTGTTTCAGGACTGCTCTATGAAAGGGAGTGTTCAACTTTTGACTTGAATGCAAACATCAGAAAGCAGTTTCTCAGAACGCTGCTGTGTGCTTTTTATATGTATTCCCGCTTCCAGCGAAATCCCCAAAGCTAGCCAAATATCCACTTGCAGATTCCAGAAAAAGAGTGTTTCAAAACTGCTCCTTCAAAACGGTGGTTCAATTCTCTTAGTTGAGTACACACATCTCAAATAAGTTTCTGAGAATGCTTCTGTCTAGTTGTTATGGGAAGATATTTCCTTTTCCAACATAGGCCTGAAAGCGCTCCAAATGTCCACTTCCAGATACTACAAAAGGAGTGATTCAAACCTGCTCTATGATAGGGAATGTTCAACTCTGTGTCCTGAATACAAACATCACAAAGATGTTTCTCAGAACGCTGCAGTCTGCAATTTGTATGAATTCCCGCTTCCAACGAAATCCTCAAAACTAGCCAAATATCCACTTGGAGATTCCACAAAAAGAGCGTTTCAAAACTTCTCTATGAATAGAAAGGTTCTACTCCTTTAGTTGAGGACACACATCACGATTAAGTTTCTGAGAATGCTTCTGTCTAGTTTTTATGGGAAGATATGTCCTTTTTCACCTTAGGCCGGAAAGCGCTCCAAATGTCCACTTACACACACTACAAAAAGAGTGTTTCAAACCTGCTCTGTGAAAGGGAATGTTCAATTCTGTGACTTGAATGCAATCATCACAAAGAACTTTCTGAGAATGCTGCTGTCTGCTTTTTATATGTAATCCCGTTTCCAACGAAATCCTCAAATCTAGCCCAATATCCACTTGCAGATTCCACAAAAAGAGTGTTTCAAAACTGTTCTGTCTAAAGAAAAGTTCAACTGTGTTAGTTGAGGACACACATCAGAAACTAGTTTCTGAGAATGCTTCTGTCTAGTTGTTATGGGAAGATATTTCCTTTTCCAACGTAGGCCTGAAAGCGCTCCAAATGTCCACTTCCATATACTAAAAAAAGAGTGTTTCAAACCTGCTCTACCAAAGGGAATGTTCTACTCTGTGACTTGAATGCAAACATCCCAAAGAAGTTTCTGAGAATGCTTCTGTCTAGATTTTCTCTGAAGACAATCCCGTTTCCAACGAAATCCTCAAGGCTAGGCAAATATACTCTTGCAGATTCCAGAAAAAGAGTGTTTCAAAACTGCTCCTTCAAAACGGTGGTTCAATTCTCTTAGTTGAGTACACACATCTCAAAAAAGTTTCTGAGAATGCTTCTGCCTAGTTGTTACGGGAAGATATTTCCCTTTCCAACATGGGCCTGAAAGCGCTCCAAATGTCCACTTCCAGATACTACAAAAAGAGTGTTTCAAACCTGCTCTACCAAAGGGAATGTTCTACTCTGTGACTTGAATGCAAACATCCCAAAGAAGTTTCTGAGAATGCTTCTGTCTAGATTTTACCTGAAGACAATCCCGTTTCCCACGAAATCCTCAAAGCTATGCAAATATCCTCTTGCAGATTCTACAAAAAGAGTGTTTCAAAACTGCTCTATGAAAAGAAAGGTTCAACTCTGTCAGTAGAGGGCACACATCACAAACAAGTTTCTGAGAATGCTTCTGCATAGTTGTTACGGGAAGATATTTCCCTTTCCAAACTAGGCCTGAAAGCGCTCCAAATGTCCACTTCCAGATACTACAAAAGGAGTGATTACAACCTGCTCTATGATAGGGAATGTTCAACTCTGTGTCCTGAATACAAACATCACAAAGATGTTTCTCAGAACGCTGCAGTCTGCAATTTGTATGAATTCCCGCTTCCAACGAAATCCTCAAAACTAGCCAAATATCCACTTGCAGATTCCACAAAAAGACCATTTCAAAACTGCTCTATCAAAAGAAAGGTTCAACTTTGTTAGTTGAGTAGATACAGCATAACCAAGTTTCTGAGAATGCTTCTGTCCAGTTTTTATGGTAAGATATTTCCTTTTTCACCTTAGCCCTGAAATCGCTCCAAAAGTCCAGTTCCAGATACTACAAAAGGGGTGTTTCAAGACTGCTCTATGAAAGGGAGTGTTCAACTTTTGACTTGAATGCAAACATCAGAAAGCAGTTTCTCAGAACGCTGCTGTGTGCTTTTTATATGTATTCCCGCTTCCAGCGAAATCCCCAAAGCTAGCCAAATATCCACTTGCAGATTCCAGAAAAAGAGTGTTTCAAAACTGCTCCTTCAAAACGGTGGTTCAATTCTCTTAGTTGAGTACACACATCTCAAATAAGTTTCTGAGAATGCTTCTGTCTAGTTGTTATGGGAAGATATTTCCTTTTCCAACATAGGCCTGAAAGCGCTCCAAATGTCCACTTCCAGATACTACAAAAGTAGTGATTCAAACCTGCTCTATGATAGGGAATGTTCAACTCTGTGTCCTGAATACAAACATCACAAAGATGTTTCTCAGAACGCTGCAGTCTGCAATTTGTATGAATTCCCGCTTCCAACGAAATCCTCAAAACTAGCCAAATATCCACTTGCAGATTCCACAAAAAGAGCGTTTCAAAACTTCTCTATGAAAAGAAAGGTTCTACTCCTTTAGTTGAGGACACACATCACGAGTAAGTTTCTGAGAATGCTTCTGTCTAGTTTTTATGGGAAGATATTTCCTTTTTCACCTTAGGCCGGTAAGTGCTCCAAATGTCCACTTACACACACTACAAAAAGAGTGTTTCAAACCTGCTCTGTGAAAGGGAATGTTCAATTCTGTGACTTGAATGCAATCATCACAAAGAACTTTCTGAGAATGCTGCTGACTGCTTTTTATATGTAATCCCGTTTCCAACGAAATCCTCAAATCTAGCCAAATAGCCACTTGCAGATTCCACAAAAAGAGTGTTTCAAAACTGTTCTGTCTAAAGAAAAGTTCAACTGTGTTAGTTGAGGACACACATCAGAAACTAGTTTCTGAGAATGCTTCTGTCTAGTTGTTATGGGAAGATATTTCCTTTTCCAACGTAGGCCTGAAAGCGCTCCAAATGTCCACTTCCATATACTAAAAAAAGAGTGTTTCAAACCTGCTCTACCAAAGGGAATGTTCTACTCTGTGACTTGAATGCAAACATCCCAAAGAAGTTTCTGAGAATGCTTCTGTCTAGATTTGATCTGAAGACAATCCCGTTTCCAACGAAATCCTCAAGGCTAGGCAAATATCCTCTTGCAGATTCCAGAAAAAGAGTGTTTCAAAACTGCTCCTTCAAAACGGTGGTTCAATTCTCTTAGTTGAGTCCACACATCTCAAATAAGTTTCTGAGAATGCTTCTGCCTAGTTGTTACGGGAAGATATTTCCCTTTCCAACATAGACCTGAAAGCGCTCCAAATGTCCACTTCCAGATACTACAAAAAGAGTGTTTCAAACCTGCTCTACCAAAGGGAATGTTCTGCTCTGTGACTTGAATGCAAACATCCCAAAGAAGTTTCTGAGAATGCTTCTGTCTAGATTTTACCTGAAGACAATCCCGTTTCCCACGAAATCCTCAAAGCTATGCAAATATCCTCTTGCAGATTCTACAAAAAGAGTGTTTCAAAACTGCTCTATGAAAAGAAAGGTTCAACTCTGTCAGTAGAGGGCACACATCACAAACAAGTTTCTGAGAATGCTTGTGTCTAGTTGTTATGGGAAGATATTTCCTTTTTCAACATAGGCCTGAAAGCGCTCCAAATGTCCACTTCCAGATACTACAAAAGGAGTGATTCCAACCTGCTCTATGATAGGGAATGTTCAACTCTCTGTCCTGAATACAAACATCACAAAGATGTTTCTCAGAACGCTGCAGTCTGCAATTTGTATGAATTCCCGCTTCCAACGAAATCCTCAAAACTAGCCAAATATCCACTTGCAGATTCCACAAAAAGACCATTTCAAAACTGCTCTATCAAAAGAAAGGTTCAACTTTGTTAGTTGAGTAGATACAGCATAAACAAGTTTCTGAGAATGCTTCTGTCCAGTTTTTATGGGAAGATATTTCCTTTTTCACCTTAGCCCTGAAATCGCTCCAAAAGTCCAGTTCCAGATACTACAAAAGGGGTGTTTCAAGACTGCTCTATGAAAGGGAGTGTTCAACTTTTGACTTGAATGCAAACATCAGAAAGCAGTTTCTCAGAACGCTGCTGTGTGCTTTTTATATGTATTCCCGCTTCCAGCGAAATCCCCAAAGCTAGCCAAATATCCACTTGCAGATTCCAGAAAAAGAGTGTTTCAAAACTGCTCCTTCAAAACGGTGGTTCAATTCTCTTAGTTGAGTAGACACATCTCAAATAAGTTTCTGAGAATGCTGCAGTCTGCAATTTGTATGAATTCCCGCTTCCAACGAAATCCTCAAAACTAGCCAAATATCCACTTGCAGATTCCACAAAAAGAGCGTTTCAAAACTTCTCTATGAAAAGAAAGGTTCTACTCCTTTAGCTGAGGGCACACATCACGAGTAAGTTTCTGAGAATGCTTCTGTCTAGTTTTTATGGGAAGATATTTCCTTTTTCACCTTAGGCCGGTAAGGGTTCCAAATGTCCACTTACACACACTACAAAAAGAGTGTTTCAAACCTGCTCTGTGAAAGGGAATGTTCAATTCTGTGACTTGAATGCAATCATCACAAAGAACTTTCTGAGAATGCTGCTGACTGCTTTTTATATGTAATCCCGTTTCCAACGAAATCCTCAAATCTAGCCAAATAGCCACTTGCAGATTGCACAAAAAGAGTGTTTCAAAACTGTTCTGTCTATAGAAATGTTCAACTGTGTTAGTTGAGGACACACATCAGAAACTAGTTTCTGAGAATGCTTCTGTCTAGTTGTTATGGGAAGATATTTCCCTTTCCAACGTAGGCCTGAAAGCGATCAAAATGTCCACTTCCATATACTAAAAAAAGAGTGTTTCAAACCTGCTCTACCAAAGGGAATGTTCTACTCTGTGACTTGAATACAAACATCCCAAAGAAGTTTCTGAGAATGCTTCTGTCTAGATTTTATCTGAAGACAATCCCGTTTCCAACGAAATCCTCAAGGCTAGGCAAATATACTCTTGCAGATTCCAGAAAAAGAGTGTTTCAAAACTGCTCCTTCAAAACGGTGGTTCAATTCTCTTAGTTGAGTACACACATCTCAAATAAGTTTCTGAGAATGCTTCTGCCTAGTTGTTACGGGAAGATATTTCCCTTTCCAACATAGGCCTGAAAGCGCTCCAAATGTCCACTTCCAGATACTACAAAAAGAGTGTTTCAAACCTGCTCTACCAAAGGGAATGTTCTACTCTGTGACTTGAATGCAAACATCCCAAAGAAGTTTCTGAGAATGCTTCTGTCTAGATTTTACCTGAAGACAATCCCGTTTCCCACGAAATCCTCAAAGCTATGCAAATATCCTCTTGCAGATTCTACAAAAAGAGTGTTTCAAAACTGCTCTATGAAAAGAAAGGTTCAACTCTGTCAGTAGAGGGCACACATCACAAACAAGTTTCTGAGAATGCTTGTGTCTAGTTGTTATGGGAAGATATTTCCTTTTTCAACATAGGCCTGAAAGCGCTCCAAATGTCCACTTCCAGATACTACAAAAGGAGTGATTCCAACCTGCTCTATGATAGGGAATGTTCAACTCTCTGTCCTGAATACAAACATCACAAAGATGTTTCTCAGAACGCTGCAGTCTGCAATTTGTATGAATTCCCGCTTCCAGCGAAATCCTCAAAACTAGCCAAATATCCACTTGCAGATTCCACAAAAAGAGCATTTCAAAACTGCTCTATCAAAAGAAAGGTTCAACTTTGTTAGTTGAGTAGATACAGCATAAACAAGTTTCTGAGAATGCTTCTGTCCAGTTTTTATGGGAAGATATTTCCTTTTTCACCTTAGCCCTGAAAGCGCTCCAAAAGTCCAGTTCCAGATACTACAAAAGGAGTGTTTCAGGACTGCTCTATGAAAGGGAGTGTTCAACTTTTGACTTGAATGCAAACATCAGAAAGCAGTTTCTCAGAACGCTGCTGTGTGCTTTTTATATGTATTCCCGCTTCCAGCGAAATCCCCAAAGCTAGCCAAATATCCACTTGCAGATTCCAGAAAAAGAGTGTTTCAAAACTGCTCCTTCAAAACGGTGGTTCAATTCTCTTAGTTGAGTACACACATCTCAAATAAGTTTCTGAGAATGCTTCTGTCTAGTTGTTATGGGAAGATATTTCCTTTTCCAACATAGGCCTGAAAGCGCTCCAAATGTCCACTTCCAGATACTACAAAAGGAGTGATTCAAACCTGCTCTATGATAGGGAATGTTCAACTCTGTGTCCTGAATACAAACATCACAAAGATGTTTCTCAGAACGCTGCAGTCTGCAATTTGTATGAATTCCCGCTTCCAACGAAATCCTCAAAACTAGCCAAACATCCACTTGCAGATTCCACAAAAAGAGCGTTTCAAAACTTATCTATGAAAAGAAAGGTTCTACTTCTTTAGTTGAGGACACACATCACGAGTAAGTTCCTGAGAATGCTTCTGTCTAGTTTTTATGGAGAGATATTTCCTTTTTCACCTTAGGCCGGAAAGTGCTCCAAATGTCCACTTACACACACTATACAAAGTGTTTCAAACCTGCTCTGTGAAAGGGAATGTTCAATACTGTGACTTGAATGCAATCATCACAAAGAAGTTTCTGAGAATGCTGCTGTCTGCTTTTTATATGGAATCCCGTTTCCAACGAAATCCTCAAATCTAGCCAAATAGCCACTTGCAGATACCACAAAAAGAGTGTTTCAAAACTGTTCTGTCTAAAGAAATGTTCAACTGTGTTAGTTGAGGACACACATCAGAAACTAGTTTCTGAGAATGCTTCTGTCTAGTTGTTATGGGAAGATATTTCCTTTTCCAACGTAGGCCTGAAAGCTGCTCCAAATGTCCACTTCCAGATACTACAAAAAGAGTGTTTCAAACCTGCTCTACCAAAGGGAATGTTCTACTCTGTGACTTGAATGCAAGCATCCCAAAGAAGTTTCTGAGAATGCTTCTGTCTAGATTTTTCTCTGAAGACAATCCCGTTTCCAACGAAATCCTCAAGGCTAGGCAAATATACTCTTGCAGATTCCAGAAAAAGAGTGTTTCAAAACTGCTCCTTCAAAACGGTGGTTCAATTCTCTTAGTTGAGTACACACATCTCAAATAAGTTTCTGAGAATGCTTCTGCCTAGTTGTTACGGGAAGATATTTCCTTTTCCAACATGGGCCTGAAAGCGCTCCAAATGTCCACTTCCAGATACTACAAAAAGAGTGTTTCAAACCTGCTCTACCAAAGGGAATGTTCTACTCTGTGACTTGAATGCAAACATCCCAAAGAAGTTTCTGAGAATGCTTCTGTCTAGATTTTACCTGAAGACAATCCCGTTTCCCACGAAATCCTCAAAGCTATGCAAATATCCTCTTGCAGATTCTACAAAAAGAGTGTTTCAAAACTGCTCTATGAAAAGAAAGGTTCAACTCTGTCAGTAGAGGGCACACATCACAAACAAGTTTCTGAGAATGCTTCTGCATAGTTGTTACGGGAAGATATTTCCCTTTCCAAAATAGGCCTGAAAGCGCTCCAAATGTCCACTTCCAGATACTACAAAAGGAGTGATTCCAACCTGCTCTATGATAGGGAATGTTCAACTCTGTGTCCTGAATACAAACATCACAAAGATGTTTCTCAGAACGCTGCAGTCTGCAATTTGTATGAATTCCCGCTTCCAACGAAATCCTCAAAACTAGCCAAATATCCACTTGCAGATTCCACAAAAAGACCATTTCAAAACTGCTCTATCAAAAGAAAGGTTCAACTTTGTTAGTTGAGTAGATACAGCATAAACAAGTTTCTGAGAATGCTTCTGTCCAGTTTTTATGGGAAGATATTTCCTTTTTCACCTTAGCCCTGAAATCGCTCCAAAAGTCCAGTTCCAGATACTACAAAAGGGGTGTTTCAAGACTGCTCTATGAAAGGGAGTGTTCAACTTTTGACTTGAATGCAAACATCAGAAAGCAGTTTCTCAGAACGCTGCTGTGTGCTTTTTATATGTATTCCCGCTTCCAGCGAAATCCCCAAAGCTAGCCAAATATCCACTTGCAGATTCCAGAAAAAGAGAGTTTCAAAACTGCTCCTTCAAAACGGTGGTTCAATTCTCTTAGTTGAGTACACACATCTCAAATAAGTTTCTGAGAATGCTTCTGTCTAGTTGTTATGGGAAGATATTTCCTTTTCCAACATAGGCCTGAAAGCGCTCCAAATGTCCACTTCCAGATACTACAAAAGGAGTGATTCAAACCTGCTCTATGATAGGGAATGTTCAACTCTGTGTCCTGAATACAAACATCACAAAGATGTTTCTCAGAACGCTGCAGTCTGCAATTTGTATGAATTCCCGCTTCCAACGAAATCCTCAAAACTAGCCAAATATCCACTTGCAGATTCCACAAAAAGAGCGTTTCAAAACTTCTCTATGAAAAGAAAGGTTCTACTCCTTTAGTTGAGGACACACATCACGAGTAAGTTTCTGAGAATGCTTCTGTCTAGTTTTTATGGGAAGATTATTTCCTTTTTCACCTTAGGCCGGTAAGTGCTCCAAATGTCCACTTACACACACTACAAAAAGAGTGTTTCAAACCTGCTCTGTGAAAGGGAATGTTCAATTCTGTGACTTGAATGCAATCATCACAAAGAACTTTCTGAGAATGCCGCTGACTGCTTTTTATATGTAATCCCGTTTCCAACGAAATCCTCAAATCTAGCCAAATAGCCACTTGCAGATTCCACAAAAAGAGTGTTTCAAAACTGTTCTGTCTAAAGAAATGTTCAACTGTGTTAGTTGAGGACACACATCAGAAACTAGTTTCTGAGAATGCTTCTGTCTAGTTGTTATGGGAAGATATTTCCTTTTCCAACGTAGGCCTGAAAGCGCTCCAAATGTCCACTTCCAGATACTACAAAAAGAGTGTTTCAAACCTGCTCTACCAAAGGGAATGTTCTACTCTGTGACTGGAATGCAAGCATCCCAAAGAAGTTTCTGAGAATGTTTCTGTCTAGATTTTCTCTGAAGACAATCCCGTTTCCAACGAAATCCTCAAGGCTAGGCAAATATACTCTTGCAGATTCCAGAAAAAGAGTGTTTCAAAACTGCTCCTTCAAAACGGTGGTTCAATTCTCTTAGTTGAGTACACACATCTCAAATAAGTTTCTGAGAATGCTTCTGCCTAGTTGTTACGGGAAGATATTTCCCTTTCCAACATAGGCCTGAAAGCGCTCCAAATGTCCACTTCCAGATACTACAAAAAGAGTGTTTCAAACCTGCTCTACCAAAGGGAATGTTCTACTCTGTGACTTGAATGCAAACATCCCAAAGAAGTTTCTGAGAATGCTTCTGTCTAGATTTTACCTGAAGACAATCCCGTTTCCCACGAAATCCTCAAAGCTATGCAAATATCCTCTTGCAGATTCTACAAAAAGAGTGTTTCAAAACTGCTCTATGAAAAGAGAGGTTCAACTCTGTCAGTAGAGGGCACACATCACAAACAAGTTTCTGAGAATGCTTGTGTCTAGTTGTTATGGGAAGATATTTCCTTTTTCAACATAGGCCTGAAAGCGCTCCAAATGTCCACTTCCAGATACTACAAAAGGAGTGATTCCAACCTGCTCTATGATAGGGAATGTTCAACTCTCTGTCCTGAATACAAACACCACAAAGATGTTTCTCAGAACGCTGCAGTCTGCAATTTGTATGAATTCCCGCTTCCAACGAAATCCTCAAAACTAGCCAAATATCCACTTGCAGATTCCACAAAAAGAGCATTTCAAAACTGCTCTATCAAAAGAAAGGTTCAAATTTGTTAGTTGAGTAGATACAGCATAAACAAGTTTCTGAGAATGCTTCTGTCCAGTTTTTATGGGAAGATATTTCCTTTTTCACCTTAGCCCTGAAAGCGCTCCAAAAGTCCAGTTCCAGATACTACAAAAGGAGTGTTTCAGGACTGCTCTATGAAAGGGAGTGTTCAACTTTTGACTTGAATGCAAACATCAGAAAGCAGTTTCTCAGAACGCTGCAGTCTGCAATTTGTATGAATTCCCGCTTCCAACGAAATCCTCAAAACTATCCAAATATCCACTTGGAGATTCCACAAAAAGAGCGTTTCAAAACTTCTCTATGAATAGAAAGGTTCTACTCCTTTAGTTGAGGAAACACATCACGAGTAAGTTTCTGAGGATGCTTCTGTCTAGTTTTTATGGGAAGATATTTCTTTTTTCACCTTAGGCCGGAAAGCGCTCCAAATGTCCACTTACACACACTACAAAAAGAGTGTTTCAAACCTGCTCTGTGAAAGGGAATGTTCAATTCTGTGACTTGAATGCAATCATCACAAAGAACTTTCTGAGAATGCTGCTGTCTGCTTTTTATATGTAATCCCGTTTCCAACGAAATCCTCAAATCTAGCCCAATATCCACTTGCAGATTCCACAAAAAGAGTGTTTCAAAACTGTTCTGTCTAAAGAAAAGTTCAACTGTGTTAGTTGAGGACACACATCAGAAACTAGTTTCTGAGAATGCTTCTGTCTAGTTGTTATGGGAAGATATTTCCTTTTCCAACGTAGGCCTGAAAGCGCTCCAAATGTCCACTTCCATATACTAAAAAAAGAGTGTTTCATACCTGCTCTACCAAAGGGAATGTTCTACTCTGTGACTTGAATGCAAACATCCCAAAGAAGTTTCTGAGAATGCTTCTGTCTAGATTTTATCTGAAGACAATCCCGTTTCCAACGAAATCCTCAAGGCTAGGCAAATATACTCTTGCAGATTCCAGAAAAAGAGTGTTTCAAAACTGCTCCTTCAAAACGGTGGTTCAATTCTCTTAGTTGAGTCCACACATCTCAAATAAGTTTCTGAGAATGCTTCTGCCTAGTTGTTACGGGAAGATATTTCCCTTTCCAACATGGGCCTGAAAGCGCTCCAAATGTCCACTTCCAGATACTACAAAAAGAGTGTTTCAAACCTGCTCTACCAAAGGGAATGTTCTACTCTGTGACTTGAATGCAAACATCCCAAAGAAGTTTCTGAGAATGCTTCTGTCTAGATTTTACCTGAAGACAATCCCGTTTCCCACGAAATCCTCAAAGCTATGCAAATATCCTCTTGCAGATTCTACAAAAAGAGTGTTTCAAAACTGCTCTATGAAAAGAAAGGTTCAACTCTGTCAGTAGAGGGCACACATCACAAACAAGTTTCTGAGAATGCTTCTGCATAGTTGTTACGGGAAGATATTTCCCTTTCCAAAATAGGCCTGAAAGCGCTCCAAATGTCCACTTCCAGATACTACAAAAGGAGTGATTCCAACCTGCTCTATGATAGGGAATGTTCAACTCTGTGTCCTGAATACAAACATCACAAAGATGTTTCTCAGAACGCTGCAGTCTGCAATTTGTATGAATTCCCGCTTCCAACGAAATCCTCAAAACTAGCCAAATATCCACTTGCAGATTCCACAAAAAGACCATTTCAAAACTGCTCTATCAAAAGAAAGGTTCAACTTTGTTAGTTGAGTAGATACAGCATAAACAAGTTTCTGAGAATGCTTCTGTCCAGTTTTTATGGGAAGATATTTCCTTTTTCACCTTAGCCCTGAAATCGCTCCAAAAGTCCAGTTCCAGATACTACAAAAGGGGTGTTTCAGGACTGCTCTATGAAAGGGAGTGTTCAACTTTTGACTTGAATGCAAACATCAGAAAGCAGTTTCTCAGAACGCTGCTGTGTGCTTTTTATATGTATTCCCGCCTCCAGCGAAATCCCCAAAGCTAGCCAAATATCCACTTGCAGATTCCAGAAAAAGAGTGTTTCAAAACTGCTCCTTCAAAACGGTGGTTCAATTCTCTTAGTTGAGTACACACATCTCAAATAAGTTTCTGAGAATGCTTGTGTCTAGTTGTTATGGGAAGATATTTCCTTTTTCAACATAGGCCTGAAAGCGCTCCAAATATCCACTTCCAGATACTACAAAAGGAGTGATTCCAACCTGCTCTATGATAGGGAATGTTCAACTCTCTGTCCTGAATACAAACATCACAAAGATGTTTCTCAGAACGCTGCAGTCTGCAATTTGTATGAATTCCCGCTTCCAACGAAATCCTCAAAACTAGCCAAATATCCACTTGCAGATTCCACAAAAAGAGCATTTCAAAACTGCTCTATCAAAAGAAAGGTTCAACTTTGTTAGTTGAGTAGATACAGCATAAACAAGTTTCTGAGAATGCTTCTGTCCAGTTTTTATGGGAAGATATTTCCTTTTTCACCTTAGCCCTGAAAGCTCTCCAAAAGTCCAGTTCCAGATACTACAAAAGGGGTGTTTCAGGACTGCTCTATGAAAGGGAGTGTTCAACTTTTGACTTGAATGCAAACATCAGAAAGCAGTTTCTCAGAACGCTGCTGTGTGCTTTTTATATGTATTCCCGCTTCCAGCGAAATCCCCAAAGCTAGCCAAATATCCACTTGCAGATTCCAGAAAAAGAGTGTTTCAAAACTGCTCCTTCAAAACGGTGGTTCAATTCTCTTAGTTGAGTACACACATCTCAAATAAGTTTCTGAGAATGCTTCTGTCTAGTTGTTATGGGAAGATATTTCCTTTTCCAACATAGGCCTGAAAGCGCTCCAAATGTCCACTTCCAGATACTACAAAAGGAGTGATTCAAACCTGCTCTATGATAGGGAATGTTCAACTCTGTGTCCTGAATACAAACATCACAAAGATGTTTCTCAGAACGCTGCAGTCTGCAATTTGTATGAATTCCCGCTTCCAACGAAATCCTGCAAACTAGCCAAATATCCACTTGCAGATTCCACAAAAAGAGCGTTTCAAAACTTCTCTATGAAAACAAAGGTTCTACTCCTTTAGTTGAGGACACACATCACGAGTAAGTTTCTGAGAATGCTTCTGTCTAGTTTTTATGGGAAGATATTTCCTTTTTCACCTTAGGCCGGAAAGTGCTCCAAATGTCCACTTACACACACTATAAAAAGAGTGTTTCAAACCTGCTCTGTGAAAGGGAATGTTCAATTCTGTGACTTGAATGCAATCATCACAAAGAACTTTCTGAGAATGCTGCTGTCTGCTTTTTATATGTAATCCCGTTTCCAACGAAATCCTCAAATCTAGCCAAATAGCCACTTGCAGATTCCACAAAAAGAGAGTTTCAAAACTGTTCTGTCTAAAGAAATGTTCAACTGTGTTAGTTGAGGACACACATCAGAAACTAGTTTCTGAGAATGCTTCTGTCTAGTTGTTATGGGAAGATATTTCCTTTTCCAACGTAGGCCTGAAAGCGCTCCAAATGTCCACTTCCATATACTAAAAAAAGAGTGTTTCAAACCTGCTCTACCAAAGGGAATGTTCTACTCTGTGACTTGAATGCAAACATCCCAAAGAAGTTTCTGAGAATGCTTCTGTCTAGATTTGATCTGAAGACAATCCCGTTTCCAACGAAATCCTCAAGGCTAGGCAAATATACTCTTGCAGATTCCAGAAAAAGGGTGTTTCAAAACTGCTCCTTCGAAACGGTGGTTCAATTCTCTTAGTTGAGTACACACATCTCAAATATGTTTCTGAGAATGCTTCTGCCTAGTTGTTACGGGAAGATATTTCCCTTTCCAACATGGGCCTGAAAGCGCTCCAAATGTCCACTTCCAGATACTACAAAAAGAGTGTTTCAAACCTGCTCTACCAAAGGGAATGTTCTACTGTGTGACTTGAATGCAAACATCTCAGAGAAGTTTCTGAGAATGCTTCTGTCTAGATTTTACCTGAAGACAATCCCGTTTCCCACGAAATCCTCAAAGCTATGCAAATATCCTTTTGCAGATTCTACAAAAAGAGTGTTTCAAAACTGCTCTATGAAAAGAAAGGTTCAACTCTGTCAGTAGAGGGCACACATCACAAACAAGTTTCTGAGAATGCTTGTGTCTAGTTGTTATGGGAAGATATTTCCTTTTTCAACATAGGCCTGAAAGCGCTCCAAATGTCCACTTCCAGATACTACAAAAGGAGTAATTCCAACCTGCTCTATGATAGGGAATGTTCATCTCTGTGTCCTGAATACAAACATCACAAATATGTTTCTCAGAACGCTGCAGTCTGCAATTTGTATGAATTCCCGCTTCCAACGAAATCCTCAAAACTAGGCAAATATCCACTTGCAGATTCCACAAAAAGAGCGTTTCAAAACTTCTCTATGAAAAGAAAGGTTCTACTCCTTTAGTTGAGGACACACATCACGAGTAAGTTTCTGAGAATGCTTCTGTCTAGTTTTTATGGGAAGATATTTCCTTTTTCACCTTAGGCCAGAAAGCGCTCCAAATGTCCACTTACACACACTACAAAAAGAGTGTTTCAAACCTGCTCTGTGAAAGGGAATGTTCAATTCTGTGACTTGAATGCAATCATCACAAAGAACTTTCTGAGAATGCTGCTGACTGCTTTTTATATGTAATCCCGTTTCCAACGAAATCCTCAAATGTAGCCAAAATATCCACCTGAAGGTTCCACAAAACGAGTGTATCAAAACTGTTCTGTCTAAAGAAATGTACAACTGTGTTAGTTGAGGACACACATCAGAAACTAGTTTCTGAGAATGCTTCTGTCTAGTTCTTATGGGAAGATATTTCCTTTTCCAACGTAGGCCTGAAAGCGCTCCAAATGTCCACTTCCATATACGAAAAAAAGAGTGTTTCAAACCTGCTCTACCAAAGGGAATGTTCTACTCTGTGACTTGAATGCAAACATCCCAAAGAAGTTTCTGAGAATGCATTTGTCTAGATTTTATCTGAAGACAATCCGGTTTCCAACGAAATCCTCAAGGCTAGGCAAATATACTCTTGCAGATTCCAGAAAAAGAGTGTTTCAAAACTGCTCCTTCAAAACGGTGGTTCAATTCTCTTAGTTGAGTACACACATCTCAAATAAGTTTCTGAGAATGCTTCTGCCTAGTTGTTACGGGAAGATATTTCCCTTTCCAACATGGGCCTGAAAGCGCTCCAAATGTCCACTTCCAGATACTACAAAAAGAGGGTTTCAAACCTGCTCTACCAAAGGGAATGTTCTACTCTGTGACTTGAATGCAAACATCCCAAAGAAGTTTGCTGAGAATGCTTCTGTCTAGATTTTACCTGAAGACAATCCCGTTTCCCACGAAATCCTCAAAGCTATGCAAATATCCTCTTGCAGATTCTACAAAAAGAGTGTTTGAAAACTGCTCTATGAAAAGAAAGGTTCAACTCTGTCAGTAGAGGGCACACATCACAAACAAGTTTCTGAGAATGCTTGTGTCTAGTTGTTATGGGAAGATATTTCCTTTTTCAACATAGGCCTGAAAGCGCTCCAAATGTCCACTTCCAGATACTACAAAAGGAGTGATTCCAACCTGCTCTATGATAGGGAATGTTCAACTCTGTGTCCTGAATACAAACATCACAAAGATGTTTCTCAGAACGCTGCAGTCTGCAATTTGTATGAATTCCAGCTTCCAACGAAATCCTCAAAACTAGCCAAATATCCACTTGCAGATTCCACAAAAAGAGCATTTCAAAACTGCTCTATCAAAAGAAAGGTTCAACTTTGTTAGTTGAGTAGATACAGCATAAACAAGTTTCTGAGAATGCTTCTGTCCAGTTTTTATGGGAAGATATTTCCTTTTTCACCTTTGCCCTGAAAGCGCTCCAAAAGTCCAGTTCCAGATACTACAAAAGGAGTGTTTCAGGACTGCTCTGTGAAAGGGAGTGTTCAACTTTTGACTTGAATGCAAACATCAGAAAGCAGTTTCTCAGAACGCTGCTGTGTGCTTTTTATATGTATTCCCGCTTCCAGCGAAATCCCCAAAGCTAGCCAAATATCCACTTGCAGATTCCAGAAAAAGAGTGTTTCAAAACTGCTCCTTCAAAACGGTGGTTCAATTCTCTTAGTTGAGTACACACATCTCAAATAAGTTTCTGAGAATGCTTCTGTCTAGTTTTTATGGGAAGATATTTCCTTTTTCACCTGAGGCCGGAAAGCGCTCCAAATGTCCACTTCCAGATACTACAAAAGGAGTGATTCAAACCTGCTCTATGATAGGGAACGTTCAACTCTGTGTCCTGAATACAAACATCACAAAGATGTTTCTCAGAACGCTGCAGTCTGCAATTTGTATGAATTCCCGCTTCCAACGAAATCCTCAAAACTAGCCAAATATCCACTTGCAGATTCCACAAAAAGAGCGTTTCAAAACTTCTCTATGAAAAGAAAGGTTCTACTCCTTTAGTTGAGGACACACATCACGAGTAAGTTTCTGAGAATGCTTCTGTCTAGTTTTTATGGGAAGATATTTCCTTTTTCACCTTAGGCCGGTAAGTGCTCCAAATGTCCACTTACACACACTACAAAAAGAGTGTTTCAAACCTGCTCTGTGAAAGGGAATGTTCAATTCTGTGACTTGAATGCAATCATCACAAAGAACTTTCTGAGAATGCTGCTGACTGCTTTTTATATGTAATCCCGTTTCCAACGAAATCCTCAAATCTAGCCAAATAGCCACTTGCAGATTCCACAAAAAGAGTGTTTCAAAACTGTTCTGTCTAAAGAAATGTTCAACTGTGTTAGTTGAGGACACACATCAGAAACTAGTTTCTGAGAATGCTTCTGTCTAGTTGTTATGGGAAGATATTTCCTTTTCCAACGTAGGCCTGAAAGCGCTCCAAATGTCCACTTCCAGATACTACAAAAAGAGTGTTTCAAACCTGCTCTACCAAAGGGAATGTTCTACTCTGTGACTTGAATGCAAACATCCCAAAGAAGTTTCTGAGAATGCTTCTGTCTAGATTTTATCTGAAGACAATCCCGTTTCCAACGAAATCCTCAAGGCTAGGCAAATATGCTCTTGCAGATTCCAGAAAAAGAGGGTTTCAAAACTGCTCCTTCAAAACGGTGGTTCAATTCTCTTAGTTGAGTACACACATCTCAAATAAGTTTCTGAGAATGCTTCTGCCTAGTTGTTACGGGAAGATATTTCCCTTTCCAACATGGGCCTGAAAGCGCTCCAAATGTCCACTTCCAGATACTACAAAAAGAGTGTTTCAAACCTGCTCTACCAAAGGGAATGTTCTACTCTGTGACTTGAATGCAAACATCCCAAAGAAGTTTCTGAGAATGCTTCTGTCTAGATTTTACCTGAAGACAATCCCGTTTCCCACGAAATCCTCAAAGCTATGCAAATATCCTCTTGCAGATTCTACAAAAAGAGTGTTTCAAAACTGCTCTATGAAAAGAAAGGTTCAACTCTGTCAGTAGAGGGCACACATCACAAACAAGTTTCTGAGAATGCTTCTGCATAGTTGTTACGGGAAGATATTTCCCTTTCCAAAATAGGCCTGAAAGCGCTCCAAATGTCCACTTCCAGATACTACAAAAGGAGTGATTCCAACCTGCTCTATGATAGGGAATGTTCAACTCTGTGTCCTGAATACAAACATCACAAAGATGTTTCTCAGAACGCTGCAGTCTGCAATTTGTATGAATTCCCGCTTCCAACGAAATCCTCAAAACTAGCCAAATATCCACTTGCAGATTCCACAAAAAGAGCATTTCAAAACTGCTCTATCAAAAGAAAGGTTCAACTTTGTTAGTTGAGTAGATACAGCATAAAAAAGTTTCTGAGAATGCTTCTGTCCAGTTTTTATGGGAAGATATTTCCTTTTTCACCTTAGCCCTGAAAGCGCTCCAAAAGTCCAGTTCCAGATACTACAAAAGGAGTGTTTCAGGACTGCTCTATGAAAGGGAGTGTTCAACTTTTGACTTGAATGCAAACATCAGAAAGCAGTTTCTCAGAACGCTGCTGTGTGCTTTTTATATGTATTCCCGCCTCCAGCGAAATCCCCAAAGCTAGCCAAATATCCACTTGCAGATTCCAGAAAAAGAGTGTTTCAAAACTGCTCCTTCAAAACGGTGGTTCAATTCTCTTAGTTGAGTACACACATCTCAAATAAGTTTCTGAGAATGCTTCTGTCTAGTTGTTATGGGAAGATATTTCCTTTTCCAACATAGGCCTGAAAGCGCTCCAAATGTCCACTTCCAGATACTACAAAAGGAGTGATTCCAACCTGCTCTATGATAGGGAATGTTCAACTCTGTGTCCTGAATACAAACATCACAAAGATGTTTCTCAGAACGCTGCAGTCTGCAATTTGTATGAATTCCCGCTTCCAACGAAATCCTCCAAACTAGCCAAATATCCACTTGCAGATTCCACAAAAAGAGCGTTTCAAAACTTCTCTATGAAAAGAAAGGTTCTACTCCTTTAGTTGAGGACACACATCACGAGTAAGTTTCTGAGAATGCTTCTGTCTATTTTTTATGGGAAGATATTTCCTTTTTCACCTTAGGCTGGAAAGTGCTCCAAATGTCCACTTACACACACTACAAAAAGAGTGTTTCAAACCTGCTCTGTGAAAGGGAATGTTCAATTCTGTGACTTGAATGCAATCATCACAAAGAACTTTCTGAGAATGCTGCTGTCAGCTTTTTATATGTAATCCCGTTTCCAAAGAAATCCTAAAATCTAGCCAAATAGCCACTTGCAGATTCCACAAAAAGAGTGTTTCAAAACTGTTCTGTCTAAAGAAATGTTCCACTGTGTTACTTGAGGACACACATCAGAAACTAGTTTCTGAGAATGCTTCTGTCTAGTTGTTATGGGAAGATATTTCCTTTTCCAACGTAGGCCTGAAAGCGCTCCAAATGTCCACTTCCATATACTAAAAAAAGAGTGTTTCAAACCTGCTCTACCAAAGGGAATGTTCTACTCTGTGACTTGAATGCAAACATCCCAAAGAAGTTTCTGAGAATGCTTTTGTCTAGATTTTATCTGAAGACAATCCCGTTTCCAACGAAATCCTCAAGGCTAGGCAAATATACTCTTGCAGATTCCAGAAAAAGAGGGTTTCAAAACTGCTCCTTCAAAACGGTGGTTCAATTCTCTTCGTTGAGTACACACATCTCAAATAAGTTTCTGAGAATGATTCTGCCTAGTTGTTACGGGAAGATATTTCCCTTTCCAACATGGGCCTGAAAGCGCTCCAAATGTCCACTTCCAGATACTACAAAAAGAGTGTTTCAAACCTGCTCTACCAAAGGGAATGTTCTACTCTGTGACTTGAATGCAAACATCCCAAAGAAGTTTCTGAGAATGCTTCTGTCTAGATTTTACCTGAAGACAATCCCGTTTCCCACGAAATCCTCAAAGTTATGCAAATATCCTCTTGCGGATTCTACAAAAAGAGTGTTTCAAAACTGCTCTATGAAAAGAAAGGTTCAACTCTGTCAGTAGAGGGCACACATCACAAACAAGTTTCTAAGAATGCTTGTGTCTAGTTGTTATGGGAAGATATTTCCTTTTTCAACATAGGCCTGAAAGCGCTCCAAATGTCCACTTCCAGATACTACAAAAGGAGTGATTCCAACATGCTCTATGGTAGGGAATGTTCATCTCTGTGTCTTGAATACAAACATCACAAAGATGTTTCTCAGAACGCTGCAGTCTGCAATTTGTATGAATTCCCGCTTCCAACGAAATCCTCAAAACTAGCCAAATATCCACTTGCAGATTCCACAAAAAGAGCATTTCAAAACTGCTCTATCAAAAGAAAGGTTCAACTTTGTTAGTTGAGTAGATACAGCATAAACAAGTTTCTGAGAATGCTTCTGTCCAGTTTTTATGGGAAGATATTTCCTTTTTCACCTTAGCCCTGAAAGCGCTCCAAAAGTCCAGTTCCAGATACTACAAAAGGAGTGTTTCAGGACTGCTCTATGAAAGGGAGTGTTCAACTTTTGACTTGAATGCAAACATCAGAAAGCAGTTTCTCAGAACGCTGCTGTGTGCTTTTTATATGTATTCCCGCTTCCAGCGAAATCCCCAAAGCTAGCCAAATATCCACTTGCAGATTCCAGAAAAAGAGTGTTTCAAAACTGCTCCTTCAAAACGGTGGTTCAATTCTCTTAGTTGAGTACACACATCTCAAATAAGTTTCTGAGAATGCTTCTGTCTAGTTGTTATGGGAAGATATTTCCTTTTCCAACATAGGCCTGAAAGCGCTCCAAATGTCCACTTCCAGATACTACAAAAGGAGTGATTCCAACCTGCTCTATGATAGGGAATGTTCAACTCTGTGTCCTGAATACAAACATCACAAAGATGTTTCTCAGAACGCTGCAGTCTGCAATTTGTATGAATTCCCGCTTCCAACGAAATCCTCAAAACTAGCCAAATATCCACTTGCAGATTCCACAAAAAGAGCGTTTCAAAACTTCTCTATGAAAAGAAAGGTTCTACTCCTTTAGTTGAGGACACACATCACGAGTAAGTTTCTGAGAATGCTTCTGTCTAGTTTTTATGGGAAGATATTTCCTTTTTCACCTTAGGCCGGTAAGTGCTCCAAATGTCCACTTACACACACTACAAAAAGAGTGTTTCAAACCTGCTCTGTGAAAGGGAATGTTCAATTCTGTGACTTGAATGCAATCATCACAAAGAACTTTCTGAGAATGCTGCTGACTGCTTTTTATATGTAATCCCGTTTCCAACGAAATCCTCAAATCTAGCCAAATAGCCACTTGCAGATTCCACAAAAAGAGTGTTTCAAAACTGTTCTGTCTAAAGAAATGTTCAACTGTGTTAGTTGAGGACACACATCAGAAACTAGTTTCTGAGAATGCTTCTGTCTAGTTGTTATGGGAAGATATTTCCTTTTCCAACGTAGGCCTGAAAGCGCTCCAAATGTCCACTTCCATATACTAAAAAAAGAGTGTTTCAAACCTGCTCTACCAAAGGGAATGTTCTACTCTGTGACTTGAATGCAAACATCCCAAAGAAGTTTCTGAGAATGCTTCTGTCTAGATTTTCTCTGAAGACAATCCCGTTTCCAACGAAATCCTCAAGGCTAGGCAAATATACTCTTGCAGATTCCAGAAAAAGAGTGTTTCAAAACTGCTCCTTCAAAACGGTGGTTCAATTCTCTTAGTTGAGTACACACATCTCAAATAAGTTTCTGAGAATGCTTCTGCCTAGTTGTTACGGGAAGATATTTCCCTTTCCAACATGGGCCTGAAAGCGCTCCAAATGTCCACTTCCAGATACTACAAAAAGAGTGTTTCAAACCTGCTCTACCAAAGGGAATGTTCTACTCTGTGACTTGAATGCAAACATCCCAAAGAAGTTTCTGAGAATGCTTCTGTCTAGATTTTACCTGAAGACAATCCCGTTTCCCACGAAATCCTCAAACCTATGCAAATATCCTCTTGCAGATTCTACAAAAAGAGTGTTTCGAAAGTGCTCTATGAAAAGAAAGGTTCAACTGTGTCAGTAGAGGGCACACATCACAAACAAGTTTCTGAGAATGCTTCTGTCTAGTTGTTATGGGAAGATATTTCCTTTTTCAACATAGGCCTGAAAGCGCTCCAAATGTCCACTTCCAGATACTACAAAAGGAGTGATTCCAACCTGCTCTATGATAGGGAATGTTCAACTCTGTGTCCTGAATACAAACATCACAAAGATGTTTCTCAGAACGCTGCAGTCTGCAATTTGTATGAATTCCCGCTTCCAACGAAATCCTCCAAACTAGCCAAATATCCACTTGCAGAGTCCACAAAAAGAGCGTTTCAAAACTTCTCTATGAAAAGAAAGGTTCTACTCCTTTAGTTGAGGACACACATCACGAGTAAGTTTCTGAGAATGCTTCTGTCTAGTTTTTATGGGAAGATATTTCCTTGTTCACCTTAGGCCGGAAAGCGCTCCAAATGTCCACTTACACACACTACAAAAAGAGTGTTTCAAACCTGCTCTGTGAAAGGGAATGTTCAATTCTGTGACTTGAATGCAATCATCACAAAGAAGTTTCTGAGAATGCTGCTGTCTGCTTTTTATATGTAATCCCGTTTCCAACGAAATCCTCAAATCTAGCCAAATATCCACTTGCAGATTCCACAAAAAGAGTGTTTCAAAACTGTTCTGTCTAAAGAAATGTTCAACTGTGTTAGTTGAGGACACACATCAGAAACTAGTTTCTGAGAATGCTTCGGTCTAGTTGTTATGGGATGATATTTCCTTCTCCAACGTAGGCCTGAAAGCGCTCCAAATGTCCACTTCCATATACTAAAAAAAGATTGTTTCAAACCTGCTCTACCAAAGGGAATGTTCTACTCTGTGACTTGAATGCAAACATCCCAAAGAAGTTTCTGAGAATGCTTCTGTCTAGATTTTATCTGAAGACAATCCCGTTTCCAACGAAATCCTCAAGGCTAGGCAAATATACTCTTGCAGATTCCAGAAAAAGAGTGTTTCAAAACTGCTCCTTCAAAACGGTGGTTCAATTCTCTTAGTTGAGTACACACATCTCAAATATGTTTCTGAGAATGCTTCTGCCTAGTTGTTACGGGAAGATATTTCCCTTTCCAACATGGGCTTGAAAGCGCTCCAAATGTCCACTTCCAGATACTACAAAAAGAGTGTTTCAAACCTGCTCTACCAAAGAGAATGTTCTACTCTGTGACTTGAATGCAAACATCCAAAAGAAGTTTCTGAGAATGCTTCTGTCTAGATTTTACCTGAAGACAATCCCGTTTCCCACGAAATCCTCAAAGCTATGCAAATATCCTCTTGCAGATTCTACAAAAAGAGTGTTTCAAAACTGCTCTATGAAAAGAAAGGTTCAACTCTGTCAGTAGAGGGCACACATCACAAACAAGTTTGCTGAGAATGCTTTCTGTCTAGTTTTTATGGGAAGATATTTCCTTTTTCACCTGAGGCCGGAAAGCGCTCCAAATGTCCACTTCCAGATACTACAAAAGGAGTGATTCAAACCTGCTCTATGATAGGGAATGTTCAACTCTGTGTCCTGAATACAAACATCACAAAGATGTTTCTCAGAACGCTGCAGTCTGCAATTTGTATGAATTCCCGCTTCCAACGAAATCCTCAAAACTAGCCAAATATCCACTTGCAGATTCCACAAAAAGAGCATTTCAAAACTGCTCTATCAAAATAAAGGTTCAACTTTGTTAGTTGAGTAGATACAGCATAAACAAGTTTCTGAGAATGCTTCTGTCCAGTTTTTATGGGAAGATATTTCCTTTTTCACCTTAGCCCTGAAATCGCTCCAAAAGTCCAGTTCCAGATACTACAAAAGGGGTGTTTCAAGACTGCTCTATGAAAGGGAGTGTTCAACTTTTGACTTGAATGCAAACATCAGAAAGCAGTTTCTCAGAACGCTGCTGTGTGCTTTTTATATGTATTCCCGCTTCCAGCGAAATCCCCAAAGCTAGCCAAATATCCACTTGCAGATTCCAGAAAAAGAGTGTTTCAAAACTGCTCCTTCAAAACGGTGGTTCAATTCTCTTAGTTGAGTACACACATCTCAAATAAGTTTCTGAGAATGCTTCTGTCTAGTTGTTATGGGAAGATATTTCCTTTTCCAACATAGGCCTGAAAGCGCTCCAAATGTCCACTTCCAGATACTACAAAAGGAGTGATTCAAACCTGCTCTATGATAGGGAATGTTCAACTCTGTGTCCTGAATACAAACATCACAAAGATGTTTCTCAGAACGCTGCAGTCTGCAATTTGTATGAATTCCCGCTTCCAACGAAATCCTCCAAACTAGCCAAATATCCACTTGCAGATTCCACAAAAAGAGCGTTTCAAAACTTCTCTATGAAAAGAAAGGTTCTACTCCTTTAGTTGAGGACACACATCACGAGTAAGTTTCTGAGAATGCTTCTGTCTAGTTTTTATGGGAAGATATTTCCTTTTTCACCTTAGGCCGGAAAGTGCTCCAAATGTCCACTTACACACACTACAAAAAGAGTGTTTCAAACCTGCTCTGTGAAAGGGAATGTTCAATTCTGTGACTTGAATGCAATCATCACAAAGAAAGTTCTGAGAATGCTGCTGTCTGCTTTTTATATGTAATCCCGTTTCCAACGAAATCCTCAAATCTAGCCAAATAGCCACTTGCAGATTCCACAAAAAGAGTGTTTCAAAACTGTTCTGTCTAAAGAAATGTTCAACTGTGTTAGTTGAGGACACACATCAGAAACTAGTTTCTGAGAATGCTTCTGTCTAGTTGTTATGGGAAGATATTTCCTTTTCCAACGTAGACCTGAAAGCGCTCCAAATGTCCACTTCCATATACTAAAAAAAGGGTGTTTCAAACCTGCTCTACCAAAGGGAATGTTCTACTCTGTGACTTGAATGCAAACATCCCAAAGAAGTTTCTGAGAATGCTTCTGTCTAGATTTGATCTGAAGACAATCCCGTTTCCAACGAAATCCTCAAAGCTAGGCAAATATCCTCTTGCAGATTCCAGAAAAAGAGTGTTTCAAAACTGCTCCTTCAAAACGGTGGTTCAATTCTCTTAGTTGAGTACACACATCTCAAATAAGTTTCTGAGAATGCTTCTGCCTAGTTGTTACGGGAAGATATTTCCCTTTCCAACATGGGCCTGATAGTGCTCCAAATGTCCACTTCCAGATACTACAAAAAGAGTGTTTCAAACCTGCTCTACCAAAGGGAATGTTCTACTCTGTGACTTGAATGCAAACATCCCAAAAAAGTTTCTGAGAATGCTTCTGTCTAGATTTTACCTGAAGACAATCCCGTTTCCCACGAAATCCTCAAAGCTATGCAAATATCCTCTTGCAGATTCTACAAAAAGAGTGTTTCAAAACTGCTCTATGAAAAGAAAGGTTCAACTCTGTCAGTAGATGGCACACATCACAAACAAGTTTCTGAGAATGCTTGTGTCTAGTTGTTATGGGAAGATATTTCCTTTTTCAACATAGGCCTGAAAGCGCTCCAAATGTCCACTTCCAGATACTACAAAAGGAGTGATTCCAACCTGCTCTATGATAGGGAATGTTCAACTCTGTGTCCTGAATACAAACATCACAAAGATGTTTCTCAGAACGCTGCAGTCTGCAATTTGTATGAATTCCAGCTTCCAACGAAATCCTCAAATCTAGCCAAATATCCACTTGCAGATTCCACAAAAAGAGCATTTCAAAACTGCTCTATCAAAAGAAAGGTTCAACTTTGTTAGTAGAGTAGATACAGCATAAACAAGTTTCTGAGAATGCTTCTGTCCAGTTTTTATGGGAAGATATTTCCTTTTTCACCTCAGCCCTGAAAGCGCTCCAAAAGTCCAGTTCCAGATACTACAAAAGGAGTGTTTCAGGACTGCTCTATGAAAGGGAGTGTTCAACTTTTGACTTGAATGCAAACATCAGAAAGCAGTTTCTCAGAACGCTGCTGTGTGCTTTTTATATGTATTCCCGCTTCCAGCGAAATCCCCAAAGCTAGCCAAATATCCACTTGCAGATTCCAGAAAAAGAGTGTTTCAAAACTGCTCCTTCAAAACGGTGGTTCAATTCTCTTAGTTGAGTACACACATCTCAAATAAGTTTCTGAGAATGCTTCTGTCTAGTTGTTATGGGAAGATATTTCCTTTTCCAACATAGGCCTGAAAGCGCTCCAAATGTCCACTTCCAGATACTACAAAAGGAGTGATTCCAACCTGCTCTATGATAGGGAATGTTCAACTCTGTGTCCTGAATACAAACATCACAAAGATGTTTCTCAGAACGCTGCAGTCTGCAATTTGTATGAATTCCCGCTTCCAACGAAATCCTCCAAACTAGCCAAATATCCACTTGCAGATTCCACAAAAAGAGCGTTTCAAAACTTCTCTATGAAAAGAAAGGTTCTACTCCTTTAGTTGAGGACACACATCACGAGTAAGTTTCTGAGAATGCTTCTGTCTAGTTTTTATGGGAAGATATTTCCTTTTTCACCTTAGGCCGGTAAGTGCTCCAAATGTCCACTTACACACACTACAAAAAGAGTGTTTCAAACCTGCTCTGTGAAAGGGAATGTTCAATTCTGTGACTTGAATGCAATCATCACAAAGAACTTTCTGAGAATGCCGCTGACTGCTTTTTATATGTAATCCCGTTTCCAACGAAATCCTCAAATCTAGCCAAATAGCCACTTGCAGATTCCACAAAAAGAGTGTTTCAAAACTGTTCTGTCTAAAGAAATGTTCAACTGTGTTAGTTGAGGACACACATCAGAAACTAGTTTCTGAGAATGCTTCTGTCTAGTTGTTATGGGAAGATATTTCCTTTTCCAACGTAGGCCTGAAAGCGCTCCAAATGTCCACTTCCAGATACTAAAAAAAGAGTGTTTCAAACCTGCTCTACCAAAGGGAATGTTCTACTCTGTGACTTGAATGCAAGCATCCCAAAGAAGTTTCTGAGAATGCTTCTGTCTAGATTTTCTCTGAAGACAATCCCGTTTCCAACGAAATCCTCAAGGCTAGGCAAATATACTCTTGCAGATTCCAGAAAAAGAGTGTTTCAAGACTGCTCCTTCAAAACGGTGGTTCAATTCTCTTAGTTGAGTACACACATCTCAAATAAGTTTCTGAGAATGCTTCTGCCTAGTTGTTACGGGAAGATATTTCCCTTTCCAACATGGGCCTGAAAGCGCTCCAAATGTCCACTTCCAGATACTACAAAAAGAGTGTTTCAAACCTGCTCTACCAAAGGGAATGTTCTACTCTGTGACTTGAATGCAAACATCCCAAAGAAGTTTCTGAGAATGCTTCTGTCTAGATTTTACCTGAAGACAATCCCGTTTCCCACGAAATCCTCAAAGCTATGCAAATATCCTCTTGCAGATTCTACAAAAAGAGTGTTTCAAAACTGCTCTATGAAAAGAAAGGTTCAACTCTGTCAGTAGAGGGCACACATCACAAACAAGTTTCTGAGAATGCTTCTGCATAGTTGTTACGGGAAGATATTTCCCTTTCCAAAATAGGCCTGAAAGCGCTCCAAATGTCCACTTCCAGATACTACAAAAGGAGTGATTCCAACCTGCTCTATGATAGGGAATGTTCAACTCTGTGTCCTGAATACAAACATCACAAAGATGTTTCTCAGAACGCTGCAGTCTGCAATTTGTATGAATTCCCGCTTCCAACGAAATCCTCAAAACTAGCCAAATATCCACTTGCAGATTCCACAAAAAGACCATTTCAAAACTGCTCTATCAAAAGAAAGGTTCAACTTTGTTAGTTGAGTAGATACAGCATAACCAAGTTTCTGAGAATGCTTCTGTCCAGTTTTTATGGGAAGATATTTCCTTTTTCACCTTAGCCCTGAAATCGCTCCAAAAGTCCAGTTCCAGATACTACAAAAGGGGTGTTTCAAGACTGCTCTATGAAAGGGAGTGTTCAACTTTTGACTTGAATGCAAACATCAGAAAGCAGTTTCTCAGAACGCTGCTGTGTGCTTTTTATATGTATTCCCGCTTCCAGCGAAATCCCCAAAGCTAGCCAAATATCCACTTGCAGATTCCAGAAAAAGAGAGTTTCAAAACTGCTCCTTCAAAACGGTGGTTCAATTCTCTTAGTTGAGTACACACATCTCAAATAAGTTTCTGAGAATGCTTCTGTCTAGTTGTTATGGGAAGATATTTCCCTTTCCAACATAGGCCTGAAAGCGCTCCAAATGTCCACTTCCAGATACTACAAAAGGAGTGATTCCAACCTGCTCTATGATAGGGAATGTTCAACTCTGTGTCCTGAATACAAACATCACAAAGATGTTTCTCAGAACGCTGCAGTCTGCAATTTGTATGAATTCCCGCTTCCAACGAAATCCTCAAAACTAGCCAAATATCCACTTGCAGATTCCACAAAAAGACCATTTCAAAACTGCTCTATCAAAAGAAAGGTTCAACTTTGTTAGTTGAGTAGATACAGCATAAACAAGTTTCTGAGAATGCTTCTGTCCAGTTTTTATGGGAAGATATTTCCTTTTTCACCTTAGCCCTGAAAGCGCTCCAAAAGTCCAGTTCCAGATACTACAAAAGGAGTGTTTCAGGACTGCACTATGAAAGGGAGTGTTCAACTTTTGACTTGAATGCAAACATCAGAAAGCAGTTTCTCAGAACGCTGCTGTGTGCTTTTTATATGTATTCCCGCTTCCAGCGAAATCCCCAAAGCTAGCCAAATATCCACTTGCAGATTCCAGAAAAAGAGTGTTTCAAAACTGCTCCTTCAAAACGGTGGTTCAATTCTCTTAGTTGAGTACACACATCTCAAATAAGTTTCTGAGAATGCTTCTGTGTTGTTGTTATGGGAAGATATTTCCTTTTCCAACATAGGCCTGAAAGCGCTCCAAATGTCCACTTCCAGATACTACAAAAGGAGTGATTCCAACCTGCTCTATGATAGGGAATGTTCAACTCTGTGTCCTGAATACAAACATCACAAAGATGTTTCTCAGAACGCTGCAGTCTGCAATTTGTATGAATTCCCGCTTCCAACGAAATCCTCCAAACTAGCCAAATATCCACTTGCAGATTCCACAAAAAGAGCGTTTCAAAACTTCTCTATGAAAAGAAAGGTTCTACTCCTTTAGTTGAGGACACACATCACGAGTAAGTTTCTGAGAATGCTTCTGTCTAGTTTTTATGGGAAGATATTTCCTTGTTCACCTTAGGCCGGAAAGCGCTCCAAATGTCCACTTACACACACTACAAAAAGAGTGTTTCAAACCTGCTCTGTGAAAGGGAATGTTCAATTCTGTGACTTGAATGCAATCATCACAAAGAAGTTTCTGAGAATGCTGCTGTCTGCTTTTTATATGTAATCCCGTTTCCAACGAAATCCTCAAATCTAGCCAAATAGCCACTTGCAGATTCCACAAAAAGAGTGTTTCAAAACTGTTCTGTCTAAAGAAATGTTCAACTGTGTTAGTTGAGGACACACATCAGAAACTAGTTTCTGAGAATGCTTCTGTCTAGTTGTTATGGGAAGATATTTCCTTTTCCAACGTAGGCCTGAAAGCGCTCCAAATGTCCACTTCCATATACTAAAAAAAGAGTGTTTCAAACCTGCTCTACCAAAGGAATGTTCTACTCTGTGACTTGAATGCAAACATCCCAAAGAAGTTTCTGAGAATGCTTCTGTCTAGATTTGATCTGAAGACAATCCCTTTTCCAACGAAATCCTCAAAGCTAGGCAAATATCCTCTTGCAGATTCCAGAAAAAGAGTGTTTCCAAACTGCTCTTTCAAAACGGTGGTTCAATTCTCTTAGTTGAGTACACACATCTCAAATAAGTTTCTGAGAATGCTTCTGCCTAGTTGTTACGGGAAGATATTTCCCTTTCCAACATAGGCCTGAAAGCGCAACAAATGTCCACTTCCAGATACGACAAAAAGAGTGTTTCAAACCTGCTCTACCAAAGGGAATGTTCTACTCTGTGACTTGAATGCAAACATCCCGAAGAAGTTTCTGAGAATGCTTCTGTCTAGATTTTACCTGAAGACAATCCCGTTTCCCACGAAATCCTCAGAGCTATGCAAATATCCTCTTGCAGATTCTACAAAAAGAGTGTTTCGAAACTGCTCTATGAAAAGAAAGGTTCAACTCTGTCAGTAGAGGAAACACATCACCAACAAGTTTCTGAGAATGCTTCTGTCTAGTTGTTATGGGAAGATTTTTCCTTTTTCAACATAGGCCTGAAAGCGCTCCAAATGTCCACTTCCAGATACTACAAAAGGAGTGATCCCAACCTGCTCTATGATAGGGAATGTTCAACTCTGTGTCCTGAATACAAACATCACAAAGATGTTTCTCAGAACGCTGCAGTCTGCAATTTGTATGAATTCCCGCTTCCAACGAAATCCTCAAAACTAGCGAAATATCCACTTGCAGATTCCACAAAAAGAGCATTTCAAAACTGCTCTATCAAAAGAAAGGTTCAACTTTGTTAGTTGAATAGATACAGCATAAACAAGTTTCTGAGAATGCTGTAGTCTGCAATTTGTATGAATTCCCGCTTCCAACGAAATCCTCCAAACTAGCCAAATATCCACTTGCAGATTCCACAAAAAGAGCGTTTCAAAACTTCTCTATGAAAAGAAAGGTTCTACTCCTTTAGTTGAGGACACACATCACGAGTAAGCTTCTGAGAATGCTTCTGTCTAGTTTTTATGGGAAGATATTTCCTTTTTCACCTTAGGCCGGAAAGTGCTCCAAATGTCCACTTACACACACTACAAAAAGAGTGTTTCAAACCTGCTCTGTGAAAGGGAATGTTCAATTCTGTGACTTGAATGCAATCATCACAAAGAACTTTCTGAGAATGCTGCTGTCTGCTTTTTATATGTAATCCCGTTTCCAACGAAATCCTCAAATCTAGCCAAATAGCCACTTGCAGATTCCACAAAAAGAGTGTTTCAAAACTGTTCTGTCTAAAGAAATGTTCAACTGTGTTAGTTGAGGACACAGATCAGAAACTAGTTTCTGAGAATGCTTCTGTCTAGTTGTTATGGGAAGATATTTCCTTTTCCAACGTAGGCCTGAAAGCGCTCCAAATGTCCACTTCCATATACTAAAAAAAGAGTGTTTCAAACCTGCTCTACCAAAGGGAATGTTCTACTCTGTGACTTGAATGCAAACATCCCAAAGAAGTTTCTGAGAATGCTTCTGTCTAGATTTGATCTGAAGACAATCCCGTTTCCAACGAAATCCTCAAGGCTAGGCAAATATCCTCTTGCAGATTCCAGAAAAAGAGTGTTTCAAAACTGCTCCTTCAAAACGGTGGTTCAATTCTCTTAGTTGAGTACACACATCTCAAATAAGTTTCTGAGAATGCTTCTGCCTAGTTGTTACGGGAAGATATTTCCCTTTCCAACATAGGCCTGAAAGCGCTCCAAATGTCCACTTCCAGATACTACAAAAAGAGTGTTTCAAACCTGCTCTACCAAAGGGAATGTTCTACTCTGTGACTTGAATGCAAACATCCCAAAGAAGTTTCTGAGAATGCTTCTGTCTAGATTTTACCTGAAGACAATCCCGTTTCCCACGAAATCCTCAAAGCTATTCAAATATCCTCTTGCAGATTCTACAAAAAGAGTGTTTCAAAACTGCTCTATGAAAAGAAAGGTTCAACTCTGTCACTAGAGGGCACACATCACAAACAAGTTTCTGAGAATGCTTGTGTCTAGTTGTTATGGGAAGATATTTCCTTTTTCAACATAGGCCTGAAAGCGCTCCAAATGTCCACTTCCAGATACTACAAAAGGAGTGATTCCAACCTGCTCTATGATAGGGAATGTTCAACTCTCTGTCCTGAATACAAACATCACAAAGATGTTTCTCAGAACGCTGCAGTCTGCAATTTGTATGAATTCCCGCTTCCAGCGAAATCCTCAAAACTAGCCAAATATCCACTTGCAGATTCCACAAAAAGAGCATTTCAAAACTGCTCTATCAAAAGAAAGGTTCAACTTTGTTAGTTGAGTAGATACAGCATAAACAAGTTTCTGAGAATGCTTCTGTCCAGTTTTTATGGGAAGATATTTCCTTTTTCACCTTAGCCCTGAAAGCGCTCCAAAAGTCCAGTTCCAGATACTACAAAAGGAGTGTTTCAGGACTGCACTATGAAAGGGAGGGTTCAACTTTTGACTTGAATGCAAACATCAGAAAGCAGTTTCTCAGAACGCTGCTGTGTGCTTTTTATATGTATTCCCGCTTCCAGCGAAATCCCCAAAGCTAGCCAAATATCCACTTGCAGATTCCAGAAAAAGAGTGTTTCAAAACTGCTCCTTCAAAACGGTGGTTCAATTCTCTTAGTTGAGTACACACATCTCAAATAAGTTTCTGAGAATGCTTCTGTCTAGTTGTTATGGGAAGATATTTCCTTTTCCAACATAGGCCTGAAAGCGCTCCAAATGTCCACTTCCAGATACTACAAAAGGAGTGATTCAAACCTGCTCTATGATAGGGAATGTTCAACTCTGTGTCCTGAATACAAACATCACAAAGATGTTTCTCAGAACGCTGCAGTCTGCAATTTGTATGAATTCCCGCTTCCAACGAAATCCTCAAAACTAGCCAAATATCCACTTGCAGATTCCACAAAAAGAGCGTTTCAAAACTTCTCTATGAAAAGAAAGGTTCTACTCCTTTAGTTGAGGACACACATCACGAGTAAGTTTCTGAGAATGCTTCTGTCTAGTTTTTATGGGAAGATATTTCCTTTTTCACCTTAGGCCGGAAAGTGCTCCAAATGTCCACTTACACACACTACAAAAAGAGTGTTTCAAACCTGCCCTGTGAAAGGGAATGTTCAATTCTGTGACTTGAATGCAATCATCACAAAGAACTTTCTGAGAATGCTGCTGTCTGCTTTTTATATGTAATCCCGTTTCCAACGAAATCCTCAAATCTAGCCAAATAGCCACTTGCAGATTCCACAAAAAGAGTGTTTCAAAACTGTTCTGTCTAAAGAAATGTTCAACTGTGTTAGTTGAGGACACACATCAGAAACTAGTTTCTGAGAATGCTTCTGTCTAGTTGTTATGGGAAGATATTTCCTTTTCCAACGTAGGCCTGAAAGCGCTCCAAATGTCCACTTCCATATACTAAAAAAAGAGTGTTTCAAACCTGCTCTACCAAAGGGAATGTTCTACTCTGTGACTTGAATGCAAACATCCCAAAGAAGTTTCTGAGAATGCTTCTGTCTAGATTTGATCTGAAGACAATCCCGTTTCCAACGAAATCCTCAAGGCTAGGCAAATATCCTCTTGCAGATTCCAGAAAAAGAGTGTTTCAAAACTGCTCCTTCAAAACGGTGGTTCAATTCTCTTAGTTGAGTACACACATCTCAAATAAGTTTCTGAGAATGCTTCTGCCTAGTTGTTACGGGAAGATATTTCCCTTTCCAACATAGGCCTGAAAGCGCTCCAAATGTCCACTTCCAGATACTACAAAAAGAGTGTTTCAAACCTGCTCTACCAAAGGGAATGTTCTACTCTGTGACTTGAATGCAAACATCCCAAAGAAGTTTCTGAGAATGCTTCTGTCTAGATTTTACCTGAAGACAATCCCGTTTCCCACGAAATCCTCAAAGCTATGCAAATATCCTCTTGCGGATTCTACAAAAAGAGTGTTTCAAAACTGCTCTATGAAAAGAAAGGTTCAACTCTGTCAGTAGAGGGCACACATCACAAACAAGTTTCTGAGAATGCTTGTGTCTAGTTGTTATGGGAAGATATTTCCTTTTTCAACATAGGCCTGAAAGCGCTCCAAATGTCCACTTCCAGATACTACAAAAGGAGTGATTCCAACCTGCTCTATGATAGGGAATGTTCATCTCTGTGTCCTGAATACAAACATCACAAAGATGTTCCTCAGAACGCTGCAGTGTGCAATTTGGATGAATTCCCGCTTCCAACGAAATCCTCAAAACTAGCCAAATATCCACTTGGAGATTCCACAAAAAGAGCGTTTCAAAACTTCTCTATGAATAGAAAGGTTCTACTCCTTTAGTTGAGGAAACACTTCACGAGTAAGTTTCTGAGAATGCTTCTGTCTAGTTTTTATGGGAAGATATTTCCTTTTTCACCTTAGGCCGGAAAGCGCTCCAAATGTCCACTTACACACACTACAAAAAGAGTGTTTCAAACCTGCTCTGTGAAAGGGAATGTTCAATTCTGTGACTTGAATGCAATCATCACAAAGAACTTTCTGAGAATGCTGCTGTCTGCTTTTTATATGTAATCCCGTTTCCAACGAAATCCTCAAATCTAGCCAAATAGCCACTTGCAGATTCCACAAAAAGAGTGTTTCAAAACTGTTCTGTCTAAAGAAAAGTTCAACTGTGTTAGTTGAGGACACACATCAGAAACTAGTTTCTGAGAATGCTTCTGTGTAGTTGTTATGGGAAGATATTTCCTTTTCCAACGTAGGCCTGAAAGCGCTCCAAATGTCCACTTCCATATACTAAAAAAAGAGTGTTTCAAACCTGCTCTACCAAAGGGAATGTTCTACTCTGTGACTTGAATGCAAACATCCCAAAGAAGTTTCTGAGAATGCTTCTGTCTAGATTTGATCTGAAGACAATCCCGTTTCCAACGAAATCCTCAAGGCTAGGCAAATATCCTCTTGCAGATTCCAGAAACAGAGTGTTTCAAAACTGCTCCTTCAAAACGGTGGTTCAATTCTCTTAGTTGAGTACACACATCTCAAATAAGTTTCTGAGAATGCTTCTGCCTAGTTGTTACGGGAAGATATTTCCCTTTCCAACATAGGCCTGAAAGCGCTCCAAATGTCCACTTCCAGATACTACAAAAAGAGTGTTTCAAACCTGCTCTACCAAAGGGAATGTTCTACTCTGTGACTTGAATGCAAACATCCCAAAGAAGTTTCTGAGAATGCTTCTGTCTAGATTTTACCTGAAGACAATCCCGTTTCCCACGAAATCCTCAAAGCTATGCAAATATCCTCTTGCAGATTCTACAAAAAGAGTGTTTCAAAACTGCTCTATGAAAAGAAAGGTTCAACTCTGTCAGTAGAGGGCACACATCACAAACAAGTTTCTGAGAATGCTTGTGTCTACTTGATATGGGAAGATATTTCCTTTTTCAACATAGGCCTGAAAGCGCTCCAAATGTCCACTTCCAGATACTACAAAAGGAGTGATTCCAACCTGCTCTATGATAGGGAATGTTCAACTCTGTGTCCTGAATACAAACATCACAAAGATGTTTCTCAGAACGCTGCAGTCTGCAATTTGTATGAATTCCCGCTTCCAACGAAATCCTCAAAACTAGCCAAATATCCACTTGCAGATTCCACAAAAAGACCATTTCAAAACTGCTCTATCAAAAGAAAGGTTCAACTTTGTTAGTTGAGTAGATACAGCATAACCAAGTTTCTGAGAATGCTTCTGTCCAGTTTTTATGGGAAGATATTTCCTTTTTCACCTTAGCCCTGAAATCGCTCCAAAAGTCCAGTTCCAGATACTACAAAAGGGGTGTTTCAAGACTGCTCTATGAAAGGGAGTGTTCAACTTTTGACTTGAATGCAAACATCAGAAAGCAGTTTCTCAGAACGCTGCTGTGTGCTTTTTATATGTATTCCCGCTTCCAGCGAAATCCCCAAAGCTAGCCAAATATCCACTTGCAGATTTCAGAAAAAGAGAGTTTCAAAACTGCTCCTTCAAAACGGTGGTTCAATTCTCTTAGTTGAGTACACACATCTCAAATAAGTTTCTGAGAATGCTTTCTGTCCAGTTTTTATGGGAAGATATTTCCTTTTTCACCTTAGCCCTGAAATCGCTCCAAAAGTCCAGTTCCAGATACTACAAAACGGGTGTTTCAAGACTGCTCTATGAAAGGGAGTGTTCAACTTTTGACTTGAATGCAAACATCAGAAAGCAGTTTCTCAGAACGCTGCTGTGTGCTTTTTATATGTATTCCCGCTTCCAGCGAAATCCCCAAAGCTAGCCAAATATCCACTTGCAGATTCCAGAAAAAGAGAGTTTCAAAACTGCTCCTTCAAAACGGTGGTTCAATTCTCTTAGTTGAGTACACACATCTCAAATAAGTTTCTGAGAATGCTTCTGTCTAGTTGTTATGGGAAGATATTTCCTTTTCCAACATAGGCCTGAAAGCGCTCCAAATGTCCACTTCCAGATACTACAAAAGGAGTGATTCCAACCTGCTCTATGATAGGGAATGTTCAACTCTGTGTCCTGAATACAAACATCACAAAGATGTTTCTCAGAACGCTGCAGTCTGCAATTTGTATGAATTCCCGCTTCCAACGAAATCCTCCAAACTAGCCAAATATCCACTTGCAGATTCCACAAAAAGAGCATTTCAAAACTTCTCTATGAAAAGAAAGGTTCTACTCCTTTAGTTGAGGACACACATCACGAGTAAGTTTCTGAGAATGCTTCTGTCTAGTTTTTATGGGAAGATATTTCCTTTTTCACCTTAGGCCGGTAAGTGCTCCAAATGTCCACTTACACACACTACAAAAAGAGTGTTTCAAACCTGCTCTGTGAAAGGGAATGTTCAATTCTGTGACTTGAATGCAATCATCACAAAGAACTTTCTGAGAATGCTGCTGACTGCTTTTTATATGTAATCCCGTTTCCAACGAAATCCTCAAATCTAGCCAAATAGCCACTTGCAGATTCCACAAAAAGAGTGTTTCAAAACTGTTCTGTCTAAAGAAATGTTCAACTGTGTTAGTTGAGGACACACATCAGAAACTAGTTTCTGAGAATGCTTCTGTCTAGTTGTTATGGGAAGATATTTCCTTTTCCAACGTAGGCCTGAAAGCGCTCCAAATGTCCACTTCCAGATACTAAAAAAAGAGTGTTTCAAACCTGCTCTACCAAAGGGAATGTTCTACTCTGTGACTGGAATGCAAGCATCCCAAAGAAGTTTCTGAGAATGCTTCTGTCTAGATTTTCTCTGAAGACAATCCCGTTTCCAACGAAATCCTCAAGGCTAGGCAAATATACTCTTGCAGATTCCAGAAAAAGAGTGTTTCAAAACTGCTCCTTCAAAACGGTGGTTCAATTCTCTTAGTTGAGTACACACATCTCAAATAAGTTTCTGAGAATGCTTCTGCCTAGTTGTTACGGGAAGATATTTCCCTTTCCAACATGGGCCTGAAAGCGCTCCAAATGTCCACTTCCAGATACTACAAAAAGAGTGTTTCAAACCTGCTCTACCAAAGGGAATGTTCTACTCTGTGACTTGAATGCAAACATCCCAAAGAAGTTTCTGAGAATGCTTCTGTCTAGATTTTACCTGAAGACAATCCCGTTTCCCACGAAATCCTCAAAGCTATGCAAATATCCTCTTGCAGATTCTACAAAAAGAGTGTTTCAAAACTGCTCTATGAAAAGAAAGGTTCAACTCTGTCAGTAGAGGGCACACATCACAAACAAGTTTCTGAGAATGCTTCTGCATAGTTGTTACGGGAAGATATTTCCCTTTCCAAAATAGGCCTGAAAGCGCTCCAAATGTCCACTTCCAGATACTACAAAAGGAGTGATTCCAACCTGCTCTATGATAGGGAATGTTCAACTCTGTGTCCTGAATACAAACATCACAAAGATGTTTCTCAGAACGCTGCAGTCTGCAATTTGTATGAATTCCCGCTTCCAACGAAATCCTCAAAACTAGCCAAATATCCACTTGCAGATTCCACAAAAAGACCATTTCAAAACTGCTCTATCAAAAGAAAGGTTCAACTTTGTTAGTTGAGTAGTTACAGCATAAACAAGTTTCTGAGAATGCTTCTGTCCAGTTTTTATGGGAAGATATTTCCTTTTTCACCTTAGCCCTGAAATCGCTCCAAAAGTCCAGTTCCAGATACTACAAAACGGGTGTTTCAAGACTGCTCTATGAAAGGGAGTGTTCAACTTTTGACTTGAATGCAAACATCAGAAAGCAGTTTCTCAGAACGCTGCTGTGTGCTTTTTATATGTATTCCCGCTTCCAGCGAAATCCCCAAAGCTAGCCAAATATCCACTTGCAGATTCCAGAAAAAGAGTGTTTCAAAACTGCTCCTTCAAAACGGTGGTTCAATTCTCTTAGTTGAGTACACACATCTCAAATAAGTTTCTGAGAATGCTTGTGTCTAGTTGTTATGGGAAGATATTTCCTTTTTCAACATAGGCCTGAAAGCGCTCCAAATGTCCACTTCCAGATACTACAAAAGGAGTGATTCCAACCTGCTCTATGATAGGGAATGTTCAACTCTCTGTCCTGAATACAAACATCACAAAGATGTTTCTCAGAACACTGCAGTCTGCAATTTGTATGAATTCCCGCTTCCAACGAAATCCTCAAAACTAGCCAAATATCCACTTGCAGATTCCACAAAAAGAGCATTTCAAAACTGCTCTATCAAAAGAAAGGTTCAACTTTGTTAGTTGAGTAGATACAGCATAAACAAGTTTCTGAGAATGCTTCTGTCCAGTTTTTATGGGAAGATATTTCCTTTTTCACCTTAGCCCTGAAAGCGCTCCAAAAGTCCAGTTCCAGATACTACAAAAGGAGTGTTTCAGGACTGCTCTGTGAAAGGGAGTGTTCAACTTTTGACTTGAATGCAAACATCAGAAAGCAGTTTCTCAGAACGCTGCTGTGTGCTTTTTATATGTATTCCCGCTTCCAGCGAAATCCCCAAAGCTAGCCAAATATCCACTTGCAGATTCCAGAAAAAGAGTGTTTCAAAACTGCTCCTTCAAAACGGTGGTTCAATTCTCTTAGTTGAGTACACACATCTCAAATAAGTTTCTGAGAATGCTTCTGTCTAGTTGTTATGGGAAGATATTTCCTTTTCCAACATAGGCCTGAAAGCGCTCCAAATGTCCACTTCCAGATACTACAAAAGGAGTGATTCCAACCTGCTCTATGATAGGGAATGTTCAACTCTGTGTCCTGAATACAAACATCACAAAGATGTTTCTCAGAACGCTGCAGTCTGCAATTTGTATGAATTCCCGCTTCCAACGAAATCCTCAAAACTAGCCAAATATCCACTTGCAGATTCCACAAAAAGAGCGTTTCAAAACTTCTCTATGAAAAGAAAGGTTCTACTCCTTTAGTTGAGGACACACATCACGAGTAAGTTTCTGAGAATGCTTCTGTCTAGTTTTTATGGGAAGATATTTCCTTTTTCACCTTAGGCAGGTAAGTGCTCCAAATGTCCACTTACACACACTACAAAAAGAGTGTTTCAAACCTGCTCTGTGAAAGGGAATGTTCAATTCTGTGACTTGAATGCAATCATCACAAAGAACTTTATGAGAATGCTGCTGACTGCTTTTTATATGTAATCCCGTTTCCAACGAAATCCTCAAATCTAGCCAAATAGCCACTTGCAGATTCCACAAAAAGAGTGTTTCAAAACTGTTCTGTCTAAAGAAATGTTCAACTGTGTTAGTTGAGGACACACATCAGAAACGAGTTTCTGAGAATGCTTCTGTCTAGTTGTTATGGGAAGATATTTCCTTTTCCAACGTAGGCCTGAAAGCGCTCCAAATGTCCACTTCCAGATACTACAAAAAGAGTGTTTCAAACCTGCTCTACCAAAGGGAATGTTCTACTCTGTGACTTGAATGCAAGCATCCCAAAGAAGTTTCTGAGAATGCTTCTGTCTAGATTTTCTCTGAAGACAATCCCGTTTCCAACGAAATCCTCAAGGCTAGGCAAATATACTCTTGCAGATTCCAGAAAAAGAGTGTTTCAAAACTGCTCCTTCAAAACGGTGGTTCAATTCTCTTAGTTGAGTACACACATCTCAAATAAGTTTCTGAGAATGCTTCTGCCTAGTTGTTACGGGAAGATATTTCCCTTTCCAACATGGGCCTGAAAGCGCTCCAAATGTCCACTTCCAGATACTACAAAAAGAGTGTTTCAAACCTGCTCTACCAAAGGGAATGTTCTACTCTGTGACTTGAATGCAAACATCCCAAAGAAGTTTCTGAGAATGCTTCTGTCTAGATTTTACCTGAAGACAATCCCATTTCCCACGAAATCCTCAAAGCTATGCAAATATCCTCTTGCGGATTCTACAAAAAGAGTGTTTCAAAACTGCTCTATGAAAAGAAAGGTTCAACTCTGTCAGTAGAGGGCACACATCACAAACAAGTTTCTGAGAATGCTTCTGCATAGTTGTTACGGGAAGATATTTCCCTTTCCAAAATAGGCCTGAAAGCGCTCCAAATGTCCACTTCCAGATACTACAAAAGGAGTGATTCCAACCTGCTCTATGATAGGGAATGTTCAACTCTGTGTCCTGAATACAAACATCACAAAGATGTTTCTCAGAACGCTGCAGTCTGCAATTTGTATGAATTCCCGCTTCCAACGAAATCCTCAAAACTAGCCAAATATCCACTTGCAGATTCCACAAAAAGACCATTTCAAAACTGCTCTATCAAAAGAAAGGTTCAACTTTGTTAGTTGAGTAGATACAGCATAACCAAGTTTCTGAGAATGCTTCTGTCCAGTTTTTATGGGAAGATATTTCCTTTTTCACCTTAGCCCTGAAATCGCTCCAAAAGTCCAGTTCCAGATACTACAAAAGGGGTGTTTCAAGACTGCTCTATGAAAGGGAGTGTTCAACTTTTGACTTGAATGCAAACATCAGAAAGCAGTTTCTCAGAACGCTGCTGTGTGCTTTTTATATGTATTCCCGCTTCCAGCGAAATCCCCAAAGCTAGCCAAATATCCACTTGCAGATTCCAGAAAAAGAGAGTTTCAAAACTGCTCCTTCAAAACGGTGGTTCAATTCTCTTAGTTGAGTACACACATCTCAAATAAGTTTCTGAGAATGCTTCTGTCTAGTTGTTATGGGAAGATATTTCCTTTTCCAACATAGGCCTGAAAGCGCTCCAAATGTCCACTTCCAGATACTACAAAAGGAGTGATTCCAACCTGCTCTATGATAGGGAATGTTCAACTCTGTGTCCTGAATACAAACATCACAAAGATGTTTCTCAGAACGCTGCAGTCTGCAATTTGTATGAATTCCCGCTTCCAACGAAATCCTCAAAACTAGCCAAATATCCACTTGCAGATTCCACAAAAAGAGCGTTTCAAAACTTCTCTATGAAAAGAAAGGTTCTACTCCTTTAGTTGAGGACACACATCACGAGTAAGTTTCTGAGAATGCTTCTATTAGTTTTTATGGGAAGATATTTCCTTTTTCACCTTAGGCCGGTAAGTGCTCCAAATGTCCACTTACACACACTACAAAAAGAGTGTTTCAAACCTGCTCTGTGAAAGGGAATGTTCAATTCTGTGACTTGAATGCAATCATCACAAAGAACTTTCTGAGAATGCTGCTGACTGCTTTTTATATGTAATCCCGTTTCCAACGAAATCCTCAAATCTAGCCAAATAGCCACTTGCAGATTCCACAAAAAGAGTGTTTCAAAACTGTTCTGTCTAAAGAAATGTTCAACTGTGTTAGTTGAGGACACACATCAGAAACTAGTTTCTGAGAATGCTTCTGTCTAGTTGTTATGGGAAGATATTTCCTTTTCCAACGTAGGCCTGAAAGCGCTCCAAATGTCCACTTCCAGATACTAAAAAAAGAGTGTTTCAAACCTGCTCTACCAAAGGGAATGTTCTACTCTGTGACTTGAATGCAAACATCCCAAAGAAGTTTCTGAGAATGCTTCTGTCTAGATTTTCTCTGAAGACAATCCCGTTTCCAACGAAATCCTCAAGGCTAGGCAAATATACTCTTGCAGATTCCAGAAAAAGAGTGTTTCAAAACTGCTCCTTCAAAACGGTGGTTCAATTCTCTTAGTTGAGTACACACATCTCAAATAAGTTTCTGAGAATGCTTCTGCCTAGTTGTTACGGGAAGATATTTCCCTTTCCAACATGGGCCTGAAAGCGCTCCAAATGTCCACTTCCAGATACTACAAAAAGAGTGTTTCAAACCTGCTCTACCAAAGGGAATGTTCTACTCTGTGACTTGAATGCAAACATCCCAAAGAAGTTTCTGAGAATGCTTCTGTCTAGATTTTACCTGAAGACAATCCCGTTTCCCACGAAATCCTCAAAGCTATGCAAATATCCTCTTGCAGATTCTACAAAAAGAGTGTTTCAAAACTGCTCTATGAAAAGAAAGGTTCAACTCTGTCAGTAGAGGGCACACATCACAAACAAGTTTCTGAGAATGCTTCTGCATAGTTGTTACGGGAAGATATTTCCCTTTCCAAAATAGGCCTGAAAGCGCTCCAAATGTCCACTTCCAGATACTACAAAAGGAGTGATTCCAACCTGCTCTATGATAGGGAATGTTCAACTCTGTGTCCTGAATACAAACATCACAAAGATGTTTCTCAGAACGCTGCAGTCTGCAATTTGTATGAATTCCCGCTTCCAACGAAATCCTCAAAACTAGCCAAATATCCACTTGCAGATTCCACAAAAAGACCATTTCAAAACTGCTCTATCAAAAGAAAGGTTCAACTTTGTTAGTTGAGTAGATACAGCATAAACAAGTTTCTGAGAATGCTTCTGTCCAGTTTTTATGGGAAGATATTTCCTTTTTCACCTTAGCCCTGAAATCGCTCCAAAAGTCCAGTTCCAGATACTACCAAAGGGGTGTTTCAGGACTGCTCTATGAAAGGGAGTGTTCAACTTTTGACTTGAATGCAAACATCAGAAAGCAGTTTCTCAGAACGCTGCTGTGTGCTTTTTATATGTATTCCCGCTTCCAGCGAAATCCCCAAAGCTAGCCAAATATCCACTTGCAGATTCCAGAAAAAGAGAGTTTCAAAACTGCTCCTTCAAAACGGTGGTTCAATTCTCTTAGTTGAGTACACACATCTCAAATAAGTTTCTGAGAATGCTTCTGTCTAGTTGTTATGGGAAGATATTTCCTTTTCCAACATAGGCCTGAAAGCGCTCCAAATGTCCACTTCCAGATACTACAAAAGGAGTGATTCAAACCTGCTCTATGATAGGGAATGTTCAACTCTGTGTCCTGAATACAAACATCACAAAGATGTTTCTCAGAACGCTGCAGTCTGCAATTTGTATGAATTCCCGCTTCCAACGAAATCCTCAAAACTAGCCAAATATCCACTTGCAGATTCCACAAAAAGAGCGTTTCAAAACTTCTCTATGAAAAGAAAGGTTCTACTCCTTTAGTTGAGGACACACATCACGAGTAAGTTTCTGAGAATGCTTCTGTCTAGTTTTTATGGGAAGATATTTCCTTTTTCACCTTAGGCCGGAAAGCGCTCCAAATGTCCACTTACACACACTACAAAAAGTGTGTTTCAAACCTGCTCTGTGAAAGGGAATGTTCAATTCTGTGACTTGAATGCAATCATCACAAAGAACTTTCTGAGAATGCTGCTGTCAGCTTTTTATATGTAATCCCGTTTCCAAAGAAATCCTCAAATCTAGCCAAATAGCCACTTGCAGATTCCACAAAAAGAGTGTTTCAAAACTGTTCTGTCTAAAGAAATGTACAACTGTGTTAGTTGAGGACACACATCAGAAACTAGTTTCTGAGAATGCTTCTGTCTAGTTGTTATGGGAAGATATTTCCTTTTCCAACGTAGGCCTGAAAGCGCTCCAAATGTCCACTTCCATATACGAAAAAAAGAGTGTTTCAAACCTGCTCTACCAAAGGGAATGTTCTACTCTGTGACTTGAATGCAAACATCCCAAAGAAGTTTCTGAGAATGCTTCTGTCTAGATTTTATCTGAAGACAATCCCGTTTCCAACGAAATCTTCAAGGCTAGGCAAATATACTCTTGCAGATTCCAGAAAAAGAGTGTTTCAAATCTGCTCCTTCAAAACGGTGGTTCAATTCTCTTAGTTGAGTACACACATCTCAAATAAGTTTCTGAGAATGCTTCTGCCTAGTTGTTACGGGAAGATATTTCCCTTTCCAAAATAGGCCTGAAAGCGCTCCAAATGTCCACTTCCAGATACTACAAAAAGAGGGTTTCAAACCTGCTCTACCAAAGGGAATGTTCTACTCTGTGACTTGAATGCAAACATCCCAAAGAATTTTCTGAGAATGCTTCTGTCTAGATTTTACCTGAAGACAATCCCGTTTCCCACGAAATCCTCAAAGCTATGCAAATATCCTCTTGCAGATTCTACAAAAAGAGTGTTTCAAAACTGCTCTATGAAAAGAAAGGTTCAACTCTGTCAGCAGAGGGCACACATCACAAACAAGTTTCTGAGAATGCTTGTGTCTAGTTGTTATGGGAAGATATTTCCTTTTTCAACATAGGCCTGAAAGCGCTCCAAATGTCCACTTCCAGATACTACAAAAGGAGTGATTCCAACCTGCTCTATGATAGGGAATGTTCATCTCTGTGTCCTGAATACAAACATCACAAAGATGTTTCTCAGAACGCTGCAGTCTGCAATTTGTATGAATTCCCGCATCCAACGAAATCCTCAAAACTAGCCAAATATCCACTTGGAGATTCCACAAAAAGAGCGTTTCAAACCTTCTCTATGAATAGAAAGGTTCTACTCCTTTAGTTGAGGACACACATCACGAGTAAGTTTCTGAGAATGCTTCTGTCTAGTTTTTATGGGAAGATATTTCCTTTTTCACCTTAGGCCGGAAAGTGCTCCAAATGTCCACTTACACACACTACAAAAAGAGTGTTTCAAACCTGCTCTGTGAAAGGGAATGTTCAATTCTGTGACTTGAATGCAATCATCACAAAGATCTTTCTGAGAATGCTGCTGACTGCTTTTTATATGTAATCCCGTTTCCACCGAAATCCTCAAATCTAGCCAAATATCCACTTGCAGATTCCACAAAAAGAGTGTTTCAAAACTGTTCTGTCTAAAGAAAAGTTCAACTGTGTTAGTTGAGGACACACATCAGAAACTAGTTTCTGAGAATGCTTCTGTCTAGTTGTTATGGGAAGATATTTCCTTTTCCAACGTAGGCCTGAAAGCGCTCCAAATGTCCACTTCCATATACTAAAAAAAGAGTGTTTCAAACCTGCTCTACCAAAGGGAATGTTCTACTCTGTGACTTGAATGCAAACATCCCAAAGAAGTTTCTGAGAATGCTTCTGTCTAGATTTTATCTGAAGACAATCCCGTTTCCAACGAAATCTTCAAGGCTAGGCAAATATACTCTTGCAGATTCCAGAAAAAGAGTGTTTCAAATCTGCTCCTTCAAAACGGTGGTTCAATTCTCTTAGTTGAGTACACACATCTCAAATAAGTTTCTGAGAATGCTTCTGCCTAGTTGTTACGGGAAGATATTTCCCTTTCCAACATGGGCCTGAAAGCGCTCCAAATGTCCACTTCCAGATACTACGAAAAGAGGGTTTCAAACCTGCTCTACCAAAGGGAATGTTCTACTCTGTGACTTGAATGCAAACATCCCAAAGAAGTTTCTGAGAATGCTTCTGTCTAGATTTTACCTGAAGACAATCCCGTTTCCCACGAAATCCTCAAAGCTATGCAAATATCCTCTTGCAGATTCTACAAAAAGAGTGTTTCAAAACTGCTCTATGAAAAGAAAGGTTCAACTCTGTCAGCAGAGGGCACACATCACAAACAAGTTTCTGAGAATGCTTGTGTCTAGTTGTTATGGGAAGATATTTCCTTTTTCAACATAGGCCTGAAAGCGCTCCAAATGTCCACTTCCAGAAACTACAAAAGGAGTGATTCCAACCTGCTCTATGATAGGGAATGTTCATCTCTGTGTCCTGAATACAAACATCACAAAGATGTTTCTCAGAACGCTGCAGTCTGCAATTTGTATGAATTCCCGCATCCAACGAAATCCTCAAAACTAGCCAAATATCCACTTGGAGATTCCACAAAAAGAGCGTTTCAAACCTTCTCTATGAATAGAAAGGTTCTACTCCTTTAGTTGAGGACACACATCACGAGTAAGTTTCTGACAATGCTTCTGTCTAGTTTTTATGGGAAGATATTTCCTTTTTCACCTTAGGCCGGAAAGTGCTCCAAATGTCCACTTACACACACTACAAAAAGAGTGTTTCAAACCTGCTCTGTGAAAGGGAATGTTCAATTCTGTGACTTGAATGCAATCATCACAAAGATCTTTCTGAGAATGCTGCTGACTGCTTTTTATATGTAATCCCGTTTCCAACGAAATCCTCAAATCTAGCCAAATATCCACTTGCAGATTCCACAAAAAGAGTGTTTCAAAACTGTTCTGTCTAAAGAAAAGTTCAACTGTGTTAGTTGAGGACACACATCAGAAACTAGTTTCTGAGAATGCTTCTGTCTAGTTGTTATGGGAAGATATTTCCTTTTCCAACGTAGGCCTGAAAGCGCTCCAAATGTCCACTTCCATATACTAAAAAAAGAGTGTTTCAAACCTGCTCTACCAAAGGGAATGTTCTACTCTGTGACTTGAATGCAAACATCCCAAAGAAGTTTCTGAGAATGCTTCTGTCTAGATTTTATCTGAAGACAATCCCGTTTCCAACGAAATCTTCAAGGCTAGGCAAATATACTCTTGCAGATTCCAGAAAAAGAGTGTTTCAAATCTGCTCCTTCAAAACGGTGGTTCAATTCTCTTAGTTGAGTACACACATCTCAAATAAGTTTCTGAGAATGCTTCTGCCTAGTTGTTACGGGAAGATATTTCCCTTTCCAACATGGGCCTGAAAGCGCTCCAAATGTCCACTTCCAGATACTACAAAAAGAGGGTTTCAAACCTGCTCTACCAAAGGGAATGTTCTACTCTGTGACTTGAATGCAAACATCCCAAAGAAGTTTCTGAGAATGCTTCTGTCTAGATTTTACCTGAAGACAATCCCGTTTCCCACGAAATCCTCAAAGCTATGCAAATATCCTCTTGCAGATTCTACAAAAAGAGTGTTTCAAAACTGCTCTATGAAAAGAAAGGTTCAACTGTGTCAGTAGAGGGCACACATCACAAACAAGTTTCTGAGAATGCTTGTGTCTAGTTGTTATGGGAAGATATTTCCTTTTTCAACATAGGCCTGAAAGCGCTCCAAATGTCCACTTCCAGATACTACAAAAGGAGTGATTCCAACCTGCTCTATGATAGGGAATGTTCAACTCTCTGTCCTGAATACAAACATCACAAAGATGTTTCTCAGAACGCTGCAGTCTGCAATTTGTATGAATTCCGGCTTCCAACGAAAATCCTCAAAACTAGCCAAATATCCACTTGCAGATTCCACAAAAAGAGCATTTCAAAACTGCTCTATCAAAAGAAAGGTTCAACTTTGTTAGTTGAGTAGATACAGCATAAACAAGTTTCTGAGAATGCTTCTGTCCAGTTTTTATGGGAAGATATTTCCTTTTTCACCTTAGCCTTGAAAGCGCTCCAAATGTCCACTTCCAGATACTACAAAAGGGGTGTTTCAAGCCTGCTCTATGAAAGGGAGTGTTCAACTTTTGACGTGAATGCAAACATCAGAAAGCAGTTTCTCAGAACGCTGCTGTGTGCTTTTTATATGTATTCCCGCTTCCAGCGAAATCCCCAAAGCTAGCCAAATATCCACTTGCAGATTCCAGAAAAAGAGTGTTTCAAAACTGCTCCTTCAAAACGGTGGTTCAATTCTCTTAGTTGAGTACACACATCTCAAATAAGTTTCTGAGAATGCTTCTGTCTAGTTGTTATGGGAAGATATTTCCTTTTCCAACATAGGCCTGAAAGCGCTCCAAATGTCCACTTCCAGATACTACAAAAGGAGTGATTCCAACCTGCTCTATGATAGGGAATGTTCAACTCTGTGTCCTGAATACAAACATCACAAAGATGTTTCTCAGAACGCTGCAGTCTGCAATTTGTATGAATTCCCGCTTCCAACGAAATCCTCAAAACTAGCCAAATATCCACTTGCAGATTCCACAAAAAGAGCGTTTCAAAACTTCTCTATGAAAAGAAAGGTTCTACTCCTTTAGTTGAGGACACACATCACGAGTAAGTTTCTGAGAATGCTTCTGTCTAGTTTTTATGGGAAGATATTTCCTTTTTCACCTTAGGCCGGTAAGTGCTCCAAATGTCCACTTACACACACTACAAAAAGAGTGTTTCAAACCTGCTCTGTGAAAGGGAATGTTCAATTCTGTGACTTGAATGCAATCATCACAAAGAACTTTCTGAGAATGCTGCTGACTGCTTTTTATACGTAATCCCGTTTCCAACGAAATCCTCAAATCTAGCCCAATATCCACTTGCAGATTCCACAAAAAGAGTGTTTCAAAACTGTTCTGTCTAAAGAAATGTTCAACTGTGTTAGTTGAGGACACACATCAGAAATTAGTTCCTGAGAATGCTTCTGTCTAGTTGTTATGGGAAGATATTTCCTTTTCCAACGTAGGCCTGAAAGCGCTCCAAATGTCCACTTCCATATACTAAAAAGAGTGTTTCAAACCTGCTCTACCAAAGGGAATGTTCTACTCTGTGACTTGAATGCAAACATCCCAAAGAAGTTTCTGAGAATGCTTCTGTCTAGATTTTATCTGAAGACAATCCCGTTTCCAACGAAATCCTCAAGGCTAGGCAAATATACTCTTGCAGATTCCAGAAAAAGAGTGTTTCAAAACTGCTCCTTCAAAACGGTGGTTCAATTCTCTTAGTTGAGTACACACATCTCAAATAAGTTTCTGAGAATGCTTCTGCCTAGTTGTTACGGGAAGATATTTCCCTTTCCAACATGGGCCTGAAAGCGCTCCAAATGTCCACTTCCAGATACTACAAAAAGAGTGTTTCAAACCTGCTCTACCAAAGGGAATGTTCTACTCTGTGACTTGAATGCAAACATCCCAAAGAAGTTTCTGAGAATGCTTCTGTCTAGATTTTACCTGAAGACAATCCCGTTTCCCACGAAATCCTCAAAGCTATGCAAATATCCTCTTGCAGATTCTACAAAAAGAGTGTTTCAAAACTGCTCTATGAAAAGAAAGGTTCAACTCTGTCAGTAGAGGGCACACATCACAAACAAGTTTCTGAGAATGCTTCTGCATAGTTGTTACGGGAAGATATTTCCCTTTCCAAAATAGGCCTGAAAGCGCTCCAAATGTCCACTTCCAGATACTACAAAAGGAGTGATTCCAACCTGCTCTATGATAGGGAATGTTCAACTCTGTGTCCTGAATACAAACATCACAAAGATGTTTCTCAGAACGCTGCAGTCTGCAATTTGTATGAATTCCCGCTTCCAACGAAATCCTCAAAACTAGCCAAATATCCACTTGCAGATTCCACAAAAAGACCATTTCAAAACTGCTCTATCAAAAGAAAGGTTCAACTTTGTTAGTTGAGTAGATACAGCATAAACAAGTTTCTGAGAATGCTTCTGTCCAGTTTTTATGGGAAGATATTTCCTTTTTCACCTTAGCCCTGAAATCGCTCCAAAAGTCCAGTTCCAGATACTACAAAAGGGGTGTTTCAGGACTGCTCTATGAAAGGGAGTGTTCAACTTTTGACTTGAATGCAAACATCAGAAAGCAGTTTCTCAGAACGCTGCTGTGTGCTTTTTATATGTATTCCCGCTTCCAGCGAAATCCCCAAAGCTAGCCAAATATCCACTTGCAGATTCCAGAAAAAGAGAGTTTCAAAACTGCTCCTTCAAAACGGTGGTTCAATTCTCTTAGTTGAGTACACACATCTCAAATAAGTTTCTGAGAATGCTTCTGTCTAGTTGTTATGGGAAGATATTTCCTTTTCCAACATAGGCCTGAAAGCGCTCCAAATGTCCACTTCCAGATACTACAAAAGGAGTGATTCAAACCTGCTCTATGATAGGGAATGTTCAACTCTGTGTCCTGAATACAAACATCACAAAGATGTTTCTCAGAACGCTGCAGTCTGCAATTTGTATGAATTCCCGCTTCCAACGAAATCCTCAAAACTAGCCAAATATCCACTTGCAGATTCCACAAAAAGAGCGTTTCAAAACTTCTCTATGAAAAGAAAGGTTCTACTCCTTTAGTTGAGGGCACACATCACGAGTAAGTTTCTGAGAATGCTTCTGTCTAGTTTTTATGGGAAGATATTTCCTTTTTCACCTTTGGCCGGTAAGTGCTCCAAATGTCCACTTACACACACTACAAAAAGAGTGTTTCAAACCTGCTCTGTGAAAGGGAATGTTCAATTCTGTGACTTGAATGCAATCATCACAAAGAACTTTCTGAGAATGCTGCTGACTGCTTTTTATATGTAATCCCGTTTCCAACGAAATCCTCAAATCTAGCCAAATAGCCACTTGCAGATTCCACAAAAAGAGTGTTTCAAAACTGTTCTGTCTAAAGAAATGTTCAACTGTGTTAGTTGAGGACACACATCAGAAACTAGTTTCTGAGAATGCTTCTGTCTAGTTGTTATGGGAAGATATTTCCTTTTCCAACGTAGGCCTGAAAACGATCAAAATGTCCACTTCCATATACTAAAAAAAGAGTGTTTCAAACCTGCTCTACCAAAGGGAATGTTCTACTCTGTGACTTGAATGCAAACATCCCAAAGAAGTTTGCTGAGAATGCTTCTGTCTAGATTTTCTCTGAGACAATCCCGTTTCCAACGAAATCCTCAAGGCTAGGCAAATATACTCTTGCAGATTCCAGAAAAAGAGTGTTTCAAAACTGCTCCTTCAAAACGGTGGTTCAATTCTCTTAGTTGAGTACACACATCTCAAATAAGTTTCTGAGAATGCTTCTGCCTAGTTGTTACGGGAAGATATTTCCCTTTCCAACATGGGCCTGAAAGCGCTCCAAATGTCCACTTCCAGATACTACAAAAAGAGTGTTTCAAACCTGCTCTACCAAAGGGAATGTTCTACTCTGTGACTTGAATGCAAACATCCCAAAGAAGTTTCTGAGAATGCTTCTGTCTAGATTTTACCTGAAGACAATCCCGTTTCCCACGAAATCCTCAAAGCTATGCAAATATCCTCTTGCAGATTCTACAAAAAGAGTGTTTCAAAACTGCTCTATGAAAAGAAAGGTTCAACTCTGTCAGTAGAGGGCACACATCACAAACAAGTTTCTGAGAATGCTTCTGCATAGTTGTTACGGGAAGATATTTCCCTTTCCAAAATAGGCCTGAAAGCGCTCCAAATGTCCACTTCCAGATACTACAAAAGGAGTGATTCCAACCTGCTCTATGATAGGGAATGTTCAACTCTGTGTCCTGAATACAAACATCACAAAGATGTTTCTCAGAACGCTGCAGTCTGCAATTTGTATGAATTCCCGCTTCCAACGAAATCCTCAAAACTAGCCAAATATCCACTTGCAGATTCCACAAAAAGACCATTTCAAAACTGCTCTATCAAAAGAAAGGTTCAACTTTGTTAGTTGAGTAGATACAGCATAAACAAGTTTCTGAGAATGCTTCTGTCCAGTTTTTATGGGAAGATATTTCCTTTTTCACCTTAGCCCTGAAATCGCTCCAAAAGTCCAGTTCCAGATACTACAAAAGGGGTGTTTCAGGACTGCTCTATGAAAGGGAGTGTTCAACTTTTGACTTGAATGCAAACATCAGAAAGCAGTTTCTCAGAACGCTGCTGTGTGCTTTTTATATGTATTCCCGCTTCCAGCGAAATCCCCAAAGCTAGCCAAATATCCACTTGCAGATTCCAGAAAAAGAGAGTTTCAAAACTGCTCCTTCAAAACGGTGGTTCAATTCTCTTAGTTGAGTACACACATCTCAAATAAGTTTCTGAGAATGCTTGTGTCTACTTGTTATGGGAAGATATTTCCTTTTTCAACATAGGCCTGAAAGCGCTCCAAATGTCCACTTCCAGATACTACAAAAGGAGTGATTCCAACCTGCTCTATGATAGGGAATGTTCAACTCTGTGTCCTGAATACAAACATCACAAAGAAGTTTCTCAGAACGCTGCAGTCTGCAATTTGTATGAATTCCCGCTTCCAACGAAATCCTCAAAACTAGCCAAATATCCACTTGCAGATTCCACAAAAAGAGCGTTTCAAAACTTCTCTATGAAAAGAAAGGTTCTACTCCTTTAGTTGAGGACACACATCACGAGTAAGTTTCTGAGAATGCTTCTGTCTAGTTTTTATGGGAAGATATTTCCTTTTTCACCTTAGGCCGGTAAGTGCTCCAAATGTCCACTTACACACACTACAAAAAGAGTGTTTCAAACCTGCTCTGTGAAAGGGAATGTTCAATTCTGTGACTTGAATGCAATCATCACAAAGAACTTTCTGAGAATGCCGCTGACTGCTTTTTATATGTAATCCCGTTTCCAACGAAATCCTCAAATCTAGCCAAATAGCCACTTGCAGATTCCACAAAAAGAGTGTTTCAAAACTGTTCTGTCTAAAGAAATGTTCAACTGTGTTAGTTGAGGACACACATCAGAAACTAGTTTCTGAGAATGCTTCTGTCTAGTTGTTATGGGAAGATATTTCCTTTTCCAACATGGGCCTGAAAGCGCTCCAAATGTCCACTTCCAGATACTACAAAAAGAGTGTTTCAAACCTGCTCTACCAAAGGGAATGTTCTACTCTGTGACTTGAATGCAAACATCCCAAAGAAGTTTCTGAGAATGCTTCTGTCTAGATTTTCTCTGAAGACAATCCCGTTTCCAACGAAATCCTCAAGGCTAGGCAAATATACTCTTGCAGATTCCAGAAAAAGAGTGTTTCAAAACTGCTCCTTCAAAACGGTGGTTCAATTCTCTTAGTTGAGTACACACATCTCAAATAAGTTTCTGAGAATGCTTCTGCCTAGTTGTTACGGGAAGATATTTCCCTTTCCAACATGGGCCTGAAAGCGCTCCAAATGTCCACTTCCAGATACTACAAAAAGAGTGTTTCAAACCTGCTCTACCAAAGGGAATGTTCTACTCTGTGACTTGAATGCAAACATCCCAAAGAAGTTTCTGAGAATGCTTCTGTCTAGATTTTACCTGAAGACAATCCCGTTTCCCACGAAATCCTCAAAGCTATGCAAATATCCTCTTGCAGATTCTACAAAAAGAGTGTTTCAAAACTGCTCTATGAAAAGAAAGGTTCAACTCTGTCAGTAGAGGGCACACATCACAAACAAGTTTCTGAGAATGCTTCTGTCTAGTTGTTATGGGAAGATATTTCCTTTTCCAACATAGGCCTGAAAGCGCTCCAAATGTCCACTTCCAGATACTACAAAAGGAGTGATTCCAACCTGCTCTATGATAGGGAATGTTCAACTCAGTGTCCTGAATACAAACATCACAAAGATGTTTCTCAGAACGCTGCAGTCTGCAATTTGTATGAATTCCCGCTTCCAACGAAATCCTCAAAACTAGCCAAATATCCACTTGCAGATTCCACAAAAAGAGCATTTCAAAACTGCTCTATCAAAAGAAAGGTTCAACTTTGTTAGTTGAGTAGATACAGCATAAACAAGTTTCTGAGAATGCTTCTGTCCAGTTTTTATGGGAAGATATTTCCTTTTTCACCTTAGCCCTGAAAGCGCTCCAAAACTCCAGTTCCAGATACTACAAAAGGAGTGTTTCAGGACTGCTCTATGAAAGGGAGTGTTCAACTTTTGACTTGAATGCAAACATCAGAAAGCAGTTTCTCAGAACGCTGCTGTGTGCTTTTTATATGTATTCCCGCCTCCAGCGAAATCCCCAAAGCTAGCCAAATATCCACTTGCAGATTCCAGAAAAAGAGTGTTTCAAAACTGCTCCTTCAAAACGGTGGTTCAATTCTCTTAGTTGAGTACACACATCTCAAATAAGTTTCTGAGAATGCTGCTGTGTGCTTTTTATATGTATTCCCGCTTCCAGCGAAATCCCCATAGCTAGCCAAATATCCACTTGCAGATTCCAGAAAAAGAGTGTTTCCAAACTGCTCCTTCAAAACGGTGGTTCAATTCTCTTAGTTGAGTACACACATCTCAAATAAGTTTCTGGGAATGCTTCTGTCTAGTTGTTATGGGAAGATATTTCCTTTTCCAACATAGGCCTGAAAGCGCTCCAAATGTCCACTTCCAGATACTACAAAAGGAGTGATTCAAACCTGCTCTATGATAGGGAATGTTCAACTCTGTGTCCTGAATACAAACATCACAAAGATGTTTCTCAGAACGCTGCAGTCTGCAATTTGTATGAATTCCCGCTTCCAACGAAATCCTCAAAACTAGCCAAATATCCACTTGCAGATTCCACAAAAAGAGCATTTCAAAACTGCTCTATCAAAAGAAAGGTTCAACTTTGTTAGTTGAGTAGATACAGCATAAACAAGTTTCTGAGAATGCTTCTGTCCATTTTTTATGGGAAGATATTTCCTTTTTCACCTTAGCCCTGAAAGCGCTCCAAAAGTCCAGTTCCAGATACTGCAAAAGGAGTGTTTCAGGACTGCTCTATGAAAGGGAGTGTTCAACTTTTGACTTGAATGCAAACATCAGAAAGCAGTTTCTCAGAACGATGCTGTGTGCTTTTTATATGTATTCCCGCTTCCAGCGAAATCCCCAAAGCTAGCCAAATATCCACTTGCAGATTCCAGAAAAAGAGTGTTTCAAAACTGCTCCTTCAAAACGGTGGTTCAATTCTCTTAGTTGAGTACACACATCTCAAATAAGTTTCTGAGAATGCTGCAGTCTGCAATTTGTATGAATTCCCGCTTCCAACGAAATCCTCAAATCTAGCCAAATATCCACTTGCAGATTCCACAAAAAGAGCGTTTCAAAACTTCTCTATGAATAGAAAGGTTCTACTCTTTTAGTTGAAGACACACATCACGAGTAAGTTTCTGAGAATGCTTCTGTCTAGTTTTTATGGGAAGATATTTCCTTTTTCACCTTAGGCTGGAAAGTGCTCCAAATGTCCACTTACACACACTACAAAAAGAGTGTTTCAAACCTGCTCTGTGAAAGGGAATTTTCAATTCTGTGACTTGAATGCAATCATCACAAAGAACTTTCTGAGAATGCTGCTGTCTGCTTTTTATATGTAATCCCGTTTCCAACGAAATCCTCAAATCTAGCCAAATAGCCACTTGCAGATTCCACAAAAAGAGTGTTTCAAAACTGTTCTGTCTAAAGAAATGTTCAACTGTGTTAGTTGAGGACACACATCAGAAACTAGTTTCTGAGAATGCTTCTGTCTAGTTGTTATGGGAAGATATTTCCTTTTCCAACGTAGGCCTGAAAGCGCTCCAAATGTCCACTTCCATATACTAAAAAAAGAGTGTTTCAAACCTGCTCTACCAAAGGGAATGTTCTACTCTGTGACTTGAATGCAAACATCCCAAAGAAGTTTCTGAGAATGCTTCTGTCTAGATTTGATCTGAAGACAATCCCGTTTCCAACGAAATCCTCAAGGCTAGGCAAATATCCTCTTGCAGATTCCAGAAAAAGAGTGTTTCAAAACTGCTCCTTCAAAACGGTGGTTCAATTCTCTTAGTTGAGTACACACATCTCAAATAAGTTTCTGAGAATGCTTCTGCCTAGTTGTTACGGGAAGATATTTCCCTTTCCAACATAGGCCTGAAAGCGCTCCAAATGTCCACTTCCAGATACTACAAAAAGAGTGTTTCAAACCTGCTCTACCAAAGGGAATGTTCTACTCTGTGACTTGAATGCAAACATCCCAAAGAAGTTTCTGAGAATGCTTCTGTCTAGATTTTTCCTGAGACAATCCCGTTTCCCACGAAATCCTCAAAGCTATGCAAATATCCTCTTGCAGATTCTACAAAAAGAGTGTTTCAAAACTGCTCTATGAAAAGAAAGGTTCAACTCTGTCAGTAGAGGGCACACATCACAAACAAGTTTCTGAGAATGCTTGTGTCTAGTTGTTATGGGAAGATATTTCCTTTTCCAACATAGGCCTGAAAGCGTTCCAAATGTCCACTTCCAGATACTACAAAAGGAGGGATTCCAACCTGGTCTATGATAGGGAATGTTCAACTCTCTGTCCTGAATACAAACATCACAAAGATGTTTCTCAGAACGCTGCAGTCTGCAATTTGTATGAATTCCCGCTTCCAACGAAATCCTCAAAACTAGCCAAATATCCACTTGCAGATTCCACAAAAAGAGCGTTTCAAAACTTCTCTATGAAAAGAAAGGTTCTACTCCTTTAGTTGAGGACACACATCACGAGTAAGTTTCTGAGAATGCTTCTGTCTAGTTTTTAAGGGAAGATATTTCCTTTTTCACCTTAGGCCGGAAAGTGCTCCAAATGTCCACTTACACACACTACAAAAAGAGTGTTTCAAACCTGCTCTGTGAAAGGGAATGTTCAATTCTGTGACTTGAATGCAATCATCACAAAGAACTTTCTGAGAATGCTGCTGACTGCTTTTTATATGTAATCCCGTTTCCAACGAAATCCTCAAATCTAGCCAAATAGCCACTTGCAGATTCCACAAAAAGAGTGTTTCAAAACTGTTCTGTCTAAAGAAATGTTCAACTGTGTTAGTTGAGGACACACATCAGAAACTAGTTTCTGAGAATGCTTCTGTCTAGTTGTTATGGGAAGATATTTCCTTTTCCAACGTAGGCCTGAAAGCGCTCCAAATGTCCACTTCCATATACTAAAAAAAGAGTGTTTCAAACCTGCTCTACCAAAGGGAATGTTCTACTCTGTGACTTGAATGCAAACATCCCAAAGAAGTTTCTGAGAATGCTTCTGTCTAGATTTTCTCTGAAGACAATCCCGTTTCCAACGAAATCCTCAAGGCTAGGCAAATATACTCTTGCAGATTCCAGAAAAAGAGTGTTTCAAAACTGCTCCTTCAAAACGGTGGTTCAATTCTCTTAGTTGAGTACACACATCTCAAATAAGTTTCTGAGAATGCTTCTGCCTAGTTGTTACGGGAAGATATTTCCCTTTCCAACATAGGCCTGAAAGCGCTCCAAATGTCCACTTCCAGATACTACAAAAAGAGTGTTTCAAACCTGCTCTACCAAAGGGAATGTTCTACTCTGTGACTTGAATGCAAACATCCCAAAGAAGTTTCTGAGAATGCTTCTGTCTAGATTTTACCTGAAGACAATCCCGTTTCCCACGAAATCCTCAAAGCTATGCAAATATCCTCTTGCAGATTCTACAAAAAGAGTGTTTCAAAACTGCTCTATGAAAAGAAAGGTTCAACTCTGTCAGTAGAGGGCACACATCACAAACAAGTTTCTGAGAATGCTTCTGCATAGTTGTTACGGGAAGATATTTCCCTTTCCAAAATAGGCCTGAAAGCGCTCCAAATGTCCACTTCCAGATACTACAAAAGGAGTGATTCCAACCTGCTCTATGATAGGGAATGTTCAACTCTGTGTCCTGAATACAAACATCACAAAGATGTTTCTCAGAACACGCTGCAGTCTGCAATTTGTATGAATTCCCGCTTCCAACGAAATCCTCAAAACTAGCCAAATATCCACTTGCAGATTCCACAAAAAGACCATTTCAAAACTGCTCTATCAAAAGAAAGGTTCAACTTTGTTAGTTGAGTAGATACAGCATAACCAAGTTTCTGAGAATGCTTCTGTCCAGTTTTTATGGTAAGATATTTCCTTTTTCACCTTAGCCCTGAAATCGCTCCAAAAGTCCAGTTCCAGATACTACAAAAGGGGTGTTTCAAGACTGCTCTATGAAAGGGAGTGTTCAACTTTTGACTTGAATGCAAACATCAGAAAGCAGTTTCTCAGAACGCTGCTGTGTGCTTTTTATATGTATTCCCGCTTCCAGCGAAATCCCCAAAGCTAGCCAAATATCCACTTGCAGATTCCAGAAAAAGAGAGTTTCAAAACTGCTCCTTCAAAACGGTGGTTCAATTCTCTTAGTTGAGTACACACATCTCAAATAAGTTTCTGAGAATGCTTCTGTCTAGTTGTTATGGGAAGATATTTCCTTTTCCAACATAGGCCTGAAAGCGCTCCAAATGTCCACTTCCAGATACTACAAAAGGAGTGATTCCAACCTGCTCTATGATAGGGAATGTTCAACTCTGTGTCCTGAATACAAACATCACAAAGATGTTTCTCAGAACGCTGCAGTCTGCAATTTGTATGAATTCCCGCTTCCAACGAAATCCTCAAAACTAGCCAAATATCCACTTGCAGATTCCACAAAAAGAGCGTTTCAAAACTTCTCTATGAAAAGAAAGGTTCTACTCCTTTAGTTGAGGACACACATCACGAGTAAGTTTCTGAGAATGCTTCTGTCTAGTTTTTATGGGAAGATTATTTCCTTTTTCACCTTAGGCCGGTAAGTGCTCCAAATGTCCACTTACACACACTACAAAAAGAGTGTTTCAAACCTGCTCTGTGAAAGGGAATGTTCAATTCTGTGACTTGAATGCAATCATCACAAAGAACTTTCTGAGAATGCTGCTGACTGCTTTTTATATGTAATCCCGTTTCCAACGAAATCCTCAAATCTAGCCAAATAGCCACTTGCAGATTCCACAAAAAGAGTGTTTCAAAACTGTTCTGTCTAAAGAAATGTTCAACTGTGTTAGTTGAGGACACACATCAGAAACTAGTTTCTGAGAATGCTTCTGTCTAGTTGTTATGGGAAGATATTTCCTTTTCCAACGTAGGCCTGAAAGCGCTCCAAATGTCCACTTCCAGATACTACAAAAAGAGTGTTTCAAACCTGCTCTACCAAAGGGAATGTTCTACTCTGTGACTTGAATGCAAGCATCCCAAAGAAGTTTCTGAGAATGCTTCTGTCTAGATTTTCTCTGAAGACAATCCCGTTTCCAACGAAATCCTCAAGGCTAGGCAAATATCCTCTTGCAGATTCCAGAAAAAGAGTGTTTCAAAACTGCTCCTTCAAAACGGTGGTTCAATTCTCTTAGTTGAGTACACACATCTCAAATAAGTTTCTGAGAATGCTTCTGCCTAGTTGTTACGGGAAGATATTTCCCTTTCCAACATGGGCCTGAAAGCGCTCCAAATGTCCACTTCCAGATACTACAAAAAGAGTGTTTCAAACCTGCTCTACCAAAGGGAATGTTCTACTCTGTGACTTGAATGCAAACATCCCAAAGAAGTTTCTGAGAATGCTTCTGTCTAGATTTTACCTGAAGACAATCCCGTTTCCCACGAAATCCTCAAAGCTATGCAAATATCCTCTTGCAGATTCTACAAAAAGAGTGTTTCAAAACTGCTCTATGAAAAGAAAGGTTCAACTCTGTCAGTAGAGGGCACACATCACAAACAAGTTTCTGAGAATGCTTCTGCATAGTTGTTACGGGAAGATATTTCCCTTTCCAAAATAGGCCTGAAAGCGCTCCAAATGTCCACTTCCAGATACTACAAAAGGAGTGATTCCAACCTGCTCTATGATAGGGAATGTTCAACTCTGTGTCCTGAATACAAACATCACAAAGATGTTTCTCAGAACGCTGCAGTCTGCAATTTGTATGAATTCCCGCTTCCAACGAAATCCTCAAAACTAGCCAAATATCCACTTGCAGATTCCACAAAAAGACCATTTCAAAACTGCTCTATCAAAAGAAAGGTTCAACTTTGTTAGTTGAGTAGATACAGCATAAACAAGTTTCTGAGAATGCTTCTGTCCAGTTTTTATGGGAAGATATTTCCTTTTTCACCTTAGCCCTGAAATCGCTCCAAAAGTCCAGTTCCAGATACTACAAAAGGGGTGTTTCAGGACTGCTCTATGAAAGGGAGTGTTCAACTTTTGACTTGAATGCAAACATCAGAAAGCAGTTTCTCAGAACGCTGCTGTGTGCTTTTTATATGTATTCCCGCTTCCAGCGAAATCCCCAAAGCTAGCCAAATATCCACTTGCAGATTCCAGAAAAAGAGAGTTTCAAAACTGCTCCTTCAAAACGGTGGTTCAATTCTCTTAGTTGAGTACACACATCTCAAATAAGTTTCTGAGAATGCTTCTGTCTAGTTGTTATGGGAAGATATTTCCTTTTCCAACATAGGCCTGAAAGCGCTCCAAATGTCCACTTCCAGATACTACAAAAGGAGTGATTCAAACCTGCTCTATGATAGGGAATGTTCAACTCTGTGTCCTGAATACAAACATCACAAAGATGTTTCTCAGAACGCTGCAGTCTGCAATTTGTATGAATTCCCGCTTCCAACGAAATCCTCAAAACTAGCCAAATATCCACTTGCAGATTCCACAAAAAGAGCGTTTCAAAACTTCTCTATGAAAAGAAAGGTTCTACTCCTTTAGTTGAGGACACACATCACGAGTAAGTTTCTGAGAATGCTTCTGTCTAGTTTTTATGGGAAGATATTTCCTTTTTCACCTTAGGCCGGAAAGTGCTCCAAATGTCCACTTACACACACTACAAAAAGAGTGTTTCAAACCTGCTCTGTGAAAGGGAATGTTCAATTCTGTGACTTGAATGCAATCATCACAAAGAACTTTCTGAGAATGCTGCTGTCTGCTTTTTATATGTAATCCCGTTTCCAACGAAATCCTCAAATCTAGCCAAATAGCCACTTGCAGATTCCACAAAAAGAGTGTTTCAAAACTGTTCTGTCTAAAGAAATGTTCAACTGTGTTAGTTGAGGACACACATCAGAAACTAGTTTCTGATAATGCTTCTGTCTAGTTGTTATGGGAAGATATTTCCTTTTCCAACGTAGGCCTGAAAGCGCTCCAAATGTCCACTTCCATATACTAAAAAAAGAGTGTTTCAAACCTGCTCTACCAAAGGGAATGTTCTACTCTGTGACTTGAATGCAAACATCCCAAAGAAGTTTCTGAGAATGCTTCTGTCTAGATTTGATCTGAAGACAATCCCGTTTCCAACGAAATCCTCAAGGCTAGGCAAATATCCTCTTGCAGATTCCAGAAAAAGAGTGTTTCAAAACTGCTCCTTCAAAACGGTGGTTCAATTCTCTTAGTTGAGTACACACATCTCAAATAAGTTTCTGAGAATGCTTCTGCCTAGTTGTTACGGGAAGATATTTCCCTTTCCAACATAGGCCTGAAAGCGCTCCAAATGTCCACTTCCAGATACTACAAAAAGAGTGTTTCAAACCTGCTCTACCAAAGGGAATGTTCTACTCTGTGACTTGAATGCAAACATCCCAAAGAAGTTTCTGAGAATGCTTCTGTCTAGATTTTACCTGAAGACAATCCCGTTTCCCACGAAATCCTCAAAGCTATGCAAATATCCTCTTGCAGATTCTACAAAAAGAGTGTTTCAAAACTGCTCTATGAAAAGAAAGGTTCAACTCTGTCAGTAGAGGGCACACATCACAAACAAGTTTCTGAGAATGCTTCTGCATAGTTGTTACGGGAAGATATTTCCCTTTCCAAAATAGGCCTGAAAGCGCTCCAAATGTCCACTTCCAGATACTACAAAAGGAGTGATTCCAACCTGCTCTATGATAGGGAATGTTCAACTCTGTGTCCTGAATACAAACATCACAAAGATGTTTCTCAGAACGCTGCAGTCTGCAATTTGTATGAATTCCCGCTTCCAACGAAATCCTCAAAACTAGCCAAATATCCACTTGCAGATTCCACAAAAAGACCATTTCAAAACTGCTCTATCAAAAGAAAGGTTCAACTTTGTTAGTTGAGTAGATACAGCATAAACAAGTTTCTGAGAATGCTTCTGTCCAGTTTTTATGGGAAGATATTTCCTTTTTCACCTTAGCCCTGAAGGCGCTCCAAATGTCCAGTTCCAGATACTACAAAAGGGGTGTTTCAAGACTGCTCTATGAAAGGGAGTGTTCAACTTTTGACTTGAATGCAAACATCAGAAAGCAGTTTCTCAGAACGCTGCTGTGTGCTTTTTATATGTATTCCCGCTTCCAGCGAAATCCCCAAAGCTAGCCAAATATCCACTTGCAGATTCCAGAAAAAGAGTGTTTCAAAACTGCTCCTTCAAAACGGTGGTTCAATTCTCTTAGTTGAGTACACACATCTCAAATAAGTTTCTGAGAATGCTTCTGCCTAGTTGTTATGGGAAGATATTTCCTTTTTCAACATAGGCCTGAAAGCGCTCCAAATGTCCACTTCCAGATACTACAAAAGGAGTGATTCCAACCTGCTCTATGATAGGGAATGTTCAACTCTGTGTCCTGAATACAAACATCACAAAGATGTTTCTCACAACGCTGCAGTCTGCAATTTGTATGAATTCCCGCTTCCAACGAAATCCTCAAACCTAGCCAAATATCCACTTGCAGATTCCACAAAAAGAGCATTTCAAAACTGCTCTATCAAAAGAAAGGTTCAACTTTGTTAGTTGAGTAGATACAGCATAAACAAGTTTCTGAGAATGCTTCTGTCCAGTTTTTATGGGAAGATATTTCCTTTTTCACCTTAGCCCTGAAAGCGCTCCAAATGTCCAGTTCCAGATACTACAAAAGGGGTGTTTCAAGACTGCTCTATGAAAGGGAGTGTTCAACTTTTGACTTGAATGCAAACATCAGAAAGCAGTTTCTCAGAACGCTGCTGTGTGCTTTTTATATGTATTCCCGCTTCCAGCGAAATCCCCAAAGCTAGCCAAATATCCACTTGCAGATTCCAGAAAAAGAGTGTTTCAAAACTGCTCCTTCAAAACGGTGGTTCAATTCTCTTAGTTGAGTACACACATCTCAAATAAGTTTCTGAGAATGCTTCTGTCTAGTTGTTATGGGAAGATATTTCCTTTTCCAACATAGGCCTGAAAGCGCTCCAAATGTCCACTTCCAGATACTACAAAAGGAGTGATTCCAACCTGCTCTATGATAGGGAATGTTCAACTCTGTGTCCTGAATACAAACATCACAAAGATGTTTCTCAGAACGCTGCAGTCTGCAATTTGTATGAATTCCCGCTTCCAACGGAAATCCTCAAAACTAGCCAAATATCCACTTGCAGATTCCACAAAAAGAGCGTTTCAAAACTTCTCTATGAAAAGGAAGGTTCTACTCCTTTAGTTGAGGACACACATCACGAGTAAGTTTCTGAGAATGCTTCTGTCTAGTTTTTATGGGAAGATATTTCCTTTCTCACCTTAGGCCGGAAAGTGCTCCAAATGTCCACTTACACACACTACAAAAAGAGTGTTTCAAACCTGCTCTGTGAAAGGGAATGTTCAATTCTGTGACTTGAATGCAATCATCACAAAGAACTTTCTGAGAATGCTGCTGTCTGCTTTTTATATGTAATCCCGTTTCCAACGAAATCCTCAAATCTAGCCAAATAGCCACTTGCAGATTCCACAAAAAGAGAGTTTCAAAACTGTTCTGTCTAAAGAAATGTTCAACTGTGTTAGTTGAGGACACACATCAGAAACTAGTTTCTGAGAATGCTTCTGTCTAGTTGTTATGGGAAGATATTTCCTTTTCCAACGTAGGCCTGAAAGCGCTCCAAATGTCCACTTCCATATACTAAAAAAAGAGTGTTTCACACCTGCTCTACCAAAGGGAATGTTCTACTCTGTGACTTGAATGCAAACATCCCAAAGAAGTTTCTGAGAATGCTTCTGTCTAGATTTGATCTGAACACAATCCCGTTTCCAACGAAATCCTCAAAGCTAGGCAAATATCCTCTTGCAGATTCCAGAAAAAGAGTGTTTCAAAACTGCTCCTTCAAAACGGTGGTTCAATTCTCTTAGTTGAGTACACACATCTCAAATAAGTTTCTGAGAATGCTTCTGCCTAGTTGTTACCGGAAGATATTTCCCTTTCCAACATAGGCCTGAAAGCGCTCCAAATGTCCACTTCCAGATACTACAAAAAGAGTGTTTCAAACCTGCTCTACCAAAGGGAATGTTCTACTCTGTGACTTGAATGCAAACATCCCAAAGAAGTTTCTGAGAATGCTTCTGTCTAGATTTTACCTGAAGACAATCCCGTTTCCCACGAAATCCTCAAAGCTATGCAAATATCCTCTTGCAGATTCTACAAAAAGAGTGTTTCAAAACTGCTCTATGAAAAGAAAGGTTCAACTCTGTCAGTAGAGGGCACACATCACAAACAAGTTTCTGAGAATGCTTGTGTCTAGTTGTTATGGGAAGATATTTCCTTTTTCAACATAGGCCTGAAAGCGCTCCAAATGTCCACTTCCAGATACTACAAAAGGAGTGATTCCAACCTGCTCTATGATAGGGAATGTTCAACTCTGTGTCCTGAATACAAACATCACAAAGATGTTTCTCAGAACGCTGCAGTCTGCAATTTGTATGAATTCCCGCTTCCAACGAAATCCTCAAAACTAGCCAAATATCCACTTGCAGATTCCACAAAAAGAGCGTTTCAAAACTTCTCTATAAAAAGAAAGGTTCTACTCCTTTAGTTGAGGACACACATCACCAGTAAGTTTCTGAGAATGCTTGTCTAGTTTTTATGGGAAGATATTTCCTTTTTCACCTTAGGCCGGTAAGTGCTCCAAATGTCCACTTACACACACTACAAAAAGAGTGTTTCAAACCTGCTCTGTGAAAGGGAATGTTCAATTCTGTGACTTGAATGCAATCATCACAAAGAACTTTCTGAGACTGCTGCTGTCTGCTTTGTATATGTAATCCCGTTTCCAACGAAATCCTCATATCTAGCTAAATATCCACTTGCAGATTCCAGAAAAAGAGTGTTTCAAAACTGCTCCTTCAAAACGGTGGTTCAATTCTCTTAGTTGAGTACACACATCTCAAATAAGTTTCTGAGAATGCTTCTGTCTAGTTGTTATGGGAAGATATTTCCTTTTCCAACGTAGGCCTGAAAGCGCTCCAAGTGTCCACTTCCATATACGAAAAAAAGAGTGTTTCAAACCTGCTCTACCAAAGGGAATCTTCTACTCTGTGACTTGAATGCAAACATCCCAAAGAAGTTTCTGAGAATGCCGCAGTCTGCAATTTGTATGAATTCCCGCTTCCAACGAAATCCTCAAAACTAGCCAAATATCCACTTGGAGATTGCACAAAAAGAGCGTTTCAAAACTTCTCTATCAATAGAAAGGTTCTACTCCTTTAGTTGAGGACACACATCACGAGTAAGTTTCTGAGAATGCTTCTGTCTAGTTTTTATGGGAAGATATGTCCTTTTTCACCTTAGGCCGGAAAGCGCTCCAAATGTCCACTTACACACACTACAAAAAGAGTGTTTCAAACCTGCTCTATGAAAGGGAATGTTCAATTCTGTGACTTGAATGCAATCATCACAAAGAACTTTCTGAGAATGCTGCTGTCTGCTTTTTATATGTAATCCCGTTTCCAACGAAATCCTCAAATCTAGCCAAATAGCCACTTGCAGATACCACAAAAAGAGTGTTTCAAAACTGTTCTGTCTAAAGAAATGTTCAACTGTGTTAGTTGAGGACACATATCAGAAACTAGTTTCTGAGAATGCTTCTGTCTAGTTGTTATGGGAAGATATTTCCTTTTCCAACGTAGGCCTGAAAGCGCTCCAAATGTCCACTTCCATATACTAAAAAAAGAGTGTTTCAAACCTGCTCTACCAAAGGGAATGTTCTACTCTGTGACTTGAATGCAAACATCTCAAAGAAGTTTCTGAGAATGCTTCTGTCTAGATTTGATCTGAAGACAATCCGGTTTCCAACGAAATCCTCAAGGCTAGGCAAATATCCTCTTGCAGATTCCAGAAAAAGAGTGTTTCAAAACTGCTCCTTCAAAACGGTGGTTCAATTCTCTTAGTTGAGTACACACATCTCAAATAAGTTTCTGAGAATGCTTCTGCCTAGTTGTTACGGGAAGATATTTCCCTTTCCAACATAGGCCTGAAAGCGCTCCAAATGTCCACTTCCAGATACTACAAAAAGAGTGTTTCAAACCTGCTCTACCAAAGGGAATGTTCTACTCTGTGACTTGAATGCAAACATCCCAAAGAAGTTTCTGAGAATGCTTCTGTCTAGATTTTACCTGAAGACAATCCCGTTTCCCACGAAATCCTCAAAGCTATGCAAATATCCTCTTGCAGATTCTACAAAAAGAGTGTTTCAAAACTGCTCTATGAAAAGAAAGGTTCAACTCTGTCAGTAGAGGGCACACATCACAAACAAGTTTCTGAGAATGCTTGTGTCTAGTTGTTATGGGAAGATATTTCCTTTTTCAACATAGGCCAGAAAGCGCTCCAAATGTCCACTTCCAGATACTACAAAAGGAGTGATTCCAACCTGCTCTATGATAGGGAATGTTCAACTCTCTGTCCTGAATACAAACATCACAAAGATGTTTCTCAGAACGCTGCAGTCTGCAATTTGTATGAATTCCCGCTTCCAACGAAATCCTCAAAACTAGCCAAATATCCACTTGCAGATTGCACAAAAAGAGCATTTCAAAACTGCTCTATCAAAAGAAAGGTTCAACTTTGTTAGTTGAGTAGATACAGCATAAACAAGTTTCTGAGAATGCTTTTCTCCAGTTTTTATGGGAAGATATTTCCTTTTTCACCTTAGCCCTGAAAGCGCTCCAAATGTCCAGTTCCCGATACTACAAAAGGGGTGTTTCAAGACTGCTCTATGAAAGGGAGTGTTCAACTTTTGACTTGAATGCAAACATCAGAAAGCAGTTTCTCAGAACGCTGCTGTGTGCTTTTTATATGTATTCCCGCTTCCAGCGAAATCCCCAAAGCTAGCCAAATATCCACTTGCAGATTCCAGAAAAAGAGTGTTTCAAAACTGCTCCTTCAAAACGGTGGTTCAATTCTCTTAGTTGAGTACACACATCTCAAATAAGTTTCTGAGAATGCTTCTGTCTAGTTGTTATGGGAAGATATTTCCTTTTCCAACATAGGCCTGAAAGCGCTCCAAATGTCCACTTCCAGATACTACAAAAGGAGTGATTCCAACCTGCTCTATGATAGGGAATGTTCAACTCTGTGTCCTGAATACAAACATCACAAAGATGTTTCTCAGAACGCTGCAGTCTGCAATTTGTATGAATTCCCGCTTCCAACGAAATCCTCCAAACTAGCCAAATATCCACTTGCAGATTCCACAAAAAGAGCGTTTCAAAACTTCTCTATGAAAAGAAAGGTTCTACTCCTTTAGTTGAGGACACACATCACGAGTAAGTTTCTGAGAATGCTTCTGTCTAGTTTTTATGGGAAGATATGTCCTTTTTCACCTTAGGCCGGAAAGCGCTCCAAATGTCCACTTACACACACTACAAAAAGAGTGTTTCAAACCTGCTCTGTGAAAGGGAATGTTCAATTCTGTGACTTGAATGCAATCATCACAAAGAACTTTCTGAGAATGCTGCTGACTGCTTTTTATATGTAATCCCGTTTCCAACGAAATCCTCAAATCTAGCCAAATAGCCACTTGCAGATTCCACAAAAAGAGTGTTTCAAAACTGTTCTGTCTAAAGAAATGTTCAACTGTGTTAGTTGAGGACACACATCAGAAACTAGTTTCTGAGAATGCTTCTGTCTAGTTGTTATGGGAAGATATTTCCTTTTCCAACGTAGGCCTGAAAGCGCTCCAAATGTCCACTTCCAGATACTACAAAAAGAGTGTTTCAAACCTGCTCTACCAAAGGGAATGTTCTACTCTGTGACTTGAATGCAAACATCCCAAAGAAGTTTCTGAGAATACTTCTGTCTAGATTTTCTCTGAAGACAATCCCGTTTCCAACGAAATCCTCAAGGCTAGGCAAATATACTCTTGCAGATTCCAGAAAAAGAGTGTTTCAAAACTGCTCCTTCAAAACGGTGGTTCAATTCTCTTAGTTGAGTACACACATCTCAAATAAGTTTCTGAGAATGCTTCTGCCTAGTTGTTACGGGAAGATATTTCCCTTTCCAACATGGGCCTGAAAGCGCTCCAAATGTCCACTTCCAGATACTACAAAAAGAGTGTTTCAAACCTGCTCTACCAAAGGGAATGTTCTACTCTGTGACTTGAATGCAAACATCCCAAAGAAGTTTCTGAGAATGCTTCTGTCTAGATTTTACCTGAAGACAATCCCGTTTCCCACGAAATCCTCAAAGCTATGCAAATATCCTCTTGCAGATTCTACAAAAAGAGTGTTTCAAAACTGCTCTATGAAAAGAAAGGTTCAACTCTGTCAGTAGAGGGCACACATCACAAACAAGTTTCTGAGAATGCTTGTGTCTAGTTGTTATGGGAAGATATTTCCTTTTTCAACATAGGCCTGAAAGCGGTCCAAATGTCCACTTCCAGATACTACAAAAGGAGTGATTCCAACATGCTCTATGATAGGGAATGTTCATCTCTGTGTCTTGAATACAAACATCACAAAGATGTTTCTCAGAACGCTGCAGTCTGCAATTTGTATGAATTCCCGCTTCCAACGGAAATCCTCAAAACTAGCCAAATATCCACTTGGAGATTCCACAAAAAGAGCGTTTCAAAACTTCTCTATGAATAGAAAGGTTCTACTCCTTTAGTTGAGGACACACATCACGAGTAAGTTTCTGAGAATGCTTCTGTCTAGTTTTTATGGGAAGATATTTCCTTTTTCACCTTAGGCCCGGAAAGCGCTCCAAATGTCCACTTACACACACTACAAAAAGAGTGTTTCAAACCTGCTCTGTGAAAGGGAATGTTCAATCCTGTGACTAGAATGCAGTCATCACAAAGAACTTTCTGAGAATGCTGCTGTCTGTTTTTTATATGTAATCCCGTTTCCAACGAAATCCTCAAATCTAGCCAAATAGCCACTTGCAGATTCCACAAAAAGAGTGTTTCAAAACTGTTCTGTCTAAAGAAATGTTCAACTGTATTAGTTGAGGGCACACATCAGAAACTAGTTTCTGAGAATGCTTCTGTCTAGTTGTTATGGGAAGATATTTCCTTTTCCAACGTAGGCCTGAAAGCGCTCCAAATGTCCACTTCCATATACTAAAAAAAGAGTGTTTCAAACCTGCTCTACCAAAGGGAATGTTCTACTCTGTGACTTGAATGCAAACATCCCAAAGAAGTTTCTGAGAATGCTTCTGTCTAGATTTGATCTGAAGACAATCCCGTTTCCAACGAAATCCTCAAGGCTAGGCAAATATCCTCTTGCAGATTCCAGAAAAAGAGTGTTTCAAAACTGCTCCTTCAAAACGGTGGTTCAATTCTCTTAGTTGAGTACACACATCTCAAATAAGTTTCTGAGAATGCTTCTGCCTAGTTGTTACGGGAAGATATTTCCCTTTCCAACATAGGCCTGAAAGCGCTCCAAATGTCCACTTCCAGATACTACAAAAAGAGTGTTTCAAACCTGCTCTACCAAAGGGAATGTTCTACTCTGTGACTTGAATGCAAACATCCCAAAGAAGTTTCTGAGAATGCTTCTGTCTAGATTTTACCTGAAGACAATCCCGTTTCCCACGAAATCCTCAAAGCTATGCAAATATCCTCTTGCAGATTCTACAAAAAGAGTGTTTCAAAACTGCTCTATGAAAAGAAAGGTTCAACTCTGTCAGTAGAGGGCACACATCACAAACAAGTTTCTGAGAATGCTTGTGTCTAGTTGTTATGGGAAGATATTTCCTTTTTCAACATAGGCCAGAAAGCGCTCCAAATGTCCACTTCCAGATACTACAAAAGGAGTGATTCCAACCTGCTCTATGATAGGGAATGTTCAACTCTGTGTCCTGAATACAAACATCACAAAGATGTTTCTCAGAACGCTGCAGTCTGCAATTTGTATGAATTCCCGCTTCCAACGAAATCCTCAAAACTAGCCAAATATCCACTTGCAGATTCCACAAAAAGAGCATTTCAAAACTGCTCTATCAAAAGAAAGGTTCAACTTTGTTAGTTGAGTAGATACAGCATAAACAAGTTTCTGAGAATGCTTCTGTCCAGTTTTTATGGGAAGATATTTCCTTTTTCACCTTAGCCCTGAAAGCGCTCCAAAAGTCCAGTTCCAGATACTACAAAAGGAGTGTTTCAGGACTGCTCTATGAAAGGGAGTGTTCAACTTTTGACTTGAATGCAAACATCAGAAAGCAGTTTCTCAGAACGCTGCTGTGTGCTTTTTATATGTATTCCCGCTTCCAGCGAAATCCCCAAAGCTAGCCAAATATCCACTTGCAGATTCCAGAAAAAGAGTGTTTCAAAACTGCTCCTTCAAAACGGTGGTTCAATTCTCTTAGTTGAGTACACACATCTCAAATAAGTTTCTGAGAATGCTTCTGTCTAGTTGTTATGGGAAGATATTTCCTTTTCCAACATAGGCCTGAAAGCGCTCCAAATGTCCACTTCCAGATACTACAAAAGGAGTGATTCAAACCTGCTCTATGATAGGGAATGTTCAACTCTGTGTCCTGAATACAAACATCACAAAGATGTTTCTCAGAACGCTGCAGTCTGCAATTTGTATGAATTCCCGCTTCCAACGAAATCCTCAAAACTAGCCAAATATCCACTTGCAGATTCCACAAAAAGAGCGTTTCAAAACTTCTCTATGAAAAGAAAGGTTCTACTCCTTTAGTTGAGGACACACAATACGAGTAAGTTTCTGAGAATGCTTCTGTCCAGTTTTTATGGGAAGATATTTCCTTTTTCACCTTAGCCCTGAAAGCGCTCCAAAAGTCCAGTTCCAGATACTACAAAAGGAGTGTTTCAGGACTGCTCTATGAAAGGGAGTGTTCAACTTTTGACTTGAATGCAAACATCAGAAAGCAGTTTCTCAGAACGCTGCTGTGTGCTTTTTATATGTATTCCCGCTTCCAGCGAAATCCCCAAAGCTAGCCAAATATCCACTTGCAGATTCCAGAAAAAGAGTGTTTCAAAACTGCTCCTTCAAAACGGTGGTTCAATTCTCTTAGTTGAGTACACACATCTCAAATAAGTTTCTGAGAATGCTTCTGTCTAGTTGTTATGGGAAGATATTTCCTTTTCCAACATAGGCCTGAAAGCGCTCCAAATGTCCACTTCCAGATACTACAAAAGGAGTGATTCAAACCTGCTCTATGATAGGGAATGTTCAACTCTGTGTCCTGAATACAAACATCACAAAGATGTTTCTCAGAACGCTGCAGTCTGCAATTTGTATGAATTCCCGCTTCCAACGAAATCCTCCAAACTAGCCAAATATCCACTTGCAGATTCCACAAAAAGAGCATTTCAAAACTGCTCTATCAAAAGAAAGGTTCAACTATGTTAGTTGAGTAGATACAGCATAAACAAGTTTCTGAGAATGATTTCTGTCTAGTTTTTATGGGAAGATATTTCCTTTTTCACCTTAGGCCGGTAAGTGCTCCAAAGGTCCACTTACACACACTACAAAAAGAGTGTTTCAAACCTGCTCTGTGAAAGGGAATGTTCAATTCTGTGACTTGAATGCAATCATCACAAAGAACTTTCTGAGAATGCTGCTGACTGCTTTTTATATGTAATCCCGTTTCCAACGAAATCCTCAAATCTAGCCAAATAGCCACTTGCAGATTCCACAAAAAGAGTGTTTCAAAACTGTTCTGTCTAAAGAAATGTTCAACTGTGTTAGTTGAGGACACACATCAGAAACTAGTTTCTGAGAATGCTTCTGTCTAGTTGTTATGGGAAGATATTTCCTTTTCCAACGTAGGCCTGAAAGCGATCCAAATGTCCACTTCCATATACTACAAAAAGAGTGTTTCAAACCTGCTCTGTGAAAGGGAATGTTCAATTCTGTGACTTGAATGCAATCATCACAAAGAACTTTCTGAGAATGCTGCTGACTGCTTTTTATATGTAATCCCGTTTCCAACGAAATCCTCAAATCTAGCCAAATAGCCACTTGCAGATTCCACAAAAAGAGTGTTTCAAAACTGTTCTGTCTAAAGAAATGTTCAACTGTGTTAGTTGAGGACACACATCAGAAACTAGTTTCTGAGAATGCTTCTGTCTAGTTGTTATGGGAAGATATTTCCTTTTCCAACGTAGGCCTGAAAGCGATCCAAATGTCCACTTCCATATACTACAAAAAGAGTGTTTCAAACCTGCTCTGTGAAAGGGAATGTTCAATTCTGTGACTTGAATGCAATCATCACAAAGAACTTTCTGAGAATGCTGCTGACTGCTTTTTATATGTAATCCCGTTTCCAACGAAATCCTCAAATCTAGCCAAATAGCCACTTGCAGATTCCACAAAAAGAGTGTTTCAAAACTGTTCTGTCTAAAGAAATGTTCAACTGTGTTAGTTGAGGACACACATCAGAAACTAGTTTCTGAGAATGCTTCTGTCTAGTTGTTATGGGAAGATATTTCCTTTTCCAACGTAGGCCTGAAAGCGCTCCAAATGTCCACTTCCATATACTAAAAAAAGACTGTTTCAAACCTGCTCTACCAAAGGGAATGTTCTACTCTGTGACTTGAATGCAAACATCCCAAAGAAGTTTCTGAGAATGCTTCTGTCTAGATTTTCTCTGAAGACAATCCCGTTTCCAACGAAATCCTCAAGGCTAGGCAAATATACTCTTGCAGATTCCAGAAAAAGAGTGTTTCAAAACTGCTCCTTCAAAACGGTGGTTCAATTCTCTTAGTTGAGTACACACATCTCAAATAAGTTTCTGAGAATGCTTCTGCCTAGTTGTTACCGGAAGATATTTCCCTTTCCAACATAGGCCTGAAAGCGCTCCAAATGTCCACTTCCAGATACTACAAAAAGAGTGTTTCAAACCTGCTCTACCAAAGGGAATGTTCTACTCTGTGACTTGAATGCAAACATCCCAAAGAAGTTTCTGAGAATGCTTCTGTCTAGATTTTACCTGAAGACAATCCCGTTTCCCACGAAATCCTCAAAGCTATGCAAATATCCTCTTGCAGATTCTACAAAAAGAGTGTTTCAAAACTGCTCTATGAAAAGAAAGGTTCAACTCTGTCAGTAGAGGGCACACATCACAAACAAGTTTCTGAGAATGCTTGTGTCTAGCTGTTATGGGAAGATATTTCCTTTTTCAACATAGGCCAGAAAGCGCTCCAAATGTCCACTTCCAGATACTACAAAAGGAGTGATTCCAACCTGCTCTATGATAGGGAATGTTCAACTCTCTGTCCTGAATACAAACATCACAAAGATGTTTCTCAGAACGCTGCAGTCTGCAATTTGTATGAATTCCCGCTTCCAACGAAATCCTCAAAACTAGCCAAATATCCACTTGCAGATTCCACAAAAAGAGCATTTCAAAACTGCTCTATCAAAAGAAAGGTTCAACTTTGTTAGTTGAGTAGATACAGCATAAACAAGTTTCTGAGAATGCTTCTGTCCAGTTTTTATGGGAAGATATTTCCTTTTTCACCTTAGCCCTGAAAGCGCTCCAAAAGTCCAGTTCCAGATACTACAAAAGGAGTGTTTCAGGACTGCACTATGAAAGGGAGTGTTCAACTTTTGACTTGAATGCAAACATCAGAAAGCAGTTTCTCAGAACGCTGCTGTGTGCTTTTTATATGTATTCCCGCTTCCAGCGAAATCCCCAAAGCTAGCCAGATATCCACTTGCAGATTCCAGAAAAAGAGTGTTTCAAAACTGCTCCTTCAAAACGGTGGTTCAATTCTCTTAGTTGAGTACACACATCTCAAATAAGTTTCTGAGAATGCTTCTGTCTATTTGTTATGGGAAGATATTTCCTTTTCCAACATAGGCCTGAAAGCGCTCCAAATGTCCACTTCCAGATACTACAAAAGGAGTGATTCAAACCTGCTCTATGATAGGGAACGTTCAACTCTGTGTCCTGAATACAAACATCACAAAGATGTTTCTCAGAACGCTGCAGTCTGCAATTTGTATGAATTCCCGCTTCCAACGAAATCCTCAAAACTAGCCAAATATCCACTTGCAGATTCCACAAAAAGAGCGTTTCAAAACTTCTCTATGAAAAGAAAGGTTCTACTCCTTTAGTTGAGGACACACATCACGAGTAAGTTTCTGAGAATACTTCTGTCTAGTTTTTATAGGAAGATATTTCCTTGTTCACCTTAGGCCGGAAAGCGCTCCAAATGTCCACTTACACACACTACAAAAAGAGTGTTTCAAACCTGCTCTGTGAAAGGGAATGTTCAATTCTGTGACTTGAATGCAATCATCACAAAGAAGTTTCTGAGAATGCTGCTGTCTGCTTTTTATATGTAATCCCGTTTCCAACGAAATCCTCAAATCTAGCCAAATATCCACTTGCAGATTCCACAAAGAGAGTGTTTCAAATCTGCTCTGTCTAAAGAAATGTTCAACTGTGTTAGTTGAGGACACACATCAGAAACTAGTTTCTGAGAATGCTTCTGTCTAGTTGTTATGGGAAGATATTTCCTTTTCCAACGTAGGCCTGAAAGCGCTCCAAATGTCCACTTCCATATACTAAAAAAAGAGTGTTTCAAACCTGCTCTACCAAAGGGAATGTTCTACTCTGTGACTTGAATGCAAACATCCCAAAGAAGTTTCTGAGAATGCTTCTGTCTAGATTGGATCTGAAGACAATCCCGTTTCCAACGAAATCCTCAAATCTATGCAAATATCCTCTTGCAGATTCCAGAAAAAGAGTGTTTCAAAACTGCTCCTTCAAAACGGTGGTTCAATTCTCTTAGTTGAGTACACACATCTCAAATAAGTTTCTGAGAATGCTTCTGCCTAGTTGTTACGGGAAGATATTTCCCTTTCCAACATAGGCCTGAAAGCGCTCCAAATGTCCACTTCCAGATACTACAAAAAGAGTGTTTCAAACCTGCTCCTTCAAAACGGTGGTTCAATTCTCTTAGTTCAGTACACACATCTCAAATAAGTTTCTGAGAATGCTTCTGCCTAGTTGTTACGGGAAGATATTTCCCTTTCCAACATAGGCCTGAAAGCGCTCCAAATGTCCACTTCCAGATACTACAAAAAGAGTGTTTCAAACCTGCTCTACCAAAGGGAATGTTCTACTCTGTGACTTGAATGCAAACATCCCGAAGAATTTTCTGAGAATGCTTCTGTCTAGATTTTACCTGAAGACAATCCCGTTTCCCACGAAATCCTCGAAGCTATGCAAATATCCTCTTGCAGATTCTACAAAAAGAGTGTTTCGAAACTGCTCTATGAAAAGAAAGGTTCAACTCTGTCAGTAGAGGGCACACATCACAAACAAGTTTCTGAGAATGCTTCTGCCTAGTTGTTACGGGAAGATATTTCCCTTTCCAAAATAGGCCTGAAAGCGCTCCAAATGTCCACTTCCAGATACTGCAAAAGGAGTGATTCCAACCTGCTCTATGATAGGGAATGTTCAACTCTGTGTCCTGAATACAAACATCACAAAGATGTTTCTCAGAACGCTGCAGTCTGCAATTTGTATGAATTCCCCCTTCCAACGAAATCCTCAAAACTAGCCAAATATCCACTTGCAGATTCCACAAAAAGACCATTTCAAAACTGCTCTATCAAAAGAAAGGTTCAACTTTGTTAGTTGAGTAGATACAGCATAAACAAGTTTCTGAGAATGCTTCTGTCCAGTTTTTATGGGAAGATATTTCCTTTTTCACCTTAGCCCTGAAAGCGCTCCAAATGTCCAGTTCCATATACTACAAAAGGGGTGTTTCAAGACTGCTCTATGAAAGGGAGTGTTCATCTTTTGACTTGAATGCAAACATCAGAAAGCAGTTTCTCAGAACGCTGCTGTGTGCTTTTTATATGTATTCCCGCTTCCAGCGAAATCCCCAAAGCTAGCCAAATATCCACTTGCAGATTCCAGAAAAAGAGTGTTTCAAAACTGCTCCTTCAAAACGGTGGTTCAATTCTCTTAGTTGAGTACACACATCTCAAATAAGTTTCTGAGAATGCTTCTGTCTAGTTGTTATGGGAAGATATTTCCTTTTCCAACATAGGCCTGAAAGCGCTCCAAATGTCCACTTCCAGATACTACAAAAGGAGTGATTCAAACCTGCTCTATGATAGGGAATGTTCAACTCTGTGTCCTGAATACAAACATCACAAAGATGTTTCTCAGAACGCTGCAGTCTGCAATTTGTATGAATTCCCGCTTCCAACGAAATCCTCAAAACTAGCCAAATATCCACTTGCAGATTCCACAAAAAGAGCGTTTCAAAACTTCTCTATGAAAAGAAAGGTTCTACTCCTTTAGTTGAGGACACACATCACGAGTAAGTTTCTGAGAATGCTTCTGTCTAGTTTTTATGGGAAGATATTTCCTTTTTCACCTTAGGCCGGTAAGTGCTCCAAATGTCCACTTACACACACTACAAAAAGAGTGTTTCAAACCTGCTCTGTGAAAGGGAATGTTCAATTCTGTGACTTGAATGCAATCATCACAAAGAACTTTCTGAGAATGCTGCTGACTGCTTTTTATATGTAATCCCGTTTCCAACGAAATCCTCAAATCTAGCCAAATAGCCACTTGCAGATTCCACAAAAAGAGTGTTTCAAAACTGTTCTGTCTAAAGAAATGTTCAACTGTGTTAGTTGAGGACACACATCAGAAACTAGTTTCTGAGAATGCTTCTGTCTAGTTGTTATGGGAAGATATTTCCTTTTCCAACGTAGGCCTGAAAGCGCTCCAAATGTCCACTTCCATATACTAAAAAAAGAGTGTTTCAAACCTGCTCTACCAAAGGGAATGTTCTACTCTGTGACTTGAATGCAAACATCCCAAAGAAGTTTCTGAGAATGCTTCTGTCTAGATTTTCTCTGAAGACAATCCCGTTTCCAACGAAATCCTCAAGGCTAGGCAAATATACTCTTGCAGATTCCAGAAAAAGAGTGTTTCAAAACTGCTCCTTCAAAACGGTGGTTCAATTCTCTTAGTTGAGTACACACATCTCAAATAAGTTTCTGAGAATGCTTCTGCCTAGTTGTTACGGGAAGATATTTCCCTTTCCAACATGGGCCTGAAAGCGCTCCAAATGTCCACTTCCAGATACTACAAAAAGAGTGTTTCAAACCTGCTCTACCAAAGGGAATGTTCTACTCTGTGACTTGAATGCAAACATCCCAAAGAAGTTTCTGAGAATGCTTCTGTCTAGATTTTACCTGAAGACAATCCCGTTTCCCACGAAATCCTCAAAGCTATGCAAATATCCTCTTGCAGATTCTACAAAAAGAGTGTTTCAAAACTGCTCTATGAAAAGAAAGGTTCAACTCTGTCAGTAGAGGGCACACATCACAAACAAGTTTCTGAGAATGCTTCTGCATAGTTGTTACGGGAAGATATTTCCCTTTCCAACATAGGCCTGAAAGCGCTCCAAATGTCCACTTCCAGATACTACAAAAGGAGTGATTCCAACCTGCTCTATGATAGGGAATGTTCAACTCTGTGTCCTGAATACAAACATCACAAAGATGTTTCTCAGAACGCTGCAGTCTGCAATTTGTATGAATTCCCGCTTCCAACGAAATCCTCAAAACTAGCCAAATATCCACTTGCAGATTCCACAAAAAGACCATTTCAAAACTGCTCTATCAAAAGAAAGGTTCAACTTTGTTAGTTGAGTAGATACAGCATAAACAAGTTTCTGAGAATGCTTCCGTCCAGTTTTTATGGGAAGATATTTCCTTTTTCACCTTAGCCCTGAAATCGCTCCAAAAGTCCAGTTCCAGATACTACAAAAGGGGTGTTTCAAGACTGCTCTATGAAAGGGAGTGTTCAACTTTTGACTTGAATGCAAACATCAGAAAGCAGTTTCTCAGAACGCTGCTGTGTGCTTTTTATATGTATTCCCGCTTCCAGCGAAATCCCCAAAGCTAGCCAAATATCCACTTGCAGATTCCAGAAAAAGAGAGTTTCAAAACTGCTCCTTCAAAACGGTGGTTCAATTCTCTTAGTTGAGTACACACATCTCAAATAAGTTTCTGAGAATGCTTCTGTCTAGTTGTTATGGGAAGATATTTCCTTTTCCAACATAGGCCTGAAAGCGCTCCAAATGTCCACTTCCAGATACTACAAAAGGAGTGATTCAAACCTGCTCTATGATAGGGAATGTTCAACTCTGTGTCCTGAATACAAACATCACAAAGATGTTTCTCAGAACGCTGCAGTCTGCAATTTGTATGAATTCCCGCTTCCAACGAAATCCTCAAAACTAGCCAAATATCCACTTGCAGATTCCACAAAAAGAGCGTTTCAAAACTTCTCTATGAAAAGAAAGGTTCTACTCCTTTAGTTGAGGACACACATCACGAGTAAGTTTCTGAGAATGCTTCTGTCTAGTTTTTATGGGAAGATATGTCCTTTTTCACCTTAGGCCGGAAAGCGCTCCAAATGTCCACTTACACACACTACAAAAAGAGTGTTTCAAACCTGCTCTGTGAAAGGGAATGTTCAATTCTGTGACTTGAATGCAATCATCACAAAGAACTTTCTGAGAATGCTGCTGTCTGCTTTTTATATGTAATCCCGTTTCCAACGAAATCCTCAAATCTAGCCCAATATCCACTTGCAGATTCCACAAAAAGAGTGTTTCAAAACTGTTCTGTCTAAAGAAAAGTTCAACTGTGTTAGTTGAGGACACACATCAGAAACTAGTTTCTGAGAATGCTTCTGTCTAGTTGTTATGGGAAGATATTTCCTTTTCCAACGTAGGCCTGAAAGCGCTCCAAATGTCCTTCCATATACTAAAAAAAGAGTGTTTCAAACCTGCTCTACCAAAGGGAATGTTCTACTCTGTGACTTGAATGCAAACATCCCAAAGAAGTTTCTGAGAATGCTTCTGTCTAGATTTGATCTGAAGACAATCACGTTTCCAACGAAATCCTCAAGGCTAGGCAAATATACTCTAGCAGATTCCAGAAAAAGAGTGTTTCAAAACTGCTCCTTCAAAACGGTGGTTCAATTCTCTTAGTTGAGTACACACATCTCAAATAAGTTTCTGAGAATGCTTCTGCCTAGTTGTTACGGGAAGATATTTCCCTTTCCAACATGGGCCTGAAAGCGCTCCAAATGTCCATTTCCAGATACTACAAAAAGAGTGTTTCAAACCTGCTCTACCAAAGGGAATGTTCTACTCTGTGACTTGAATGCAAACATCCCAAAGAAGTTTCTGAGAATGCTTCTGTCTAGATTTTACCTGAAGACAATCCCGTTTCCCACGAAATCCTCAAAGCTATGCAAATATCCTCTTGCGGATTCTACAAAAAGAGTGTTTCAAAACTGCTCTATGAAAAGAAAGGTTCAACTCTGTCAGTAGAGGGCACACATCACAAACAAGTTTCTGAGAATGCTTGTGTCTAGTTGTTATGGGAAGATATTTCCTTTTTCAACATAGGCCTGAAAGCGCTCCAAATGTCCACTTCCAGATACTACAAAAGGAGTGATTCCAACCTGCTCTATGATAGGGAATGTTCATCTCTGTGTCTTGAATACAAACATCACAAAGATGTTTCTCAGAACGCTGCAGTCTGCAAATTGTATGAATTCCCGCTTCCAACGAAATCCTCAAAACTAGCCAAATATCCACTTGGAGATTCCACAAAAAGAGCGTTTCAAAACTTCTCTATGAATAGAAAGGTTCTACTCTTTTAGTTGAGGACACACATCACGAGTAAGTTTCTGAGAATGCTTCTGTCTAGTTTTTATGGGAAGATATGTCCTTTTTCACCTTAGGCCGGAAAGCGCTCCAAATGTCCACTTACACACACTACAAAAAGAGTGTTTCAAACCTGCTCTGTGAAAGGGAATGTTCAATTCTGTGACTTGAATGCAATCATCACAAAGAACTTTCTGAGAATGCTGCTGTCTGCTTTTTATATGTAATCCCGTTTCCACCGAAATCCTCAAATCTAGCCAAATATCCACTTGCAGATTCCACAAAAAGAGTGTTTCAAAACTGTTCTGTCTAAAGAAAAGTTCAACTGTGTTAGTTGAGGACACACATCAGAAACTAGTTTCTGAGAATGCTTCTGTCTAGTTGTTATGGGAAGATATTTCCTTTTCCAACGTAGGCCTGAAAGCGCTCCAAATGTCCACTTCCATATACTAAAAAAAGAGTGTTTCAAACCTGCTCTACCAAAGGGAATGTTCTACTCTGTGACTTGAATGCAAACATCCCAAAGAAGTTTCTGAGAATGCTTCTGTCTAGATTTTCTCTGAAGACAATCCCGTTTCCAAAGAAATCCTCAAGGCTAGGCAAATATACTCTTGCAGATTCCAGAAAAAGAGTGTTTAAAAACTGCTCCTTCAAAACGGTGGTTTAATTCTCTTAGTTGAGTACACACATCTCAAATAAGTTTCTGAGAATGCTTCTGCCTAGTTGTTACGGGAAGATATTTCCCTTTCCAACATGGGCCTGAAAGCGCTCCAAATGTCCACTTCCAGATACTACAAAAAGAGTGTTTCAAACCTGCTCTACCAAAGGGAATGTTCTACTCTGTGACTTGAATGCAAACATCCCAAAGAAGTTTCTGAGAATGCTTCTGTCTAGATTTTACCTGAAGACAATCCCGTTTCCCACGAAATCCTCAAAGCTATGCAAATATCCTCTTGCAGATTCTACAAAAAGAGTGTTTCAAAACTGCTCTATGAAAAGAAAGGTTCAACTCTGTCAGTAGAGGGCACACATCACAAACAAGTTTCTGAGAATGCTTCTGCATAGTTGTTACGGGAAGATATTTCCCTTTCCAAAATAGGCCTGAAAGCGCTCCAAATGTCCACTTCCAGATACTACAAAAGGAGTGATTCCAACCTGCTCTATGATAGGGAATGTTCAACTCTGTGTCCTGAATACAAACATCACAAAGATGTTTCTCAGAACGCTGCAGTCTGCAATTTGTATGAATTCCCGCTTCCAACGAAATCCTCAAAACTAGCCAAATATCCACTTGCAGATTCCACAAAAAGACCATTTCAAAACTGCTCTATCAAAAGAAAGGTTCAACTTTGTTAGTTGAGTAGATACAGCATAACCAAGTTTCTGAGAATGCTTCTGTCCAGTTTTTATGGGAAGATATTTCCTTTTTCACCTTAGCCCTGAAATCGCTCCAAAAGTCCAGTTCCAGATACTACAAAAGGGGTGTTTCAAGACTGCTCTATGAAAGGGAGTGTTCAACTTTTGACTTGAATGCAAACATCAGAAAGCAGTTTCTCAGAACGCTGCTGTGTGCTTTTTATATGTATTCCCGCTTCCAGCGAAATCCCCAAAGCTAGCCAAATATCCACTTGCAGATTCCAGAAAAAGAGAGTTTCAAAACTGCTCCTTCAAAACGGTGGTTCAATTCTCTTAGTTGAGTACACACATCTCAAATAAGTTTCTGAGAATGCTTCTGTCTAGTTGTTATGGGAAGATATTTCCTTTTCCAACATAGGCCTGAAAGCGCTCCAAATGTCCACTTCCAGATACTACAAAAGGAGTGATTCCAACCTGCTCTATGATAGGGAATGTTCAACTCTGTGTCCTGAATACAAACATCACAAAGATGTTTCTCAGAACGCTGCAGTCTGCAATTTGTATGAATTCCCGCTTCCAACGAAATCCTCAAAACTAGCCAAATATCCACTTGCAGATTCCACAAAAAGAGCGTTTCAAAACTTCTCTATGAAAAGAAAGGTTCTACTCCTTTAGTTGAGGACACACATCACGAGTAAGTTTCTGAGAATGCTTCTGTCTAGTTTTTATGGGAAGATATTTCCTTTTTCACCTTAGGCCGGTAAGTGCTCCAAATGTCCACTTACACACACTACAAAAAGAGTGTTTCAAACCTGCTCTGTGAAAGGGAATGTTCAATTCTGTGACTTGAATGCAATCATCACAAAGAACTTTCTGAGAATGCTGCTGACTGCTTTTTATATGTAATCCCGTTTCCAACGAAATCCTCAAATCCAGCCAAATAGCCACTTGCAGATTCCACAAAAAGAGTGTTTCAAAACTGTTCTGTCTAAAGAAATGTTCAACTGTGTTAGTTGAGGACACACATCAGAAACTAGTTTCTGAGAATGCTTCTGTCTAGTTGTTATGGGAAGATATTTCCTTTTCCAACGTAGGCCTGAAAGCGATCAAAATGTCCACTTCCATATACTAAAAAAAGAGTGTTTCAAACCTGCTCTACCAAAGGGAATGTTCTACTCTGTGACTTGAATGCAAACATCCCAAAGAAGTTTCTGAGAATGCTTCTGTCTAGATTTTCTCTGAAGACAATCCCGTTTCCAACGAAATCCTCAAGGCTAGGCAAATATACTCTTGCAGATTCCAGAAAAAGAGTGTTTCAAAACTGCTCCTTCAAAACGGTGGTTCAATTCTCTTAGTTGAGTACACACATCTCAAATAAGTTTCTGAGAATGCTTCTGCCTAGTTGTTACGGGAAGATATTTCCCTTTCCAACATAGGCCTGAAAGCGCTCCAAATGTCCACTTCCAGATACTACAAAAAGAGTGTTTCAAACCTGCTCTACCAAAGGGAATGTTCTACTCTGTGACTTGAATGCAAACATCCCAAAGAAGTTTCTGAGAATGCTTCTGTCTAGATTTTACCTGAAGACAATCCCGTTTCCCACGAAATCCTCAAAGCTATGCAAATATCCTCTTGCAGATTCTACAAAAAGAGTGTTTCAAAACTGCTCTATGAAAAGAAAGGTTCAACTCTGTCAGTAGAGGGCACACATCACAAACAAGTTTCTGAGAATGCTTGTGTCTAGTTGTTATGGGAAGATATTTCCTTTTTCAACATAGGCCTGAAAGCGCTCCAAATGTCCACTTCCAGATACTACAAAAGGAGTGATTCCAACCTGCTCTATGATAGGGAATGTTCATCTCTGTGTCCTGAATACAAACATCACAAAGATGTTTCTCAGAACGCTGCAGTCTGCAATTTGTATGAATTCCCGCTTCCAACGAAATCCTCAAAACTAGCCAAATATCCACTTGGAGATTCCACAAAAAGAGCGTTTCAAAACTTCTCTATGAATAGAAAGGTTCTACTCCTTTAGTTGAGGACACACATCACGAGTAAGTTTCTGAGAATGCTTCTGTCTAGTTTTTATGGGAAGATATTTCTTTTTTCACCTTAGGCCGGAAAGCGCTCCAAATGTCCACTTACACACACTACAAAAAGAGTGTTTCAAACCTGCTCTGTGAAAGGGAATGTTCAATTCTGTGACTTGAATGCAATCATCACAAAGAACTTTCTGAGAATGCTGCTGTCTGCTTTTTATATGTAATCCCGTTTCCAACGAAATCCTCAAATCTAGCCCAATATCCACTTGCAGATTCCACAAAAAGAGTGTTTCAAAACTGTTCTGTCTAAAGAAAAGTTCAACTGTGTTAGTTGAGGACACACATCAGAAACTAGTTTCTGAGAATGCTTCTGTCTAGTTGTTATGGGAAGATATTTCCTTTTCCAACGTAGGCCTGAAAGCGCTCCAAATGTCCACTTCCAGATACTACAAAAAGAGTGTTTCAAACCTGCTCTACCAAAGGGAATGTTCTACTCTGTGACTTGAATGCAAACATCCCAAAGAAGTTTCTGAGAATGCTTCTGTCTAGATTTTAGCTGAAGACAATCCCGTTTCCAATGAAATCCTCAAAGCTAGGCAAATATACTCTAGCAGATTCCAGAAAAAGAGTGTTTCAAAACTGGTCCTTCAAAACGGTGGTTCAATTCTCTTAGTTGAGTACACACATCTCAAATAAGTTTCTGAGAATGCTTCTGCCTAGTTGTTACGGGAAGATATTTCCCTTTCCAACATAGGCCTGAAAGCGCAACAAATGTCCACTTCCAGATACTACAAAAAGAGTGTTTCAAACCTGCTCTACCAAAGGGAATGTTCTACTCTGTGACTTGAATGCAAACATCCCGAAGAAGTTTCTGAGAATGCTTCTGTCTAGATTTTACCTGAAGACAATCCCGTTTCCCACGAAATCCTCAGAGCTATGCAAATATCCTCTTGCAGATTCTACAAAAAGAGTGTTTCGAAACTGCTCTATGAAAAGAAAGGTTCAACTCTGTCAGTAGAGGAAACACATCACCAACAAGTTTCTGAGAATGCTTCTGTCTAGTTGTTATGGGAAGATTTTTCCTTTTTCAACATAGGCCTGAAAGCGCTCCAAATGTCCACTTCCAGATACTACAAAAGCAGTGATCCCAACCTGCTCTATGATAGGGAATGTTCAACTCTGTGTCCTGAATACAAACATCACAAAGATGTTTCTCAGAACGCTGCAGTCTGCAATTTGTACGAATTCCCGCTTCCAACGAAATCCTCAAAACTAGCCAAATATCCACTTGCAGATTCCACAAAAAGAGCATTTCAAAACTGCTCTATCAAAAGAAAGGTTCAACTTTGTTAGTTGAGCAGATACAGCATAAACAAGTTTCTGAGAATGCTGCAGTCTGCAATTTGTATGAATTCCCTCTTCCAAAGAAATCCTCAAAACTAGCCAAATATCCACTTGGAGATTCCACAAAAAGAGCGTTTCAAAACTTCTCTATGAATAGAAAGGTTCTACTCCTTTAGTTGAGGACACACATCACGAGTAAGTTTCTGAGAATGCTTCTGTCTAGTTTTTATGGGAAGATATTTCCTCTTTCACCTTAGGCCGGAAAGCGCTCCAAATGTCCACTTACACACAGTACAAAAAGAGTGTTTCAAACCTGCTCTGTGAAATGGAATGTTCAATTCTGTGACTTCAATGCAATCATCACAAAGAACTTTCTGAGAATGCTGCTGTCTGCTTTTTATATGTAATCCCGTTTCCAACGAAATCCTCAAATCTAGCCCAATATCCACTTGCAGATTCCACAAAAAGAGTGTTTCAAAACTGTTCTGTCTAAAGAAATGTACAACTGTGTTAGTTGAGGACACACATCAGAAACTAGTTTCTGAGAATGCTTCTGTCTAGTTGTTATGGGAAGATATTTCCTTTTCCAACGTAGGCCTGAAAGCGCTCCAAATGTCCACTTCCATATACTAAAAAAAGAGTGTTTCAAACCTGCTCTACCAAAGGGAATGTTCTACTCTGTGACTTGAATGCAAACATCCCAAAGAAGTTTCTGAGAATGCTTCTGTCTAGATTTTATCTGAAGACAATCCCGTTTCCAACGAAATCGTCAAGGCTAGGCAAATATACTCTTGCAGATTCCAGAAAAAGAGTGTTTCAAAACTGCTCCTTCAAAACGGTGGTTCAATTCTCTTAGTTGAGTACACACATCTCAAATAAGTTTCTGAGAATGCTTCTGCCTAGTTGTTACGGGAAGATATTTCCCTTTCCAACATAGGCCTGAAAGCGCTCCAAATGTCCACTTCCAGATACTACAAAAAGAGTGTTTCAAACCTGCTCTACCAAAGGGAATGTTCTACTCTGTGACTTGAATGCAAACATCCCAAAGAAGTTTCTGAGAATGCTTCTGTCTAGATTTTACCTGAAGACAATCCCGTTTCCCACGAAATCCTCAAAGCTATGCAAATATCCTCTTGCGGATTCTACAAAAAGAGTGTTTCAAAACTGCTCTATGAAAAGAAAGGTTCAACTCTGTCAGTAGAGGGCACACATCACAAACAAGTTTCTGAGAATGCTTGTGTCTAGTTGTTATGGGAAGATATTTCCTTTTTCAACATAGGCCTGAAAGCGCTCCAAATGTCCACTTCCAGATACTACAAAAGGAGTGATTCCAACATGCTCTATGATAGGGAATGTTCATCTCTGTGTCTTGAATACAAACATCACAAAGATGTTTCTCAGAACGCTGCAGTCTGCAATTTGTATGAATTCCCGCTTCCAACGAAATCCTCAAAACTAGCCAAATATCCACTTGGAGATTCCACAAAAAGAGCGTTTCAAAACTTCTCTATGAATAGAAAGGTTCTACTCCTTTAGTTGAGGACACACATCACGAGTAAGTTTCTGAGAATGCTTCTGTCTAGTTTTTATGGGAAGATATGTCCTTTTTCACCTTAGGCCGGAAAGCGCTCCAAATGTCCACTTACACACACTACAAAAAGAGTGTTTCAAACCTGCTCTGTGAAAGGGAATGTTCAATTCTGTGACTTGAATGCAATCATCACAAAGAACTTTCTGAGAATGCTGCTGTCTGCTTTTTATATGTAATCCCGTTTCCAACGAAATCCTCAAATCTAGCCCAATATCCACTTGCAGATTCCACAAAAAGAGTGTTTCAAAACTGTTCTGTCTAAAGAAAAGTTCAACTGTGTTAGTTGAGGACACATATCAGAAAGTAGTTTCTGAGAATGCTTCTGTCTAGTTGTTATGGGAAGAGATTTCCTTTTCCAACGTAGGCCTGAAAGCGCTCCAAATGTCCTTCCATATACTAAAAAAAGAGTGTTTCAAACCTGCTCTACCAAAGGGAATGTTCTACTCTGTGACTTGAATGCAAACATCCCAAAGAAGTTTCTGAGAATGCTTCTGTCTAGATTTGATCTGAAGACAATCCCGTTTCCAACGAAATCCTCAAGGCTAGGCAAATATACTCTTGCAGATTCCAGAAAAAGAGTGTTTCAAAACTGCTCCTTCAAAACGGTGGTTCAATTCTCTTAGTTGAGTACACACATCTCAAATAAGTTTCTGAGAATGCTTCTGCCTAGTTGTTACGGGAAGATATTTCCCTTTCCAACATGGGCCTGAAAGCGCTCCAAATGTCCACTTCCAGATACTACAAAAAGAGTGTTTCAAACCTGCTCTACCAAAGGGAATGTTCTACTCTGTGACTTGAATGCAAACATCCCAAAGAAGTTTCTGAGAATGCTTCTGTCTAGATTTTACCTGAAGACAATCCCGTTTCCCACGAAATCCTCAAAGCTATGCAAATATCCTCTTGCGGATTCTACAAAAAGAGTGTTTCAAAACTGCTCTATGAAAAGAAAGGTTCAACTCTGTCAGTAGAGGGCACACATCACAAACAAGTTTCTGAGAATGCTTCTGTCTATTTGTTATGGGAAGATATTTCCTTTTCCAACATAGGCCTGAAAGCGCTCCAAATGTCCATTTCCAGATACTACAAAAGGAGTGATTCAAACCTGCTCTATGATAGGGAATGTTCAACTCTGTGTCCTGAATACAAACATCACAAAGATGTTTCTCAGAACGCTGCAGTCTGCAATTTGTATGAATTCCCGCTTCCAACGAAATCCTCAAAACTAGCCAAATATCCACTTGCAGATTCCACAAAAAGAGCATTTCAAAACTGCTCTATCAAAAGAAAGGTTCAACTTTGTTAGTTGAGTAGATACAGCATAAACAAGTTTCTGAGAATGCTTCTGTCCAGTTTTTATGGGAAGATATTTCCTTTTTCACCTTAGCCCTGAAAGCGCTCCAAAAGTCCAGTTCCAGATACTACAAAAGGAGTGTTTCAGGACTGCTCTATGAAAGGGAGTGTTCAACTTTTGACTTGAATGCAAACATCAGAAAGCAGTTTCTCAGAACGCTGCTGTGTGCTTTTTATATGTATTCCCGCTTCCAGCGAAATCCCCAAAGCTAGCCAAATATCCACTTGCAGATTCCAGAAAAAGAGTGTTTCAAAACTGCTCCTTCAAAACGGTGGTTCAATTCTCTTAGTTGAGTACACACATCTCAAATAAGTTTCTGAGAATGCTTGTGTCTAGTTGTTATGGGAAGATATTTCCTTTTTCAACATAGGCCTGAAAGCGCTCCAAATGTCCACTTCCAGATACTACAAAAGGAGTGATTCCAACCTGCTCTATGATAGGGAATGTTCAACTCTGTGTCCTGAATACAAACATCACAAAGATGGTTCTCAGAACGCTGCAGTCTGCAATTTGTATGAATTCCCGCTTCCAACGAAATCCTCCAAACTAGCCAAATATCCACTTGCAGATTCCACAAAAAGAGCGTTTCAAAACTTCTCTATGAAAAGAAAGGTTCTACTCCTTTAGTTGAGGACACACATCACGAGTAAGTTTCTGAGAATGCTTCTGTCTAGTTTTTATGGGAAGATTATTTCCTTTTTCACCTTAGGCCGGTAAGTGCTCCAAATGTCCACTTACACACACTACAAAAAGAGTGTTTCAAACCTGCTCTGTGAAAGGGAATGTTCAATTCTGTGACTTGAATGCAATCATCACAAAGAACTTTCTGAGAATGCCGCTGACTGCTTTTTATATGTAATCCCGTTTCCAACGAAATCCTCAAATCTAGCCAAATAGCCACTTGCAGATTCCACAAAAAGAGTGTTTCAAAACTGTTCTGTCTAAAGAAATGTTCAACTGTGTTAGTTGAGGACACACATCAGAAACTAGTTTCTGAGAATGCTTCTGTCTAGTTGTTATGGGAAGATATTTCCTTTTCCAACGTAGGCCTGAAAGCGCTCCAAATGTCCACTTCCAGATACTACAAAAAGAGTGTTTCAAACCTGCTCTACCAAAGGGAATGTTCTACTCTGTGACTTGAATGCAAGCATCCCAAAGAAGTTTCTGAGAATGCTTCTGTCTAGATTTTCTCTGAAGACAATCCCGTTTCCAACGAAATCCTCAAGGCTAGGCAAATATACTCTTGCAGATTCCAGAAAAAGAGTGTTTCAAAACTGCTCCTTCAAAACGGTGGTTCAATTCTCTTAGTTGAGTACACACATCTCAAATAAGTTTCTGAGAATGCTTCTGCCTAGTTGTTACGGGAAGATATTTCCCTTTCCAACATGGGCCTGAAAGCGCTCCAAATGTCCACTTCCAGATACTACAAAAAGAGTGTTTCAAACCTGCTCTACCAAAGGGAATGTTCTACTCTGTGACTTGAATGCAAACATCCCAAAGAAGTTTCTGAGAATGCTTCTGTCTAGATTTTACCTGAAGACAATCCCGTTTCCCACGAAATCCTCAAAGCTATGCAAATATCCTCTTGCAGATTCTACAAAAAGAGTGTTTCAAAACTGCTCTATGAAAAGAAAGGTTCAACTCTGTCAGTAGAGGGCACACATCACAAACAAGTTTCTGAGAATGCTTCTGCATAGTTGTTACGGGAAGATATTTCCCTTTCCAAAATAGGCCTGAAAGCGCTCCAAATGTCCACTTCCAGATACTACAAAAGGAGTGATTCCAACCTGCTCTATGATAGGGAATGTTCAACTCTGTGTCCTGAATACAAACATCACAAAGATGTTTCTCAGAACGCTGCAGTCTGCAATTTGTATGAATTCCCGCTTCCAACGAAATCCTCAAAACTAGCCAAATATCCACTTGCAGATTCCACAAAAAGACCATTTCAAAACTGCTCTATCAAAAGAAAGGTTCAACTTTGTTAGTTGAGTAGATACAGCATAAACAAGTTTCTGAGAATGCTTCTGTCCAGTTTTTATGGGAAGATATTTCCTTTTTCACCTTAGCCCTGAAATCGCTCCAAAAGTCCAGTTCCAGATACTACAAAAGGGGTGTTTCAGGACTGCTCTATGAAAGGGAGTGTTCAACTTTTGACTTGAATGCAAACATCAGAAAGCAGTTTCTCAGAACGCTGCTGTGTGCTTTTTATATGTATTCCCGCTTCCAGCGAAATCCCCAAAGCTAGCCAAATATCCACTTGCAGATTCCAGAAAAAGAGAGTTTCAAAACTGCTCCTTCAAAACGGTGGTTCAATTCTCTTAGTTGAGTACACACATCTCAAATAAGTTTCTGAGAATGCTTCTGTCTAGTTGTTATGGGAAGATATTTCCTTTTCCAACATAGGCCTGAAAGCGCTCCAAATGTCCACTTCCAGATACTACAAAAGGAGTGATTCAAACCTGCTCTATGATAGGGAATGTTCAACTCTGTGTCCTGAATACAAACATCACAAAGATGTTTCTCAGAACGCTGCAGTCTGCAATTTGTATGAATTCCCGCTTCCAACGAAATCCTCAAAACTAGCCAAATATCCACTTGCAGATTCCACAAAAAGAGCGTTTCAAAACTTCTCTATGAAAAGAAAGGTTCTACTCCTTTAGTTGAGGACACACATCACGAGTAAGTTTCTGAGAATGCTTCTGTCTAGTTTTTATGGGAAGATATTTCCTTTTTCACCTTAGGCCGGTAAGTGCTCCAAATGTCCACTTACACACACTACAAAAAGAGTGTTTCAAACCTGCTCTGTGAAAGGGAATGTTCAATTCTGTGACTTGAATGCAATCATCACAAAGAACTTTCTGAGAATGCTGCTGACTGCTTTTTATATGTAATCCCGTTTCCAACGAAATCCTCAAATCTAGCCAAATAGCCACTTGCAGATTCCACAAAGAGAGTGTTTCAAAACTGTTCTGTCTAAAGAAATGTTCAACTGTGTTAGTTGAGGACACACATCAGAAACTAGTTTCTGAGAATGCTTCTGTCTAGTTGTTATGGGAAGATATTTCCTTTTCCAACGTAGGCCTGAAAGCGCTCCAAATGTCCACTTCCAGATACTAAAAAAAGAGTGTTTCAAACCTGCTCTACCAAAGGGAATGTTCTACTCTGTGACTTGAATGCAAACATCCCAAAGAAGTTTCTGAGAATGCTTCTGTCTAGATTTTCTCTGAAGACAATCCCGTTTCCAACGAAATCCTCAAGGCTAGGCAAATATACTCTTGCAGATTCCAGAAAAAGAGTGTTTCAAAACTGCTCCTTCAAAACGGTGGTTCAATTCTCTTAGTTGAGTACACACATCTCAAATAAGTTTCTGAGAATGCTTCTGCCTAGTTGTTACGGGAAGATATTTCCCTTTCCAACATGGGCCTGATAGTGCTCCAAATGTCCACTTCCAGATACTACAAAAAGAGTGTTTCAAACCTGCTCTACCAAAGGGAATGTTCTACTCTGTGACTTGAATGCAAACATCCCAAAAAAGTTTCTGAGAATGCTTCTGTCTAGATTTTACCTGAAGACAATCCCGTTTCCCACGAAATCCTCAAAGCTATGCAAATATCCTCTTGCAGATTCTACACAAAGAGTGTTTCAAAACTGCTCTATGAAAAGAAAGGTTCAACTCTGTCAGTAGCGGGCACACATCACAAACAAGTTTCTGAGAATGCTTGTGTCTAGTTGTTATGGGAAGATATTTCCTTTTTCAACATAGGCCTGAAAGCGCTCCAAATGTCCACTTCCAGATACTACAAAAGGAGTGATTCCAACCTGCTCTATGATAGGGAATGTTCAACTCTGTGTCCTGAATACAAACATCACAAAGATGTTTCTCAGAACGCTGCAGTCTGCAATTTGTATGAATTCCCGCTTCCAACGAAATCCTCAAAACTAGCCAAATATCCACTTGCAGATTCCACGAAAAGAGCGTTTCAAAACTTCTCTATGAAAAGGAATGTTCTACTCCTTTAGTTGAGGACACACATCACGAGTAAGTTTCTGAGAATGCTTCTGTCTAGTTTTTATGGGAAGATATTTCCTTTTTCACCTTAGGCCGGAAAGTGCTCCAAATGTCCACTTACACACACTACAAAAAGAGTGTTTCAAACCTGCTCTGTGAAAGGGAATGTTCAATTCTGTGACTTGAATGCAATCATCACAAAGAACTTTCTGAGAATGCTGCTGTCTGCTTTTTATATGTAATCCCGTTTCCAACGAAATCCTCAAATCTAGCCAAATAGCCACTTGCAGATTCCACAAAAAGAGTGTTTCAAAACTGTTCTGTCTAAAGAAATGTTCAACTGTGTTAGTTGAGGACACACATCAGAAACTAGTTTCTGAGAATGCTTCTGTCTAGTTGTTATGGGAAGATATTTCCTTTTCCAACGTAGGCCTGAAAGCGCTCCAAATGTCCACTTCCATATACTAAAAAAAGAGTGTTTCAAACCTGCTCTACCAAAGGGAATGTTCTACTCTGTGACTTGAATGCAAACATCCCAAAGAAGTTTCTGAGAATGCTTCTGTCTAGATTTGATCTGAAGACAATCCCGTTTCCAACGAAATCCTCAAGGCTAGGCAAATATCCTCTTGCAGATTGCAGAAAAAGAGTGTTTCAAAACTGCTCCTTCAAAACGGTGGTTCAATTCTCTTAGTTGAGTACACACATCTCAAATAAGTTTCTGAGAATGCTTCTGCCTAGTTGTTACGGGAAGATATTTCCCTTTCCAACATAGGCCTGAAAGCGCTCCAAATGTCCACTTCCAGATACTACAAAAAGAGTGTTTCAAACCTGCTCTACCAAAGGGAATGTTCTACTCTGTGACTTGAATGCAAACATCCCAAAGAAGTTTCTGAGAATGCTTCTCTCTAGATTTTACCTGAAGACAATCCCGTTTCCCACGAAATCCTCAAAGCTATGCAAATATCCTCTTGCAGATTCTACAAAAAGAGCGTTTCAAAACTTCTCTATGAAAAGAAAGGTTCTACTCATTTAGTGGAGGACACACATCACGAGTAAGTTTCTGAGAATGCTTGTGTCTAGTTTTTATGGGAAGATATTTCCTTTTTCACCTTAGGCCGGAAAGTGCTCCAAATGTCCACTTACACACACTACAAAAAGAGTGTTTCAAACCTGCTCTGTGAAAGGGAATGTTCAATTCTGTGACTTGAATGCAATCATCACAAAGAACTTTCTGAGAATGCTGCTGTCTGCTTTTTATATGTAATCCCGTTTCCAACGAAATCCTCAAATCTAGCCAAATAGCCACTTGCAGATTCCACAAAAAGAGTGTTTCAAAACTGTTCTGTCTAAAGAAATGTTCAACTGTGTTAGTTGAGGACACACATCAGAAACTAGTTTCTGAGAATGCTTCTGTCTAGTTGTTATGGGAAGATATTTCCTTTTCCAACGTAGGCCTGAAAGCGCTCCAAATGTCCACTTCCATATACTAAAAAAAGAGTGTTTCAAACCTGCTCTACCAAAGGGAATGTTCTACTCTGTGACTTGAATGCAAACATCCCAAAGAAGTTTCTGAGAATGCTTCTGTCTAGATTTGATCTGAAGACAATCCCGTTTCCAACGAAATCCTCAAGGCTAGGCAAATATCCTCTTGCAGATTCCAGAAAAAGAGTGTTTCAAAACTGCTCCTTCAAAACTGTGGTTCAATTCTCTTAGTTGAGTACACACATCTCAAATAAGTTTCTGAGAATGCTTCTGCCTAGTTGTTACGGGAAGATATTTCCCTTTCCAACATAGGCCTGAAAGCGCTCCAAATGTCCACTTCCAGATACTACAAAAAGAGTGTTTCAAACCTGCTCTACCAAAGGGAATGTTCTACTCTGTGACTTGAATGCAAACATCCCAAAGAAGTTTCTGAGAATGCTTCTGTCTAGATTTTACCTGAAGACAATCCCGTTTCCCACGAAATCCTCAAAGCTATGCAAATATCCTCTTGCAGATTCTACAAAAAGAGTGTTTCAAAACTGCTCTATGAAAAGAAAGGTTCAACTCTGTCAGTAGAGGGCACACATCACAAACAAGTTTCTGAGAATGCTTGTGTCTAGTTGTTATGGGAAGATATTTCCTTTATCAACATAGGCCTGAAAGCGCTCCAAATGTCCACTTCCAGATACTACAAAAGGAGTGATTCCAACCTGCTCTATGATAGGGAATGTTCAACTCTGTGTCCTGAATACAAACATCACAAAGATGTTTCTCAGAACGCTGCAGTCTGCAATTTGTATGAATTCCCGCTTCCAACGAAATCCTCAAAACTAGCCAAATATCCACTTGGAGATTCCACAAAAAGAGCGTTTCAAAACTTCTCTATGAATAGAAAGGTTCTACTCCTTTAGTTGAGGACACACATCACGAGTAAGTTTCTGAGGATGCTTCCGTCTAGTTTTTATGGGAAGATATGTCCTTTTTCACCTTAGGCCGGAAAGCGCTCCAAATGTCCACTTACACACACTACAAAAAGAGTGTTTCAAACCTGCTCTTTGAAAGGGAATGTTCAATTCTGTGACTTGAATGCAATCATCACAAAGAACTTTCTGAGAATGCTGCTGACTGCTTTTTATATGTAATCCCGTTTCCAACGAAATCCTCAAATCTAGCCCAATATCCACTTGCAGATTCCACAAAAAGAGTGTTTCAAAACTGTTCTGTCTAAAGAAATGTACAACTGTGTCAGTTGAGGACACACATCAGAAACTAGTTTCTGAGAATGCTTCTGTCTAGTTGTTATGGGAAGATATTTCCTTTTCCAACGTAGGCCTGAAAGCGCTCCAAATGTCCACTTCCATATACGAAAAAAAGAGTGTTTCAAACCTGCTCTACCAAAGGGAATGTTCTACTCTGTGACTTGAATGCAAACATCCCAAAGAAGTTTCTGAGAATGCTTCTGTCTAGATTTGATCTGAAGACAATCCCGTTTCCAACGAAATCCTCAAAGCTAGGCAAATATACTCTTGCAGATTCCAGAAAAAGAGTGTTTCAAAACTGCGCCTTCAAAAGGGTGGTTCAATTCTCTTAGTTGAGTACAAACATCTCAAATAAGTTTCTGAGAATGCTTCTGCCTAGTTGTTAAGGGAAGATATTTCCCTTTCCAACATAGGCCTGAAAGCGCTCCAAATGTCCACTTCCAGATACTACAAAAAGAGTGTTTCAAACCTGCTCTACCAAAGGGAATGTTCTACTCTGTGACTTGAATGCAAACATCCCAAAGAAGTTTCTGAGAATGCTTCTATCTAGATTTTACCTGAAGACAATCCCGTTTCCCACGAAATCCTCAAAGCTATGCAAATATCCTCTTGCAGATTCTACAAAAAGAGTGTTTCAAAACTGCTCTATGAAAAGAAAGGTTCAACTCTGTCAGTAGAGGGCACACATCACAAACAAGTTTCTGAGAATGCTTCTGCATAGTTGTTACGGGAAGATATTTCCCTTTCCAAAATAGGCCTGAAAGCGCTCCAAATGTCCACTTCCAGATACTACAAAAGGAGTGATTCCAACCTGCTCTATGATAGGGAATGTTCAACTCTGTGTCCTGAATACAAACATCACAAAGATGTTTCTCAGAACGCTGCAGTCTGCAATTTGTATGAATTCCCGCTTCCAACGAAATCCTCAAAACTAGCCAAATATCCACTTGCAGATTCCACAAAAAGACCATTTCAAAACTGCTCTATCAAAAGAAAGGTTCAACTTTGTTAGTTGAGTAGATACAGCATAAACAAGTTTCTGAGAATGCTTCTGTCCAGTTTTTATGGGAAGATATTTCCTTTTTCACCTTAGCCCTGAAATCGCTCCAAAAGTCCAGTTCCAGATACTACAAAAGGGGTGTTTCAGGACTGCTCTATGAAAGGGAGTGTTCAACTTTTGACTTGAATGCAAACATCAGAAAGCAGTTTCTCAGAACGCTGCTGTGTGCTTTTTATATGTATTCCCGCTTCCAGCGAAATCCCCAAAGCTAGCCAAATATCCACTTGCAGATTCCAGAAAAAGAGAGTTTCAAAACTGCTCCTTCAAAACGGTGGTTCAATTCTCTTAGTTGAGTACACACATCTCAAATAAGTTTCTGAGAATGCTTCTGTCTAGTTGTTATGGGAAGATATTTCCTTTTCCAACATAGGCCTGAAAGCGCTCCAAATGTCCACTTCCAGATACTACAAAAGGAGTGATTCAAACCTGCTCTATGATAGGGAATGTTCAACTCTGTGTCCTGAATACAAACATCACAAAGATGTTTCTCAGAACGCTGCAGTCTGCAATTTGTATGAATTCCCGCTTCCAACGAAATCCTCAAAACTAGCCAAATATCCACTTGCAGATTCCACAAAAAGAGCGTTTCAAAACTTCTCTATGAAAAGAAAGGTTCTACTCCTTTAGTTGAGGACACACATCACGAGTAAGTTTCTGAGAATGCTTCTGTCTAGTTTTTATGGGAAGATATTTCCCTTTTCACCTTAGGCCAGTAAGTGCTCCAAATGTCCACTTACACACACTACAAAAAGAGTGTTTCAAACCTGCTCTGTGAAAGGGAATGTTCAATTCTGTGACTTGAATGCAATCATCACAAAGAACTTTCTGAGAATGCTGCTGACTGCTTTTTATATGTAATCCCGTTTCCAACGAAATCCTCAAATCTAGCCAAATAGCCACTTGCAGATTCCACAAAAAGAGTGTTTCAAAACTGTTCTGTCTAAAGAAATGTTCAACTGTGTTAGTTGAGGACACACATCAGAAACTAGTTTCTGAGAATGCTTCTGTCTAGTTGTTATGGGAAGATATTTCCTTTTCCAACGTAGGCCTGAAAGCGATCCAAATGTCCACTTCCATATACTAAAAAAAGAGTGTTTCAAACCTGCTCTACCAAAGGGAATGTTCTACTCTGTGACTTGAATGCAAACATCCCAAAGAAGTTTCTGAGAATGCTTCTGTCTAGATTTTCTCTGAAGACAATCCCGTTTCCAACGAAATCCTCAAGGCTAGGCAAATATACTCTTGCAGATTCCAGAAAAAGAGTGTTTCAAAACTGCTCCTTCAAAACGGTGGTTCAATTCTCTTAGTTGAGTACACACATCTCAAATAAGTTTCTGAGAATGCTTCTGCCTAGTTGTTACGGGAAGATATTTCCCTTTCCAACATAGGCCTGAAAGCGCTCCAAATGTCCACTTCCAGATACTACAAAAAGAGTGTTTCAAACCTGCTCTACCAAAGGGAATGTTCTACTCTGTGACTTGAATGCAAACATCCCAAAGAAGTTTCTGAGAATGCTTCTGTCTAGATTTTACCTGAAGACAATCCCGTTTCCCACGAAATCCTCAAAGCTATGCAAATATCCTCTTGCAGATTCTACAAAAAGAGTGTTTCAAAACTGCTCTATGAAAAGAAAGGTTCAACTCTGTCAGTAGAGGGCACACATCACAAACAAGTTTCTGAGAATGCTTGTGTCTAGTTGTTATGGGAAGATATTTCCTTTTTCAACATAGGCCTGAAAGCGCTCCAAATGTCCACTTCCAGATACTACAAAAGGAGTGATTCCAACCTGCTCTATGATAGGGAATGTTCCTCTCTGTGTCCTGAATACAAACATCACAAAGATGTTTCTCAGAACGCTGCAGTCTGCAATTTGTATGAATTCCCGCTTCCAACGAAATCCTCAAAACTAGCCAAATATCCACTTGGAGATTCCACAAAAAGAGCATTTCAAAGCTTCTCTACGAATAGAAAGGTTCTACTCCTTTAGTTGAGGACACACATCACGAGTAAGTTTCTGAGAATGCTTCTGTCTAGTTTTTATGGGAAGATATTTCCTTTTTCACCTTAGGCCGGAAAGCGCTCCAAATGTCCACTTACACACACTACAAAAAGAGTGTTTCAAACCTGCTCTGTGAAAGGGAATGTTCAATTCTGTGACTTGAATGCAATCATCACAAAGAACTTTCTGAGAATGCTGCTGTCTGCTTTTTATATGTAATCCCGTTTCCAACGAAATCCTCAAATCTAGCCAAATATCCACTTGCAGATTCCACAAAAAGAGTGTTTCAAAACTGTTCTGTCTAAAGAAAAGTTCAACTGTGTTAGTTGAGGACACACATCAGAAACTAGTTTCTGAGAATGCTTCTGTCTAGTTGTTATGGGAAGATATTTCCTTTTCCAACGTAGTGCTCTGAAAGCGCTCCAAATGTCCACTTCCAGATACTAAAAAAAGAGTGTTTCAAACCTGCTCTACCAAAGGGAATGTTCTAATCTGTGACTTGAATGCAAACATCCCAAAGAAGTTTCTGAGAATGCTTCTGTCTAGATTTGATCTGAAGACAATCCCGTTTCCAACGAAATCCTCAAGGCTAGGCAAATATACTCTTGCAGATTCCAGAAAAAGAGTGTTTCAAAACTGCTCCTTCAAAACGGTGGTTCAATTCTCTTAGTTGAGTACACACATCTCAAATAAGTGTCTGAGAATGCTTCTGCCTAGTTGTTACGGGAAGATATTTCCCTTTCCAACATGGGCCTGAAAGTGCTCCAAATGTCCACTTCCAGATACTACAAAAAGAGTGTTTCAAACCTGCTCTACCAAAGGGAATGTTCTACTCTGTGACTTGAATGCAAACATCCCAAAGAAGTTTCTGAGAATGCTTCTGTCTAGATTTTACCTGAAGACAATCCCGTTTCCCACGGAATCCTCAAAGCTATGCAAATATCCTCTTGCAGATTCTACAAAAAGAGTGTTTCAAAACTGCTCTATGAAAAGAAAGGTTCAACTCTGTCAGTAGAGGGCACACATCACAAACAAGTTTCTGAGAATGCTTGTGTCTAGTTGTTATGGGAAGATATTTCCTTTTTCAACATAGGACTGAAAGCGCTCCAAATGTCCACTTCCAGATACTACAAAAGGAGTGATTCCAACCTACTCTATGATAGGGAATGTTCATCTCTGTGTCCTGAATACAAACATCACAAAGATGATTCTCAGAACGCTGCAGTCTGCAATTTGTATGAATTTCCGCTTCCAACGAAATCCTCAAAACTAGCCAAATATCCACTTGCAGATTCCACAAAAAGAGCGTTTCAAAACTTCTCTATGAATAGAAATGTTCTACTCCTTTAGTTGAGGACACACATCACGAGTAAGTTTCTGAGAATGCTTCTGTCTAGTTTTTATGGGAAGATATTTCCTTTTTCACCTTAGGCCGGAAAGCGCTCCAAATGTCCACTTACACACACTACAAAAAGAGGGTTTCAAACCTGCTCTGTGAAAGGGAATGTTCAATTCTGTGACTTGAATGCAATCATCACAAAGAACTTTCTGAGAATGCTGCTGTCTGCTTTTTATATGTAATCCCGTTTCCAACGAAATCCTCAAATCTAGCCAAATATCCACTTGCAGATTCCACAAAAAGAGTGTTTCAAAACTGTTCTGTCTAAAGAAAAGTTCAACTGTGTTAGTTGAGGACACACATCAGAAACTAGTTTCTGAGAATGCTTCTGTCTAGTTGTTATGGGAAGATATTTCCTTTTCCAACGTAGGCCTGAAAGCGCTCCAAATGTCCACTTCCATATACTAAAAAAAGAGTGTTTCAAACCTGCTCTACCAAAGGGAATGTTCTACTCTGTGACTTGAATGCAAACATCCCAAAGAAGTTTCTGAGAATGCTTCTGTCTAGATTTTACCTGAAGACAATCCCGTTTCCCACGAAATCCTCAAAGCTATGCAAATATCCTCTTGCAGATTCTACAAAAAGAGTGTTTCAAAACTGCTCTATGAAAAGAAAGGTTGAACTCTGTCAGTAGAGGGCACACATCACAAACAAGTTTCTGAGAATGCTTGTGTCTAGTTGTTATGGGAAGATATTTCCTTTTTCAACATAGGCCTGAAAGCTCTCCAAATGTCCCAGATACTACAAAAGGAGTGATTCCAACCTGCTCTATGATAGGGAATGTTCATCTCTGTGTCCTGAATACAAACATCACAAAGATGTTTCTCAGAACGCTGCAGTCTGCAATTTGTATGAATTCCCGCTTCCAACGAAATCCTCAAAACTAGCCAAATATCCACTTGCAGATTCCACAAAAAGACCATTTCAAAACTGCTCTATCAAAAGAAAGGTTCAACTTTGTTAGTTGAGTAGATACAGCATAACCAAGTTTCTGAGAATGCTTCTGTCCAGTTTTTATGGGAAGATATTTCCTTTTTCACCTTAGCCCTGAAATCGCTCCAAAAGTCCAGTTCCAGATACTACAAAAGGGGTGTTTCAAGACTGCTCTATGAAAGGGAGTGTTCAACTTTTGACTTGAATGCAAACATCAGAAAGCAGTTTCTCAGAACGCTGCTGTGTGCTTTTTATATGTATTCCCGCTTCCAGCGAAATCCCCAAAGCTAGCCAAATATCCACTTGCAGATTCCAGAAAAAGAGAGTTTCAAAACTGCTCCTTCAAAACGGTGGTTCAATTCTCTTAGTTGAGTACACACATCTCAAATAAGTTTCTGAGAATGCTTCTGTCTAGTTGTTATGGGAAGATATTTCCTTTTCCAACATAGGCCTGAAAGCGCTCCAAATGTCCACTTCCAGATACTACAAAAGGAGTGATTCAAACCTGCTCTATGATAGGGAATGTTCAACCCTGTGTCCTGAATACAAACATCACAAAGATGTTTCTCAGAACGCTGCAGTCTGCAATTTGTATGAATTCCCGCTTCCAACGAAATCCTCCAAACTAGCCAAATATCCACTTGCAGATTCCACAAAAAGAGCGTTTCAAAACTTCTCTATGAAAAGAAAGGTTCTACTCCTTTAGTTGAGGACACACATCACGAGTAAGTTTCTGAGAATGCTTCTGTCTAGTTTTTATGGGAAGATATTTCCTTTTTCACCTTAGGCCGGAAAGTGCTCCAAATGTCCACTTACACACACTACAAAAAGAGTGTTTCAAACCTGCTCTGTGAAAGGGAATGTTCAATTCTGTGACTTGAATGCAATCATCACAAAGAACTTTCTGAGAATGCTGCTGTCTGCTTTTTATATGTAATCCCGTTTCCAACGAAATCCTCAAATCTAGCCAAATAGCCACTTGCAGATTCCACAAAAAGAGTGTTTCAAAACTGTTCTGTCTAAAGAAATGTTCAACTGTGTTAGTTGAGGACACACATCAGAAACTAGTTTCTGAGAATGCTTCTGTCTAGTTGTTATGGGAAGATATTTCCTTTTCCAACATAGGCCTGAAAGCGCTCCAAATGTCCACTTCCATATACTAAAAAAAGAGTGTTTCAAACCTGCTCTACCAAAGGGAATGTTCTACTCTGTGACTTGAATGCAAACATCCCAAAGAAGTTTCTGAGAATGCTTCTGTCTAGATTTGATCTGAAGACAATCCCGTTTCCAACGAAATCCTCAAGGCTAGGCAAATATCCTCTTGCAGATTCCAGAAAAAGAGTGTTTCAAAACTGCTCCTTCAAAACGGTGGTTCAATTCTCTTAGTTGAGTACACACATCTCAAATAAGTTTCTGAGAATGCTTCTGCCTAGTTGTTACGGGAAGATATTTCCCTTTCCAACATAGGCCTGAAAGCGCTCCAAATGTCCACTTCCAGATACTACAAAAAGAGTGTTTCAAACCTGCTCTACCAAAGGGAATGTTCTACTCTGCGACTTGAATGCAAACATCCCAAAGAAGTTTCTGAGAATGCTTCTGTCTAGATTTTACCTGAAGACAATCCCGTTTCCCACGAAATCCTCAAAGCTATGCAAATATCCTCTTGCAGATTCTACAAAAAGAGTGTTTCAAAACTGCTCTATGAAAAGAAAGGTTCAACTCTGTCAGTAGAGGGCACACATCACAAACAAGTTTCTGAGAATGCTTCTGCATAGTTGTTACGGGAAGATATTTCCCTTTCCAAAATAGGCCTGAAAGCGCTCCAAATGTCCACTTCCAGATACTACAAAAGGAGTGATTCCAACCTGCTCTATGATAGGGAATGTTCAACTCTGTGTCCTGAATACAAACATCACAAAGATGTTTCTCAGAACGCTGCAGTCTGCAATTTGTATGAATTCCCGCTTCCAACGAAATCCTCAAAACTAGCCAAATATCCACTTGCAGATTCCACAAAAAGACCATTTCAAAACTGCTCTATCAAAAGAAAGGTTCAACTTTGTTAGTTGAGTAGATACAGCATAAACAAGTTTCTGAGAATGCTTCTGTCCAGTTTTTATGGGAAGATATTTCCTTTTTCACCTTAGCCCTGAAATCGCTCCAAAAGTCCAGTTCCAGATACTACAAAAGGGGTGTTTCAAGACTGCTCTATGAAAGGGAGTGTTCAACTTTTGACTTGAATGCAAACATCAGAAAGCAGTTTCTCAGAACGCTGCTGTGTGCTTTTTATATGTATTCCCGCTTCCAGCGAAATCCCCAAAGCTAGCCAAATATCCACTTGCAGATTCCAGAAAAAGAGAGTTTCAAAACTGCTCCTTCAAAACGGTGGTTCAATTCTCTTAGTTGAGTACACACATCTCAAATAAGTTTCTGAGAATGCTTCTGTCTAGTTGTTATGGGAAGATATTTCCTTTTTCAACATAGGCCTGAAAGCGCTCCAAATGTCCACTTCCAGATAGTACAAAAGGAGTGATTCCAGCCTTCTCTATGATAGGGAATGTTCAACTCTGTGTCCTGAATACAAACATCACAAAGACGTTTCTCAGAACGCTGCAGTCTGCAATTTGTATGAATTCCCGCTTCCAACGAAATCCTCAAACCTAGCCAAATATCCACTTGCAGATTCCACAAAAAGAGCATTTCAAAACTGCTCTATCAAAAGAAAGGTTCAACTTTGTTAGTTGAGTAGATACAGCATAAACAAGTTTCTGAGAATGCTTCTGTCCAGTTTTTATGGGAAGATATTTCCTTTTTCACCTTAGCCCTGAAAGCGCTCCAAATGTCCAGTTCCCGATACTACAAAAGGGGTGTTTCAAGACTGCTCTATGAAAGGGAGTGTTCAACTTTTGACTTGAATGCAAACATCAGAAAGCAGTTTCTCAGAACGCTGCTGTGTGCTTTTTATATGAATTCCCGCTTCCAGCGAAATCCCCAAAGCTAGCCAAATATCCACTTGCAGATTCCAGAAAAAGAGTGTTTCAAAACTGCTCCTTCAAAACGGTGGTTCAATTCTCTTAGTTGAGTACACACATCTCAAATAAGTTTCTGAGAATGCTTCTGTCTAGTTGTTATGGGAAGATATTTCCTTTTCCAACATAGGCCTGAAAGCGCTCCAAATGTCCACTTCCAGATACTACAAAAGGAGTGATTCCAACCTGCTCTATGATAGGGAATGTTCAACTCTGTGTCCTGAATACAAACATCACAAAGATGTTTCTCAGAACGCTGCAGTCTGCAATTTGTATGAATTCCCGCTTCCAACGAAATCCTCCAAACTAGCCAAATATCCACTTGCAGATTCCACAAAAAGAGCGTTTCAAAACTTCTCTATGAAAAGAAAGGTTCTACTCCTTTAGTTGAGGACACACATCACGAGTAAGTTTCTGAGAATGCTTCTGTCTAGTTTTTATGGGAAGATATTTCCTTTTTCACCTTAGGCCGGAAAGTGTTCCAAATGTCCACTTACACACACTATAAAAAGAGTGTTTCAAACCTGCTCTGTGAAAGGGAATGTTCAATTCTGTGACTTGAATGCAATCATCACAAAGAACTTTCTGAGAATGCTGCTGTCTGCTTTTTATATGTAATCCCGTTTCCAACGAAATCCTCAAATCTAGCCAAATAGCCACTTGCAGATTCCACAAAAAGAGAGTTTCAAAACTGTTCTGTCTAAAGAAATGTTCAACTGTGTTAGTTGAGGACACACATCAGAAACTAGTTTCTGAGAATGCTTCTGTCTAGTTGTTATGGGAAGATATTTCCTTTTCCAACGTAGGCCTGAAAGCGCTCCAAATGTCCACTTCCATATACTAAAAAAAGAGTGTTTCAAACCTGCTCTACCAAAGGGAATGTTCTACTCTGTGACTTGAATGCAAACATCCCAAAGAAGTTTCTGAGAATGCTTCTGTCTAGATTTGATCTGAAGACAATCCCGTTTCCAACGAAATCCTCAAGGCTAGGCAAATATCCTCTTGCAGATTCCAGAAAAAGAGTGTTTCAAAACTGCTCCTTCAAAACGGTGGTTCAATTCTCTTAGTTGAGTACACACATCTCAAATAAGTTTCTGAGAATGCTTCTGCCTAGTTGTTACGGGAAGATATTTCCCTTTGCAACATGGGCCAGAAAGCGCTCCAAATGTCCACTTCCAGATACTACAAAAAGAGGGTTTCAAACCTGCTCTACCAAAGGGAATGTTCTACTCTGTGACTTGAATGTAAACATCCCAAAGAAGTTTGCTGAGAATGCTTCTGTCTAGATTTTACCTGAAGACAATCCCGTTTCCCACGAAATCCTCAAAGCTATGCAAATATCCTCTTGCAGATTCTACAAAAAGAGTGTTTCAAAACTGCTCTATGAAAAGAAAGGTTCAACTCTGTCAGTAGAGGGCACACATCACAAACAAGTTTCTGAGAATGCTTGTGTCTAGTTGTTATGGGAAGATATTTCCTTTTTCAACATAGGCCTGAAAGCGCTCCAAATGTCCACTTCCAGATACTACAAAAGGAGTGATTCCAACCTGCTGTATGATAGGGAATGTTCATCTCTGTGTCCTGAATACAAACATCACAAAGATGTTTCTCAGAACGCTGCAGTCTGCAATTTGTATGAATTCCCGCTTCCAACGAAATCCTCAAAACTAGCCAAATATCCACTTGCAGATTCCACAAAAAGACCATTTCAAAACTGCTCTATCAAAAGAAAGGTTCAACTTTGTTAGTTGAGTAGATACAGCATAACCAAGTTTCTGAGAATGCTTCTGTCCAGTTTTTATGGGAAGATATTTCCTTTTTCACCTTAGCCCTGAAATCGCTCCAAAAGTCCAGGTCCAGATACTACAAAAGGGGTGTTTCAAGACTGCTCTATGAAAGGGAGTGTTCAACTTTTGACTTGAATGCAAACATCAGAAAGCAGTTTCTCAGAACGCTGCTGTGTGCTTTTTATATGTATTCCCGCTTCCAGCGAAATCCCCAAAGCTAGCCAAATATCCACTTGCAGATTCCAGAAAAAGAGAGTTTCAAAACTGCTCCTTCAAAACGGTGGTTCAATTCTCTTAGTTGAGTACACACATCTCAAATAAGTTTCTGAGAATGCTTCTGTCTAGTTGTTATGGGAAGATATTTCCTTTTCCAACATAGGCCTGAAAGCGCTCCAAATGTCCACTTCCAGATACTACAAAAGGAGTGATTCCAACCTGCTCTATGATAGGGAATGTTCAACTCTGTGTCCTGAATACAAACATCACAAAGATGTTTCTCAGAACGCTGCAGTCTGCAATTTGTATGAATTCCCGCTTCCAACGAAATCCTCAAAACTAGCCAAATATCCACTTGCAGATTCCACAAAAAGAGCGTTTCAAAACTTCTCTATGAAAAGAAAGGTTCTACTCCTTTAGTTGAGGACACACATCACGAGTAAGTTTCTGAGAATGCTTCTGTCTAGTTTTTATGGGAAGATATTTCCTTTTTCACCTTAGGCCGGTAAGTGCTCCAAATGTCCACTTACACACACTACAAAAAGAGTGTTTCAAACCTGCTCTGTGAAAGGGAATGTTCAATTCTGTGACTTGAATGCAATCATCACAAAGAACTTTCTGAGAATGCTGCTGACTGCTTTTTATATGTAATCCCGTTTCCAACGAAATCCTCAAATCTAGCCAAATAGCCACTTGCAGATTCCACAAAAAGAGTGTTTCAAAACTGTTCTGTCTAAAGAAATGTTCAACTGTGTTAGTTGAGGACACACATCAGAAACTAGTTTCTGAGAATGCTTCTGTCTAGTTGTTATGGGAAGATATTTCCTTTTCCAACGTAGGCCTGAAAGCGCTCCAAATGTCCACTTCCAGATACTACAAAAAGAGTGTTTCAAACCTGCTCTACCAAAGGGAATGTTCTACTCTGTGACTTGAATGCAAACATCCCAAAGAAGTTTCTGAGAATACTTCTGTCTAGATTTTCTCTGAAGACAATCCCGTTTCCAACGAAATCCTCAAGGCTAGGCAAATATACTCTTGCAGATTCCAGAAAAAGAGTGTTTCAAAACTGCTCCTTCAAAACGGTGGTTCAATTCTCTTAGTTGAGTACACACATCTCAAATAAGTTTCTGAGAATGCTTCTGCCTAGTTGTTACGGGAAGATATTTCCCTTTCCAACATGGGCCTGAAAGCGCTCCAAATGTCCACTTCCAGATACTAAAAAAAGAGTGTTTCAAACCTGCTCTACCAAAGGGAATGTTCTACTCTGTGACTTGAATGCAAACATCCCAAAGAAGTTTCTGAGAATGCTTCTGTCTAGATTTTACCTGAAGACAATCCCGTTTCCCACGAAATCCTCAAAGCTATGCAAATATCCTCTTGCAGATTCTACAAAAAGAGTGTTTCAAAACTGCTCTATGAAAAGAAAGGTTCAACTCTGTCAGTAGAGGGCACACATCACAAACAAGTTTCTGAGAATGCTTCTGCATAGTTGTTACGGGAAGATATTTCCTTTTTCAAAATAGGCCTGAAAGCGCTCCAAATGTCCATTTCCAGATACTACAAAAGGAGTGATTCCAACCTGCTCTATGATAGGGAATGTTCAACTCTGTGTCCTGAATACAAACATCACAAAGATGTTTCTCAGAACGCTGCAGTCTGCAATTTGTATGAATTCCCGCTTCCAACGAAATCCTCAAAACTAGCCAAATATCCACTTGCAGATTCCACAAAAAGAGCATTTCAAAACTGCTCTATCAAAAGAAAGGTTCAACTTTGTTAGTTGAGTAGATACAGCATAAACAAGTTTCTGAGAATGCTTCTGTCCAGTTTTTATGGGAAGATATTTCCTTTTTCACCTTAGCCCTGAAAGCGCTCCAAAAGTCCAGTTCCAGATACTACAAAAGGAGTGTTTCAGGACTGCTCTATGAAAGGGAGTGTTCAACTTTTGACTTGAATGCAAACATCAGAAAGCAGTTTCTCAGAACGCTGCTGTGTGCTTTTTATATGTATTCCCGCTTCCAGCGAAATCCCCAAAGCTAGCCAAATATCCACTTGCAGATTCCAGAAAAAGAGTGTTTCAAAACTGCTCCTTCAAAACGGTGGTTCAATTCTCTTAGTTGAGTACACACATCTCAAATAAGTTTCTGAGAATGCTTCTGTCTATTTGTTATGGGAAGATATTTCCTTTTCCAACATAGGCCTGAAAGCGCTCCAAATGTCCACTTCCAGATACTAGAAAAGGAGTGATTCAAACCTGCTCTATGATAGGGAATGTTCAACTCTGTGTCCTGAATACAAACATCACAAAGATGTTTCTCAGAACGCTGCAGTCTGCAATTTGTATGAATTCCCGCTTCCAACGAAATCCTCAAAACTAGCCAAATATCCACTTGCAGATTCCACAAAAAGAGCGTTTCAAAACTTCTCTATGAAAAGAAAGGTTCTACTCCTTTAGTTGAGGACACACATCACGAGTAAGTTTCTGAGAATGCTTCTGTCTAGTTTGTATGGGAAGATATTTCCTTTTTCACCTTAGGCCGGAAAGTGCTCCAAATGTCCACTTACACACACTACAAAAAGAGTGTTTCAAACCTGCTCTGTGAAAGGGAATGTTCAATTCTGTGACTTGAATGCAATCATCACAAAGAACTTTCTGAGAATGCTGCTGACTGCTTTTTATATGTAATCCCGTTTCCAACGAAATCCTCAAATCTAGCCAAATAGCCACTTGCAGATTCCACAAAAAGAGTGTTTCAAAACTGTTCTGTCTAAAGAAATGTTCAACTGTGTTAGTTGAGGACACACATCAGAAACTAGTTTCTGAGAATGCTTCTGTCTAGTTGTTATGGGAAGATATTTCCTTTTCCAACGTAGGCCTGAAAGCGCTCCAAATGTCCACTTCCATATACTAAAAAAAGAGTGTTTCAAACCTGCTCTACCAAAGGGAATGTTCTACTCTGTGACTTGAATGCAAACATCCCAAAGAAGTTTCTGAGAATGCTTCTGTCTACATTTTATCTGAAGACAATCCCGTTTCCAACGAAATCCTCAAGGCTAGGCAAATATACTCTTGCAGATTCCAGAAAAAGAGTGTTTCAAAACTGCTCCTTCAAAACGGTGGTTCAATTCTCTTAGTTGAGTACACACATCTCAAATAAGTTTCTGAGAATGCTTCTGCCTAGTTGTTACGGGAAGATATTTCCCTTTCCAACATAGGCCTGAAAGCGCTCCAAATGTCCACTTCCAGATACTACAAAAAGAGTGTTTCAAACCTGCTCTACCAAAGGGAATGTTCTACTCTGTGACTTGAATGCAAACATCCCAAAGAAGTTTCTGAGAATGCTTCTGTCTAGATTTTACCTGAAGACAATCCCGTTTCCCACGAAATCCTCAAAGCTATGCAAATATCCTCTTGCAGATTCTACAAAAAGAGTGTTTCAAAACTGCTCTATGAAAAGAAAGGTTCAACTCTGTCAGTAGAGGGCACACATCACAAACAAGTTTCTGAGAATGCTTGTGTCTAGTTGTTATGGGAAGATATTTCCTTTTTCAACATAGGCCTGAAAGCGCTCCAAATGTCCACTTCCAGATACTACAAAAGGAGTGATTCCAACCTGCTCTATGATAGGGAATGTTCATCTCTGTGTCCTGAATACAAACATCACAAAGATGTTTCTCAGAACGCTGCAGTCTGCAATTTGTATGAATTCCCGCATCCAACGAAATCCTCAAAACTAGCCAAATATCCACTTGGAGATTCCACAAAAAGAGCGTTTCAAACCTTCTCTATGAATAGAAAGGTTCTACTCCTTTAGTTGAGGACACACATCACGAGTAAGTTTCTGAGAATGCTTCTGTCTAGTTTGTATGGGAAGATATTTCCTTTTTCACCTTAGGCCGGAAAGTGCTCCAAATGTCCACTTACACACACTACAAAAAGAGTGTTTCAAACCTGCTCTGTGAAAGGGAATGTTCAATTCTGTGACTTGAATGCAATCATCACAAAGAACTTTCTGAGAATGCTGCTGTCTGCTTTTTATATGTAATCCCGTTTCCAACGAAATCCTCAAATCTAGCCAAATATCCACTTGCAGATTCCACAAAAAGAGTGTTTCAAAACTGTTCTGTCTAAAGAAAAGTTCAACTGTGTTAGTTGAGGACACACATCAGAAACTAGTTTCTGAGAATGCTTCTGTCTAGTTGTTATGGGAAGATATTTCCTTTTCCAACGTAGGCCTGAAAGCGCTCCAAATGTCCATTTCCATATACTAAAAAAAGAGTGTTTCAAACCTGCTCTACCAAAGGGAATGTTCTACTCTGTGACTTGAATGCAAACATCCCAAAGAAGTTTCTGAGAATGCTTCTGTCTAGATTTTATCTGAAGACAATCCCGTTTCCAACGAAATCCTCAAGGCTAGGCAAATATACTCTTGCAGATTCCAGAAAAAGAGTGTTTCAAAACTGCTCCTTCAAAACGGTGGTTCAATTCTCTTAGTTGAGTACACACATCTCAAATAAGTTTCTGAGAATGCTTCTGCCTAGTTGTTACGGGAAGATATTTCCCTTTCCAACATGGGCCTGAAAGCGCTCCAAATGTCCACTTCCAGATACTACAAAAAGAGGGTTTCAAACCTGCTCTACCAAAGGGAATGTTCTACTCTGTGACTTGAATGCAAACATCCCAAAGAAGTTTCTGAGAATGCTTCTGTCTAGATTTTACCTGAAGACAATCCCGTTTCCCACGAAATCCTCAAAGCTATGCAAATATCCTCTTGCAGATTCTACAAAAAGAGTGTTTCAAAACTGCTCTATGAAAAGAAAGGTTCAACTCTGTCAGTAGAGGGCACACATCACAAACAAGTTTCTGAGAATGCTTGTGTCTAGTTGTTATGGGAAGATATTTCCTTTTTCAACATAGGCCTGAAAGCGCTCCAAATGTCCACTTCCAGATACTACAAAAGGAGTGATTCCAACCTGCTCTATGATAGGGAATGTTCCTCTCTGTGTCCTGAATACAAACATCACAAAGATGTTTCTCAGAACGCTGCAGTCTGCAATTTGTATGAATTCCCGCTTCCAACGAAATCCTCAAAACTAGCCAAATATCCACTTGCAGATTCCACAAAAAGAGCGTTTCAAAACTTCTCTATGAAAAGAAAGGTTCTACTCCTTTAGTTGAGGACACACATCACGAGTAAGTTTCTGAGAATGCTTCTGTCTAGTTTTTATGGGAAGATATTTCCTTTTTCACCTTAGGCCGGAAAGCGCTCCAAATGTCCACTTACACACACTACAAAAAGAGGGTTTCAAACCTGCTCTGTGAAAGGGAATGTTCAATTCTGTGACTTGAATGCAATCATCACAAAGAACTTTCTGAGAATGCTGCCTGTCTGCTTTTTATATGTAATCCCGTTTCCAACTAAATCCTCAAATCTAGCCCAATATCCACTTGCAGATTCCACAAAAAGAGTGTTTCAAAACTCTTCTGTCTAAAGAAAAGTTCAACTGTGTTACCTGAGGACACACATCAGAAACTAGTTTCTGAGAATGCTTCTGTCTAGTTGTTATGGGAAGATATTTCCTTTTCCAACGTAGGCCTGAAAGCGCTCCAAATGTCCACTTCCATATACTAAAAAAAGAGTGTTTCAAACCTGCTCTACCAAAGGGCATGTTCTACTCTGTGACTTGAATACAAACATCCCAAAGAAGTTTCTGAGAATGCTTCTGTCTAGATTTGATCTGAAGACAATCCCGTTTCCAACGAAATCCTCAAAGCTAGGCAAATATCCTCTAGCAGATTCCAGAAAAAGAGTGTTTCAAAACTGCTCCTTCAAAACGGTGGTTCAATTCTCTTAGTTGAGTACACACATCTCAAATAAGTTTCAGAGAATGCTTCTGCCTAGTTGTTACGGGAAGATATTTCCCTTTCCAAAATAGGCCTGAAAGCGCTCCAAATGTCCACTTCCAGATACTGCAAAAGGAGTGATTCCAACCTGCTCTATGATAGGGAAAGTTCAACTCTGTGTCCTGAATACAAACATCACAAAGATGTTTCTCAGAACGCTGCAGTCTGCAATTTGCATGAATTCCAGCTTCCAACGAAATCCTCAAAACTAGCCAAATATCCACTTACAGATTCCACAAAAAGAGCATTTCAAAACTGCTCTATCAAAAGAAAGGTTCAACTTTGTTAGTAGAGTAGATACAGCATAAACAAGTTTCTGAGAATGCTTCTGTCCAGTTTTTATGGGAAGATATTTCCTTTTTCACCTTAGCCCTGAAAGCGCTCCAAATGTCCAGTTCCAGATACTACAAAAGGGGTGTTTCAAGACTGCTCTATGAAAGGGAGTGTTCAACTTTTGACTTGAATGCAAACATCAGAAAGCAGTTTCTCAGAACGCTGCTGTGTGCTTTTTATATGTATTCCCGCTTCCAGCGAAATCCCCAAAGCTAGCCAAATATCCACTTGCAGATTCCAGAAAAAGAGTGTTTCAAAACTGCTCCTTCAAAACGGTGGTTCAATTCTCTTAGTTGAGTACACACATCTCAAATAAGTTTCTGAGAATGCTTCTGTCTAGTTGTTATGGGAAGATATTTCCTTTCCCAACATAGGCCTGAAAGCGCTCCAAATGTCCACTTCCAGATACTACAAAAGGAGTGATTCAAACCTGCTCTATGATAGGGAATGTTCAACTCTGTGTCCTGAATACAAACATCACAAAGATGTTTCTCAGAACGCTGCAGTCTGCAATTTGTATGAATTCCCGCTTCCAACGAAATCCTCCAAACTAGCCAAATATCCACTTGCAGATTCCACAAAAAGAGCGTTTCAAAACTTCTCTATGAAAAGAAAGGTTCTACTCCTTTAGTTGAGGACACACATCACGAGTAAGTTTCTGAGAATGCTTCTGTCTAGTTTTTATGGGAAGATATTTCCTTGTTCACCTTAGGCCGGAAAGCGCTCCAAATGTCCACTTACACACACTACAAAAAGAGTGTTTCAAACCTGCTCTGTGAAAGGGAATGTTCAATTCTGTGACTTGAATGCAATCATCACAAAGAAGTTTTTGAGAATGCTGCTGACTGCTTTTTATATGTAATCCCGTTTCCAACGAAATCCTCAAATCCAGCCAAATAGCCACTTGCAGATTCCACAAAAAGAGTGTTTCAAAACTGTTCTGTCTAAAGAAATGTTCAACTGTGTTAGTTGAGGACACACATCAGAAACTAGTTTCTGAGAATGCTTCTGTCTAGTTGTTATGGGAAGATATTTCCTTTTCCAACGTAGGCCTGAAAGCGCTCCAAATGTCCACTTCCATATACTAAAAAAAGAGTGTTTCAAACCTGCTCTACCAAAGGGAATGTTCTACTCTGTGACTTGAATGCAAACATCCCAAAGAAGTTTCTGAGAATGCTTCTGTCTAGATTTTCTCTGAAGACAATCCCGTTTCCAACGAAATCCTCAAGGCTAGGCAAATATACTCTTGCAGATTCCAGAAAAAGAGTGTTTCAAAACTGCTCCTTCAAAACGGTGGTTCAATTCTCTTAGTTGAGTACACACATCTCAAATAAGTTTCTGAGAATGCTTCTGCCTAGTTGTTACGGGAAGATATTTCCCTTTCCAACATGGGCCTGAAAGCGCTCCAAATGTCCACTTCCAGATACTACAAAAAGAGTGTTTCAAACCTGCTCTACCAAAGGGAATGTTCTACTCTGTGACTTGAATGCAAACATCCCAAAGAAGTTTCTGAGAATGCTTCTGTCTAGATTTTACCTGAAGACAATCCCGTTTCCCACGAAATCCTCAAAGCTATGCAAATATCCTCTTGCAGATTCTACAAAAAGAGTGTTTCAAAACTGCTCTATGAAAAGAAAGGTTCAACTCTGTCAGTAGAGGGCACACATCACAAACAAGTTTCTGAGAATGCTTCTGCATAGTTGTTACGGGAAGATATTTCCCTTTCCAAAATAGGCCTGAAAGCGCTCCAAATGTCCACTTCCAGATACTACAAAAGGAGTGATTCCAACCTGCTCTATGATAGGGAATGTTCAACTCTGTGTCCTGAATACAAACATCACAAAGATGTTTCTCAGAACGCTGCAGTCTGCAATTTGTATGAATTCCCGCTTCCAACGAAATCCTCAAAACTAGCCAAATATCCACTTGCAGATTCCACAAAAAGACCATTTCAAAACTGCTCTATCAAAAGAAAGGTTCAACTTTGTTAGTTGAGTAGATACAGCATAAACAAGTTTCTGAGAATGCTTCTGTCCAGTTTTTATGGGAAGATATTTCCTTTTTCACCTTAGCCCTGAAATCGCTCCAAAAGTCCAGTTCCAGATACTACAAAAGGGGTGTTTCAAGACTGCTCTATGAAAGGGAGTGTTCAACTTTTGACTTGAATGCAAACATCAGAAAGCAGTTTCTCAGAACGCTGCTGTGTGCTTTTTATATGTATTCCCGCTTCCAGCGAAATCCCCAAAGCTAGCCAAATATCCACTTGCAGATTCCAGAAAAAGAGAGTTTCAAAACTGCTCCTTCAAAACGGTGGTTCAATTCTCTTAGTTGAGTACACACATCTCAAATAAGTTTCTGAGAATGCTTCTGTCTAGTTGTTATGGGAAGATATTTCCTTTTCCAACATAGGCCTGAAAGCGCTCCAAATGTCCACTTCCAGATACTACAAAAGGAGTGATTCAAACCTGCTCTATGATAGGGAATGTTCAACTCTGTGTCCTGAATACAAACATCACAAAGATGTTTCTCAGAACGCTGCAGTCTGCAATTTGTATGAATTCCCGCTTCCAACGAAATCCTCAAAACTAGCCAAATATCCACTTGCAGATTCCACAAAAAGAGCGTTTCAAAACTTCTCTATGAAAAGAAAGGTTCTACTCCTTTAGTTGAGGACACACATCACGAGTAAGTTTCTGAGAATGCTTCTGTCTAGTTTTTATGGGAAGATATTTCCTTTTTCACCTTAGGCCGGAAAGTGCTCCAAATGTCCACTTACACACACTACAAAAAGAGTGTTTCAAACCTGCTCTGTGAAAGGGAATGTTCAATTCTGTGACTTGAATGCAATCATCACAAAGAACTTTCTGAGAATGCTGCTGTCTGCTTTTTATATGTAATCCCGTTTCCAACGAAATCCTCAAATCTAGCCAAATAGCCACTTGCAGATTCCACAAAAAGAGTGTTTCAAAACTGTTCTGTCTAAAGAAATGTTCAACTGTGTTAGTTGAGGACACACATCAGAAACTAGTTTCTGAGAATGCTTCTGTCTAGTTGTTATGGGAAGATATTTCCTTTTCCAACGTAGGCCTGAAAGCGCTCCAAATGTCCACTTCCATATACTTAAAAAAGAGTGTTTCAAACCTGCTCTACCAAAGGGAATGTTCTACTCTGTGACATGAATGCAAACATCCCAAAGAAGTTTCTGAGAATGCTTCTGTCTAGATTTGATCTGAAGACAATCCCGTTTCCAACGAAATCCTCAAGGCTAGGCAAATATCCTCTTGCAGATTCCAGAAAAAGAGTGTTTCAAAACTGCTCCTTCAAAACGGTGGTTCAATTCTCTTAGTTGAGTACACACATCTCAAATAAGTTTCTGAGAATGCTTCTGCCTAGTTGTTACGGGAAGATATTTCCCTTTCCAACATAGGCCTGAAAGCGCTCCAAATGTCCACTTCCAGATACTACAAAAAGAGTGTTTCAAACCTGCTCTACCAAAGGGAATGTTCTGCTCTGTGACTTGAATGCAAACATCCCAAAGAAGTTTCTGAGAATGCTTCTGTCTAGATTTTACCTGAAGACAATCCCGTTTCCCACGAAATCCTCAAAGCTATGCAAATATCCTCTTGCAGATTCTACAAAAAGAGTGTTTCAAAACTGCTCTATGAAAAGAAAGGTTCAACTCTGTCAGTAGAGGGCACACATCACAAACAAGTTTCTGAGAATGCTTGTGTCTAGTTGTTATGGGAAGATATTTCCTTTTTCAACATAGGCCTGAAAGCGCTCCAAATGTCCACTTCCAGATACTACAAAAGGAGTGATTCCAACCTGCTCTATGATAGGGAATGTTCAACTCTCTGTCCTGAATACAAACATCACAAAGATGTTTCTCAGAACGCTGCAGTCTGCAATTTGTATGAATTCCCGCTTCCAACGAAATCCTCAAAACTAGCCAAATATCCACTTGCAGATTCCACAAAAAGAGCATTTCAAAACTGCTCTATCAAAAGAAAGGTTCAACTTTGTTAGTTGAGTAGATACAGCATAAACAAGTTTCTGAGAATGCTTCTGTCCAGTTTTTATGGGAAGATATTTCCTTTTTCACCTTAGCCCTGAAATCGCTCCAAAAGTCCAGTTCCAGATACTACAAAAGGGGTGTTTCAGGACTGCTCTATGAAAGGGAGTGTTCAACTTTTGACTTGAATGCAAACATCAGAAAGCAGTTTCTCAGAACGCTGCTGTGTGCTTTTTATATGTATTCCCGCTTCCAGCGAAATCCCCAAAGCTAGCCAAATATCCACTTGCAGATTCCAGAAAAAGAGAGTTTCAAAACTGCTCCTTCAAAACGGTGGTTCAATTCTCTTAGTTGAGTACACACATCTCAAATAAGTTTCTGAGAATGCTTCTGTCTAGTTGTTATGGGAAGATATTTCCTTTTCCAACATAGGCCTGAAAGCGCTCCAAATGTCCACTTCCAGATACTACAAAAGGAGTGATTCAAACCTGCTCTATGATAGGGAATGTTCAACTCTGTGTCCTGAATACAAACATCACAAAGATGTTTCTCAGAACGCTGCAGTCTGCAATTTGTATGAATTCCCGCTTCCAACGAAATCCTCAAAACTAGCCAAATATCCACTTGCAGATTCCACAAAAAGAGCGTTTCAAAACTTCTCTATGAAAAGAAAGGTTCTACTCCTTTAGTTGAGGACACACATCACGAGTAAGTTTCTGAGAATGCTTCTGTCTAGTTTTTATGGGAAGATATTTCCTTTTTCACCTTAGGCCGGTAAGTGCTCCAAATGTCCACTTACACACACTACAAAAAGAGTGTTTCAAACCTGCTCTGTGAAAGGGAATGTTCAATTCTGTGACTTGAATGCAATCATCACAAAGAACTTTCTGAGAATGCTGCTGACTGCTTTTTATATGTAATCCCGTTTCCAACGAAATCCTCAAATCTAGCCAAATAGCCACTTGCAGATTCCACAAAAAGAGTGTTTCAAAACTGTTCTGTCTAAAGAAATGTTCAACTGTGTTAGTTGAGGACACACATCAGAAACTAGTTTCTGAGAATGCTTCTGTCTAGTTGTTATGGGAAGATATTTCCTTTTCCAACGTAGGCCTGAAAGCGATCCAAATGTCCACTTCCATATACTAAAAAAAGAGTGTTTCAAACCTGCTCTACCAAAGGGAATGTTCTACTCTGTGACTTGAATGCAAACATCCCAAAGAAGTTTCTGAGAATGCTTCTGTCTAGATTTTCTCTGAAGACAATCCCGTTTCCAACGAAATCCTCAAGGCTAGGCAAATATACTCTTGCAGATTCCAGAAAAAGAGTGTTTCAAAACTGCTCCTTCAAAACGGTGGTTCAATTCTCTTAGTTGAGTACACACATCTCAAATAAGTTTCTGAGAATGCTTCTGCCTAGTTGTTACGGGAAGATATTTCCCTTTCCAACATGGGCCTGAAAGCGCTCCAAATGTCCACTTCCAGATACTACAAAAAGAGTGTTTCAAACCTGCTCTACCAAAGGGAATGTTCTACTCTGTGACTTGAATGCAAACATCCCAAAGAAGTTTCTGAGAATGCTTCTGTCTAGATTTTACCTGAAGACAATCCGGTTTCCCACGAAATCCTCAAAGCTATGCAAATATCGTCTTGCAGATTCTACAAAAAGAGTGTTTCAAAACTGCTCTATGAAAAGAAAGGTTCAACTCTGTCAGTAGAGGGCACACATCACAAACAAGTTTCTGAGAATGCTTGTGTCTAGTTGTTATGGGAAGATATTTCGTTTTTCAACATAGGCCTGAAAGCGCTCCAAATGTCCCAGATACTACAAAAGGAGTGATTCCAACCTGCTCTATGATAGGGAATGTTCATCTCTGTGTCCTGAATACAAACATCACAAAGATGTTTCTCAGAACGCTGCAGTCTGCAATTTGTATGAATTCCCGCTTCCAACGAAATCCTCAAAACTAGCCAAATATCCACTTGCAGATTCCACAAAAAGAGCATTTCAAAACTGCTCTATCAAAAGAAATGTTCAACTTTGTTAGTTGAGTAGATACAGCATAAACAAGTTTCTGAGAATGCTTCTGTCCAGTTTTTATGGGAAGATATTTCCTTTTTCACCTTAGCCCTGAAAGCGCTCCAAAAGTCCAGTTCCAGATACTACAAAAGGAGTGTTTCAGGACTGCTCTATGAAAGGGAGTGTTCAACTTTTGACTTGAATGCAAACATCAGAAAGCAGTTTCTCAGAACGCTGCTGTGTGCTTTTTATATGTATTCCCGCTTCCAGCGAAATCCCCAAAGCTAGCCAAATATCCACTTGCAGATTCCAGAAAAAGAGTGTTTCAAAACTGCTCCTTTAAAACGGTGGTTCAATTCTCTTAGTTGAGTACACACATCTCAAATAAGTTTCTGAGAATGCTTCTGTCTAGTTGTTATGGGAAGATATTTCCTTTTCCAACATAGGCCTGAAAGCGCTCCAAATGTCCACTTCCAGATACTACAAAAGGAGTGATTCAAACCTGCTCTATGATAGGGAATGTTCAACTCTGTGTCCTGAATACAAACATCACAAAGATGTTTCTCAGAACGCTGCAGTCTGCAATTTGTATGAATTCCCGCTTCCAACGAAATCCTCCAAACTAGCCAAATATCCACTTGCAGATTCCACAAAAAGAGCGTTTCAAAACTTCTCTATGAAAACAAAGGTTCTACTCCTTTAGTTGAGGACACACATCACGAGTAAGTTTCTGAGAATGCTTCTGTCTAGTTTTTATGGGAAGATATTTCCTTTTTCACCTTAGGCCGGAAAGTGCTCCAAATGTCCACTTACACACACTATAAAAAGAGTGTTTCAAACCTGCTCTGTGAAAGGGAATGTTCAATTCTGTGACTTGAATGCAATCATCACAAAGAACTTTCTGAGAATGCTGCTGTCTGCTTTTTATATGTAATCCCGTTTCCAACGAAATCCTCAAATCTAGCCAAATAGCCACTTGCAGATTCCAGAAAAAGAGAGTTTCAAAACTGTTCTGTCTAAAGAAATGTTCAACTGTGTTAGTTGAGGACACACATCAGAAACTAGTTTCTGAGAATGCTTCTGTCTAGTTGTTATGGGAAGATATTTCCTTTTCCAACGTAGGCCTGAAAGCGCTCCAAATGTCCACTTCCATATACTAAAAAAAGAGTGTTTCAAACCTGCTCTACCAAAGGGAATGTTCTACTCTGTGACTTGAATGCAAACATCCCAAAGAAGTTTCTGAGAATGCTTCTGTCTAGATTTGATCTGAAGACAATCCCGTTTCCAACGAAATCCTCAAGGCTAGGCAAATATCCTCTTGCAGATTCCAGAAAAAGAGTGTTTCAAAACTGCTCCTTCAAAACGGTGGTTCAATTCTCTTAGTTGAGTACACACATCTCAAATAAGTTTCTGAGAATGCTTCTGCCTCGTTGTTACGGGAAGATATTTCCCTTTCCAACATGGGCCTGAAAGCGCTCCAAATGTCCACTTCCAGATACTACAAAAAGAGGGTTTCAAACCTGCTCTACCAAAGGGAATGTTCTACTCTGTGACTTGAATGCAAACATCCCAAAGAAGTTTCTGAGAATGCTTCTGTCTAGATTTTACCTGAAGACAATCCCGTTTCCCACGAAATCCTCAAAGCTATTCAAATATCCTCTTGCAGATTCTACAAAAAGAGTGTTTCAAAACTGCTCTATGAAAAGAAAGGTTCAACTCTGTCACTAGAGGGCACACATCACAAACAAGTTTCTGAGAATGCTTGTGTCTAGTTGTTATGGGAAGATATTTCCTTTTTCAACATAGGCCTGAAAGCGCTCCAAATGTCCACTTCCAGATACTACAAAAGGAGTGATTCCAACCTGCTCTATGATAGGGAATGTTCAACTCTCTGTCCTGAATACAAACATCACAAAGATGTTTCTCAGAACGCTGCAGTCTGCAATTTGTATGAATTCCCGCTTCCAGCGAAATCCTCAAAACTAGCCAAATATCCACTTGCAGATTCCACAAAAAGAGCATTTCAAAACTGCTCTATCAAAAGAAAGGTTCAACTTTGTTAGTTGAGTAGATACAGCATAAACAAGTTTCTGAGAATGCTTCTGTCCAGTTTTTATGGGAAGATATTTCCTTTTTCACCTTAGCCCTGAAAGCGCTCCAAAAGTCCAGTTCCAGATACTACAAAAGGAGTGTTTCAGGACTGCTCTATGAAAGGGAGTGTTCAACTTTTGACTTGAATGCAAACATCAGAAAGCAGTTTCTCAGAACGCTGCTGTGTGCTTTTTATATGTATTCCCGCCTCCAGCGAAATCCCCAAAGCTAGCCAAATATCCACTTGCAGATTCCAGAAAAAGAGTGTTTCAAAACTGCTCCTTCAAAACGGTGGTTCAATTCTCTTAGTTGAGTACACACATCTCAAATAAGTTTCTGAGAATGCTTCTGTCTAGTTGTTATGGGAAGATATTTCCTTTTTCAACATAGGCCTGAAAGCGCTCCAAATGTCCACTTCCAGATACTACAAAAGGAGTGATTCCAACCTGCTCTATGATAGGGAATGTTCAACTCTGTGTCCTGAATACAAACATCACAAAGATGTTTCTCAGAACGCTGCAGTCTGCAATTTGTATGAATTCCCGCTTCCAACGAAATCCTCAAAACTAGCCCAATATCCACTTGCAGATTCCACAAAAAGAGCGTTTCAAAACTTCTCTATGAAAAGAAAGGTTCTACTCCTTTAGTTGAGGACACACATCACGAGTAAGTTTCTGAGAATGCTTCTGTCTAGTTTTTATGGGAAGATATTTCCTTTTTCACCTTAGGCCGGTAAGTGCTCCAAATGTCCACTTACACACACTACAAAAAGAGTGTTTCAAACCTGCTCTGTGAAAGGGAATGTTCAATTCTGTGACTTGAATGCAATCATCACAAAGAACTTTCTGAGAATGCTGCTGACTGCTTTTTATATGTAATCCCGTTTCCAACGAAATCCTCAAATCTAGCCAAATAGCCACTTGCAGATTCCACAAAAAGAGTGTTTCAAAACTGTTCTGTCTAAAGAAATGTTCAACTGTGTTAGTTGAGGACACACATCAGAAACTAGTTTCTGAGAATGCTTCTGTCTAGTTGTTATGGGAAGATATTTCCTTTTCCAACGTAGGCCTGAAAGCGCTCCAAATGTCCACTTCCAGATACTACAAAAAGAGTGTTTCAAACCTGCTCTACCAAAGGGAATGTTCTACTCTGTGACTTGAATGCAAACATCCCAAAGAAGTTTCTGAGAATGCTTCTGTCTAGATTTTCTCTGAAGACAATCCCGTTTCCAACGAAATCCTCAAGGCTAGGCAAATATACTCTTGCAGATTCCAGAAAAAGAGTGTTTCAAAACTGCTCCTTCAAAACGGTGGTTCAATTCTCTTAGTTGAGTACACACATCTCAAATAAGTTTCTGAGAATGCTTCTGCCTAGTTGTTACGGGAAGATATTTCCCTTTCCAACATGGGCCTGAAAGCGCTCCAAATGTCCACTTCCAGATACTACAAAAAGAGTGTTTCAAACCTGCTCTACCAAAGGGAATGTTCTACTCTGTGACTTGAATGCAAACATCCCAAAGAAGTTTCTGAGAATGCTTCTGTCTAGATTTTACCTGAAGACAATCCCGTTTCCCACGAAATCCTCAAAGCTATGCAAATATCCTCTTGCAGATTCTACAAAAAGAGTGTTTCAAAACTGCTCTAAGAAAAGAAAGGTTCAACTCTGTCAGTAGAGGGCACACATCACAAACAAGTTTGCTGAGAATGCTTGTGTCTAGTTGTTATGGGAAGATATTTCCTTTTTCAACATAGGCCTGAAGCGCTCCAAATGTCCACTTCCAGATACTACAAAAGGAGTGATTCCAACCTGCTCTATGATAGGGAATGTTCAACTCTCTGTCCTGAATACAAACATCACAAAGATGTTTCTCAGAACGCTGCAGTCTGCAATTTGTATGAATTCCCGCTTCCAACGAAATCCTCAAAACTAGCCAAATATCCACTTGCAGATTCCACAAAAAGAGCATTTCAAAACTGCTCTATCAAAAGAAAGGTTCAACTTTGTTAGTTGAGTAGATACAGCATAAACAAGTTTCTGAGAATGCTTCTGTCCAGTTTTTATGGGAAGATATTTCCTTTTTCACCTTAGCCCTGAAATCGCTCCAAAAGTCCAGTTCCAGATACTACAAAAGGGGTGTTTCAGGACTGCTCTATGAAAGGGAGTGTTCAACTTTTGACTTGAATGCAAACATCAGAAAGCAGTTTCTCAGAACGCTGCTGTGTGCTTTTTATATGTATTCCCGCTTCCAGCGAAATCCCCAAAGCTAGCCAAATATCCACTTGCAGATTCCAGAAAAAGAGTGTTTCAAAACTGCTCCTTCAAAACGGTGGTTCAATTCTCTTAGTTGAGTACACACATCTCAAATAAGTTTCTGAGAATGCTTCTGTCTAGTTGTTACGGGAAGATATTTCCTTTTCCAACATAGGCCTGAAAGCGCTCCAAATGTCCACTTCCAGATACTACAAAAGGAGTGATTCAAACCTGCTCTATGATAGGGAATGTTCAACTCTGTGTCCTGAATACAAACATCACAAAGATGTTTCTCAGAACGCTGCAGTCTGCAATTTGTATGAATTCCCGCTTCCAACGAAATCCTCCAAACTAGCCAAATATCCACTTGCAGATTCCACAAAAAGAGCGTTTCAAAACTTCTCTATGAAAAGAAAGGTTCTACTCCTTTAGTTGAGGACACACATCACGAGTAAGTTTCTGAGAATGCTTCTGTCTAGTTTTTATGGGAAGATATTTCCTTTTTCACCTTAGGCCAGAAGGGCTCCAAATGTCCACTTACACATACTACAAAAAGAGTGTTTCAAACCTGCTCTGTGAAAGGGAATGTTCAATTCTGTGACTTGAATACAATCATCACAAAGAACTTTCTGAGAATGCTGCTGACTGCTTTTTATATGTAATCCCGTTTCCAACGAAATCCTCAAATCTAGCCAAATATCCACTTGCAGATTCCACAAAAAGAGTGTTTCAAAACTGTTCTGTCTAAAGAAATGTACAACTGTGTTAGTTGAGGACACACATCAGAAACTAGTTTCTGAGAATGCTTCTGTCTAGTTCTTATGGGAAGATATTTCCTTTTCCAACGTAGGCCTGAAAGCGCTCCAAATGTCCACTTCCATATACTAAAAAAAGAGTGTTTCAAACCTGCTCTACCAAAGAGAATGTTCTACTCTGTGACTTGAATGCAAACATCCCAAAGAAGTTTCTGAGAATGCTTCTGTCTAGATTTTATCTGAAGACAATCCAGTTTCCAACGAAATCCTCAAGGCTAGGCAAATATATTCTTGCAGAATCCAGAAAAAGAGTGTTTCAAAACTGCTCCTTCAAAACGGTGGTTCAATTCTCTTAGTTGAGTACACACATCTCAAATAAGTTTCTGAGAATGCTTCTGCCTAGTTGTTAAGGGAAGATATTTCCCTTTCCAACATGAGCCTGAAAGCGCTCCATATGTCCACTTCCAGATACTACAAAAAGAGTGTTTCAAACCTGCTCTACCAAAGGGAATGTTCTACTCTGTGACTTGAATGCAAACATCCCAAAGAAGTTTCTGAGAATGCTTCTGTCTAGATTTTACCTGAAGACAATCCCGTTTCCCACGAAATCCTCAAAGCTATGCAAATATCCTCTTGCAGATTCTACAAAAAGAGTGTTTCAAAACTGCTCTATGAAAAGAAAGGTTCAACTCTGTCAGTAGAGGGCACACATCACAAACAAGTTTCTGAGAATGCTTGTGTCTAGTTGTTATGGGAAGATATTTCCTTTTTCAACATAGGCCTGAAAGCGCTCCAAATGTCCACTTCCAGATACTACAAAAGGAGTGATTCCAACCTGCTCTATGATAGGGAATGTTCATCTCTGTGTCCTGAATACAAACATCACAAAGATGTTTCTCAGAACGCTTCTCTCTAGATTTTATATGAAGATATTCCCGTTTCCAACGAAATCCACAAAGCTATCAAAATATCCACTTGCAGATTCTACAAAAAGAGTGTTTCAAAACTGCTCTATCAAAAGAAAGGTTCTACCCCTTTAGTTGAGGACACACATCACGAGTAAGTTTCTGAGAATGCTTCTGTCTAGTTTTTATGGGAAGATATTTCCTTTTTCACCTGAGGCCGGAAAGCGCTCCAAATGTCCACTTCCAGATACTACAAAAGGAGTGATTCAAACCTGCTCTATGATAGGGAACGTTCAACTCTGTGTCCTGAATACAAACATCACAAAGATGTTTCTCAGAACGCTGCAGTCTGCAATTTGTATGAATTCCCGCTTCCAACGAAATCCTCAAAACTAGCCAAATATCCACTTGCAGATTCCACAAAAAGAGCGTTTCAAAACTTCTCTATGAAAAGAAAGGTTCTACTCCTTTAGTTGAGGACACACATCACGAGTAAGTTTCTGAGAGTGCTTCTGTCTAGTTTTTATGGGAAGATATTTCCTTTTTCACCTTAGGCCGGAAAGTGCTCCAAATGTCCACTTACACACACTACAAAAAGAGTGTTTCAAACCTGCTCTGTGAAAGGGAATGTTCAATTCTGTGACTTGAATGCAATCATCACAAAGAACTTTCTGAGAATGCTGCTGTCTGCTTTTTATATGTAATCCCGTTTCCAACGAAATCCTCAAATCTAGCCAAATAGCCACTTGCAGATTCCACAAAAAGAGTGTTTCAAAACTGTTCTGTCTAAAGAAATGTTCAACTGTGTTAGTTGAGGACACACATCAGAAACTAGTTTCTGAGAATGCTTCTGTCTAGTTGTTATGGGAAGATATTTCCTTTTCCAACGTAGGCCTGAAAGCGCTCCAAATGTCCACTTCCATATACTAAAAAAAGAGTGTTTCAAACCTGCTCTACCAAAGGGAATGTTCTACTCTGTGACTTGAATGCAAACATCCCAAAGAAGTTTCTGAGAATGCTTCTGTCTAGATTTGATCTGAAGACAATCCCGTTTCCAACGAAATCCTCAAGGCTAGGCAAATATCCTCTTGCAGATTCCAGAAAAAGAGTGTTTCAAAACTGCTCCTTCAAAACGGTGGTTCAATTGCTACTTAGTTGAGTACACACATCTCAAATAAGTTTCTGAGAATGCTTTCTGCCTAGTTGTTACGGGAAAGATATTTCCCTTTCCAACATGGGCCTGAAAGCGCTCCAAATGTCCACTTCCAGATACTACAAAAAGAGTGTTTCAAACCTGCTCTACCAAAGGGAATGTTCTACTCTGTGACTTGAATGCAAACATCCCAAAGAAGTTTCTGAGAATGCTTCTGTCTAGATTTTACCTGAAGACAATCCCGTTTCCCACGAAATCCTCAAAGCTATGCAAATATCCTCTTGCGGATTCTACAAAAAGAGTGTTTCAAAACTGCTCTATGAAAAGAAAGGTTCAACTCTGTCAGTAGAGGGCACACATCACAAACAAGTTTCTGAGAATGCTTGTGTCTAGTTGTTATGGGAAGATATTTCCTTTTTCAACATAGGCCTGAAAGCGCTCCAAATGTCCACTTCCAGATACTAAAAAAGGAGTGATTCCAACCTGCTCTATGATAGGGAATGTTCATCTCTGTGTCTTGAATACAAACATCACAAAGATGTTTCTCAGAACGCTGCACTCTGCAATTTGTATGAATTCCCGCTTCCAACGAAATCCTCAAAACTAGCCAAATATCCACTTGGAGATTCCACAAAAAGAGCGTTTCAAACCTTCTCTATGAATAGAAAGGTTCTACTCCTTTAGTTGAGGACACACATCACGAGTAAGTTTCTGAGAATGCTTCTGTCTAGTTTTTATGGGAAGATATTTCCTTTTTCACCTTAGGCCGGAAAGCGCTCCAAATGTCCACTTACACACACTACAAAAAGAGTGTTTCAAACCTGCTCTGTGAAAGGGAATGTTCAATTCTGTGACTTGAATGCAATCATCACAAAGAACTTTCTGAGAATGCTGCTGACTGCTTTTTATATGTAATCCCGTTTCCAACGAAATCCTCAAATCTAGCCAAATAGCCACTTGCAGATTCCACAAAAAGAGTGTTTCAAAACTGTTCTGTCTAAAGAAATGTTCAACTGTGTTAGTTGAGGACACACATCAGAAACTAGTTTCTGAGAATGCTTCTGTCTAGTTGTTATGGGAAGATATTTCCTTTTCCAACGTAGGCCTGAAAGCGATCAAAATGTCCACTTCCATATACTAAAAAAAGAGTGTTTCAAACCTGCTCTACCAAAGGGAATGTTCTACTCTGTGACTTGAATGCAAACATCCCAAAGAAGTTTCTGAGAATGCTTCTGTCTAGATTTTCTCTGAAGACAATCCCGTTTCCAACGAAATCCTCAAGGCTAGGCAAATATACTCTTGCAGATTCCAGAAAAAGAGTGTTTCAAAACTGCTCCTTCAAAACGGTGGTTCAATTCTCTTAGTTGAGTACACACATCTCAAATAAGTTTCTGAGAATGCTTCTGCCTAGTTGTTACGGGAAGATATTTCCCTTTCCAACATAGGCCTGAAAGCGCTCCAAATGTCCACTTCCAGATACTACAAAAAGAGTGTTTCAAACCTGCTCTACCAAAGGGAATGTTCTACTCTGTGACTTGAATGCAAACATCCCAAAGAAGTTTCTGAGAATGCTTCTGTCTAGATTTTACCTGAAGACAATCCCGTTTCCCACGAAATCCTCAAAGCTATGCAAATATCCTCTTGCAGATTCTACAAAAAGAGTGTTTCAAAACTGCTCTATGAAAAGAAAGGTTCAACTCTGTCAGTAGAGGGCACACATCACAAACAAGTTTCTGAGAATGCTTCTGCATAGTTGTTACGGGAAGATATTTCCCTTTCCAAAATAGGCCTGAAAGCGCTCCAAATGTCCACTTCCAGATACTACAAAAGGAGTGATTCCAACCTGCTCTATGATAGGGAATGTTCAACTCTGTGTCCTGAATACAAACATCACAAAGATGTTTCTCAGAACGCTGCAGTCTGCAATTTGTATGAATTCCCGCTTCCAACGAAATCCTCAAAACTAGCCAAATATCCACTTGCAGATTCCACAAAAAGACCATTTCAAAACTGCTCTATCAAAAGAAAGGTTCAACTTTGTTAGTTGAGTAGATACAGCATAAACAAGTTTCTGAGAATGCTTCTGTCCAGTTTTTATGGGAAGATATTTCCTTTTTCACCTTAGCCCTGAAATCGCTCCAAAAGTCCAGTTCCAGATACTACAAAAGGGGTGTTTCAGGACTGCCCTATGAAAGGGAGTGTTCAACTTTTGACTTGAATGCAAACATCAGAAAGCAGTTTCTCAGAACGCTGCTGTGTGCTTTTTATATGTATTCCCGCTTCCAGCGAAATCCCCAAAGCTAGCCAAATATCCACTTGCAGATTCCAGAAAAAGAGAGTTTCAAAACTGCTCCTTCAAAACGGTGGTTCAATTCTCTTAGTTGAGTACACACATCTCAAATAAGTTTCTGAGAATGCTTCTGTCTAGTTGTTATGGGAAGATATTTCCTTTTCCAACATAGGCCTGAAAGCGCTCCAAATGTCCACTTCCAGATACTACAAAAGGAGTGATTCCAACCTGCTCTATGATAGGGAATGTTCAACTCTGTGTCCTGAATACAAAACATCACAAAGATGTTTCTCAGAACGCTGCAGTCTGCAATTTGTATGAATTCCCGCTTCCAACGAAATCCTCAAAACTAGCCAAATATCCACTTGCAGATTCCACAAAAAGAGCGTTTCAAAACTTCTCTATGAAAAGAAAGGTTCTACTCCTTTAGTTGAGGACACACATCACGAGTAAGTTTCTGAGAATGCTTCTGTCTAGTTTTTATGGGAAGATATTTCCTTTTTCACCTTAGGCCGGTAAGTGCTCCAAATGTCCACTTACACACACTACAAAAAGAGTGTTTCAAACCTGCTCTGTGAAAGGGAATGTTCAATTCTGTGACTTGAATGCAATCATCACAAAGAACTTTCTGAGAATGCCGCTGACTGCTTTTTATATGTAATCCCGTTTCCAACGAAATCCTCAAATCTAGCCAAATAGCCACTTGCAGATTCCACAAAAAGAGTGTTTCAAAACTGTTCTGTCTAAAGAAATGTTCAACTGTGTTAGTTGAGGACACACATCAGAAACTAGTTTCTGAGAATGCTTCTGTCTAGTTGTTATGGGAAGATATTTCCTTTTCCAACGTAGGCCTGAAAGCGCTCCAAATGTCCACTTCCAGATACTACAAAAAGAGTGTTTCAAACCTGCTCTACCAAAGGGAATGTTCTACTCTGTGACTTGAATGCAAGCATCCCAAAGAAGTTTCTGAGAATGCTTCTGTCTAGATTTTCTCTGAAGACAATCCCGTTTCCAACGAAATCCTCAAGGCTAGGCAAATATACTCTTGCAGATTCCAGAAAAAGAGTGTTTCAAAACTGCTCCTTCAAAACGGTGGTTCAATTCTCTTAGTTGAGTACACACATCTCAAATAAGTTTCTGAGAATGCTTCTGCCTAGTTGTTACGGGAAGATATTTCCCTTTCCAACATGGGCCTGAAAGCGCTCCAAATGTCCACTTCCAGATACTACAAAAAGAGTGTTTCAAACCTGCTCTACCAAAGGGAATGTTCTACTCTGTGACTTGAATGCAAACATCCCAAAGAAGTTTCTGAGAATGCTTCTGTCTAGATTTTACCTGAAGACAATCCCGTTTCCCACGAAATCCTCAAAGCTATGCAAATATCCTCTTGCAGATTCTACAAAAAGAGTGTTTCAAAACTGCTCTATGAAAAGAAAGGTTCAACTCTGTCAGTAGAGGGCACACATCACAAACAAGTTTCTGAGAATGCTTCTGCATAGTTGTTACGGGAAGATATTTCCCTTTCCAAAATAGGCCTGAAAGCGCTCCAAATGTCCACTTCCAGATACTACAAAAGGAGTGATTCCAACCTGCTCTATGATAGGGAATGTTCAACTCTGTGTCCTGAATACAAACATCACAAAGATGTTTCTCAGAACGCTGCAGTCTGCAATTTGTATGAATTCCCGCTTCCAACGAAATCCTCAAAACTAGCCAAATATCCACTTGCAGATTCCACAAAAAGACCATTTCAAAACTGCTCTATCAAAAGAAAGGTTCAACTTTGTTAGTTGAGTAGATACAGCATAAACAAGTTTCTGAGAATGCTTCTGTCCAGTTTTTATGGGAAGATATTTCCTTTTTCACCTTAGCCCTAAAATCGCTCCAAAAGTCCAGTTCCAGATACTACAAAAGGGGTGTTTCAAGACTGCTCTATGAAAGGGAGTGTTCAACTTTTGACTTGAATGCAAACATCAGAAAGCAGTTTCTCAGAACGCTGCTGTGTGCTTTTTATATGTATTCCCGCTTCCAGCGAAATCCCCAAAGCTAGCCAAATATCCACTTGCAGATTCCAGAAAAAGAGTGTTTCAAAACTGCTCCTTCAAAACGGTGGTTCAATTCTCTTAGTTGAGTAGACACGTCTCAAATAAGTTTCTGAGAATGCTTCTGTCTAGTTGTTATGGGAAGATATTTCCTTTTCCAACATAGGCCTGAAAGCGCTCCAAATGTCCACTTCCAGATACTACAAAAGGAGTGATTCAAACCTGCTCTATGATAGGGCATGTTCAACTCTGTGTCCTGAATACAAACATCACAAAGATGTTTCTCAGAACGCTGCAGTCTGCAATTTGTATGAATTCCCGCTTCCAACGAAATCCTCAAAACTAGCCAAATATCCACTTGCAGATTCCACAAAAAGAGCGTTTCAAAACTTCTCTATGAAAAGAAAGGTTCTACTACTTTAGTTGAGGACACACATCACGAGTAAGTTTCTGAGAATGCTTCTGTCTAGTTTTTATGGGAAGATATTTCCTTTTTCACCTTAGGCCGGTAAGTGCTCCAAATGTCCACTTACACACACTACAAAAAGAGTGTTTCAAACCTGCTCTGTGAAAGGGAATGTTCAATTCTGTGACTTGAATGCAATCATCACAAAGAACTTTCTGAGAATGCTGCTGACTGCTTTTTATATGTAATCCCGTTTCCAACGAAATCCTCAAATCTAGCCAAATAGCCACTTGCAGATTCCACAAAAAGAGTGTTTCAAAACTGTTCTGTCTAAAGAAAAGTTCAACTGTGTTAGTTGAGGACACACATCAGAAACTAGTTTCTGAGAATGCTTCTGTTTAGTTGTTATGGGAAGATATTTCCTTTTCCAACGTAGGCCTGAAAGCGCTCCAAATGTCCACTTCCATATACTAAAAAAAGAGTGTTTCAAACCTGCTCTACCAAAGGGAATGTTCTACTCTGTGACTTGAATGCAAACATCCCAAAGAAGTTTCTGAGAATGCTTCTGTCTAGATTTTATCTGAAGACAATCCCGTTTCCAACGAAATCCTCAAGGCTAGGCAAATATACTCTTGCAGATTCCAGAAAAAGAGTGTTTCAAAACTGCGCCTTCAAAACGGTGGTTCAATTCTCTTAGTTGAGTACACACATCTCAAATAAGTTTCTGAGAATGCTTCTGCCTAGTTGTTACGGGAAGATATTTCCCTTTCCAACATGGGCCTGAAAGCGCTCCAAATGTCCACTTCCAGATACTACAAAAGGAGGGTTTCAAACCTGCTCTACCAAAGGGAATGTTCTACTCTGTGACTTGAATGCAAACATCCCAAAGAAGTTTCTGAGAATGCTTCTGTCTAGATTTTACCTGAAGACAATCCCGTTTCTCACGAAATCCTCAAAACTATGCAAATATCCTCTTGCAGATTCTACAAAAAGAGTGTTTCAAAACTGCTCTATGAAAAGAAAGGTTCAACTCTGTCAGTAGAGGGCACACATCACAAACAAGTTTCTGAGAATGCTTGTGTCTAGTTGTTATGGGAAGATATTTCCTTTTTCAACATAGGCCTGAAAGCGCTCCAAATGTCCACTTCCAGATACTACAAAAGGAGTGATTCCAACCTGCTCTATGATAGGGAATGTTCAACTCTCTGTCCTGAATACAAACATCACAAAGATGTTTCTCAGAACGCTGCAGTCTGCAATTTGTATGAATTCCCGCTTCCAACGAAATCCTCAAAACTAGCCAAATATCCACTTGCAGATTCCACAAAAAGAGCATTTCAAAACTGCTCTATCAAAAGAAAGGTTCAACTTTGTTAGTTGAGTAGATACAGCATAAACAAGTTTCTGAGAATGCTTCTGTCCAGTTTTTATGGGAAGATATTTCCTTTTTCACCTTAGCCCTGAAGGCGCTCCAAATGTCCAGTTCCAGATACTACAAAAGGGGTGTTTCAAGACTGCTCTATGAAAGGGAGTGTTCAACTTTTGACTTGAATGCAAACATCAGAAAGCAGTTTCTCAGAACGCTGCTGTGTGCTTTTTATATGTATTCCCGCTTCCAGCGAAATCCCCAAAGCTAGCCAAATATCCACTTGCAGATTCCAGAAAAAGAGTGTTTCCAAACTGCTCCTTCAAAACGGTGGTTCAATTCTCATAGTTGAGTACACACATCTCCAATAAGTTTCTGGGAATGCTTCTGTCTAGTTGTTATGGGAAGATATTTCCTTTTCCAACATAGGCCTGAAAGCGCTCCAAATGTCCACTTCCAGACACTACAAAAGGAGTGATTCAAACCTGCTCTATGATAGGGAATGTTCAACTCTGTGTCCTGAATACAAACATCACAAAGATGTTTCTCAGAACGCTGCAGTCTGCATCTTGTATGAATTCCCGCTTCCAACGAAATCCTCCAAACTAGCCAAATATCCACTTGCAGATTCCACAAAAAGAGCGTTTCAAAACTTCTCTATGAAAAGAAAGGTTCTACTCCTTTAGTTGAGGACACACATCACGAGTAAGTTTCTGAGAATGCTTCTGTCTAGTTTTTATGGGAAGATATTTCCTTGTTCACCTTAGGCCGGAAAGCGCTCCAAATGTCCACTTACACACACTACAAAAAGAGTGTTTCAAACCTGCTCTGTGAAAGGGAATGTTCAATTCTGTGACTTGAATGCAATCATCACAAAGAAGTTTCTGAGAATGCTGCTGTCTGCTTTTTATATGTAATCCCGTTTCCAACGAAATCCTCACATCTAGCCAAATATCCACTTGCAGATTCCACAAAAAGAGTGTTTCAAAACTGTTCTGTCTAAAGAAATGTTCAACTGTGTTAGTTGAGGACACACATCAGAAACTAGTTTCTGAGAATGCTTCTGTCTAGTTGTTATGGGAAGATATTTCCTTTTCCAACGTAGGCCTGAAAGCGCTCCAAATGTCCACTTCCATATACTAAAAAAAGAGTGTTTCAAACCTGCTCTACCAAAGGAATGTTCTACTCTGTGACTTGAATGCAAACATCCCAAAGAAGTTTCTGAGAATGCTTCTGTCTAGATTTGATCTGAAGACAATCCCTTTTCCAACGAAATCCTCAAAGCTAGGCAAATATCCTCTTGCAGATTCCAGAAAAAGAGTGTTTCCAAACTGCTCCTTCAAAACGGTGGTTCAATTCTCTTAGTTGAGTACACACATCTCAAATAAGTTTCTGAGAATGCTTCTGCCTAGTTGTTACGGGAAGATATTTCCCTTTCCAACATAGGCCTGAAAGCGCAACAAATGTCCACTTCCAGATACGACAAAAAGAGTGTTTCAAACCTGCTCTACCAAAGGGAATGTTCTACTCTGTGACTTGAATGCAAACATCCCGAAGAAGTTTCTGAGAATGCTTCTGTCTAGATTTTACCTGAAGACAATCCCGTTTCCCACGAAATCCTCAGAGCTATGCAAATATCCTCTTGCAGATTCTACAAAAAGAGTGTTTCGAAACTGCTCTATGAAAAGAAAGGTTCAACTCTGTCAGTAGAGGAAACACATCACCAACAAGTTTCTGAGAATGCTTCTGTCTAGTTGTTATGGGAAGATTTTTCCTTTTTCAACATAGGCCTGAAAGCGCTCCAAATGTCCACTTCCAGATACTACAAAAGGAGTGATCCCAACCTGCTCTATGATAGGGAATGTTCAACTCTCTGTCCTGAATACAAACATCACAAAGATGTTTCTCAGAACGCTGCAGTCTGCAATTTGTATGAATTCCCGCTTCCAACGAAATCCTCAAAACTAGCCAAATATCCACTTGCAGATTCCACAAAAAGAGCATTTCAAAACTGCTCTATCAAAAGAAAGGTTCAACTTTGTTAGTTGAGCAGATACAGCATAAACAAGTTTCTGAGAATGCTGCAGTCTGCAATTTGTATGAATTCCCGCTTCCAAGGAAATCCTCCAAACTAGCCAAATATCCACTTGCAGATTCCACAAAAAGAGCGTTTCAAAACTTCTCTATGAAAAGAAAGGTTCTACTCCTTTAGTTGAGGACACACATCACGAGTAAGTTTCTGAGAGTGCTTCTGTCTAGTTTTTATGGGAAGATATTTCCTTTTTCACCTTAGGCCGGAAAGTGCTCCAAATGTCCACTTACACACACTACAAAAAGAGTGTTTCAAACCTGCTCTGTGAAAGGGATTGTTCAATTCTGTGACTTGAATGCAATCATCACAAAGAACTTTCTGAGAATGCTGCTGTCTGCTTTTTATATGTAATCCCGTTTCCAACGAAATCCTCAAATCTAGCCAAATAGCCACTTGCAGATTCCACAAAAAGAGTGTTTCAAAACTGTTCTGTCTAAAGAAATGTTCAACTGTGTTAGTTGAGGACACACATCAGAAACTAGTTTCTGAGAATGCTTCTGTCTAGTTGTTATGGGAAGATATTTCCTTTTCCAACGTAGGCCTGAAAGCGCTCCAAATGTCCACTTCCATATACTAAAAAAAGAGTGTTTCAAACCTGCTCTACCAAAGGGAATGTTCTACTCTGTGACTTGAATGCAAACATCCCAAAGAAGTTTCTGAGAATGCTTTTGTCTAGATTTTATCTGAAGACAATCCCGTTTCCAACGAAATCCTCAAGGCTAGGCAAATATACTCTTGCAGATTCCAGAAAAAGAGGGTTTCAAAACTGCTCCTTCAAAACGGTGGTTCAATTCTCTTCGTTGAGTACACACATCTCAAATAAGTTTCTGAGAATGATTCTGCCTAGTTGTTACGGGAAGATATTTCCCTTTCCAACATAGGCCTGAAAGCGCTCCAAATGTCCACTTCCAGATACTACAAAAAGAGTGTTTCAAACCTGCTCTACCAAAGGGAATGTTCTACTCTGTGACTTGAATGCAAACATCCCAAAGAAGTTTCTGAGAATGCTTCTGTCTAGATTTTACCTGAAGACAATCCCGTTTCCCACGAAATCCTCAAAGCTATGCAAATATCCTCTTGCAGATTCTACAAAAAGAGTGTTTCAAAACTGCTCTATGAAAAGAAAGGTTCAACTCTGTCAGTAGAGGGCACACATCACAAACAAGTTTCTGAGAATGCTTCTGTCTAGTTGTTATGGGAAGATATTTCCTTTTCCAACATAAGCCTGAAAGCGCTCCAAATGTCCACTTCCAGATACTACAAAAGGAGTGATTCAAACCTGCTCTATGATAGGGAATGTTCAACTCTGTGTCCTGAATACAAACATCACAAAGATGTTTCTCAGAACGCTGCAGTCTGCAATTTGTATGAATTCCCGCTTCCAACGAAATCCTCAAAACTAGCCAAATATCCACTTGCAGATTCCACAAAAAGAGCATTTCAAAACTGCTCTATCAAAAGAAAGGTTCAACTTTGTTAGTTGAGTAGATACAGCATAAACAAGTTTCTGAGAATGCTTCTGTCCAGTTTTTATGGGAAGATATTTCCTTTTTCACCTTAGCCCTGAAAGCGCTCCAAAAGTCCAGTTCCAGATACTACAAAAGGAGTGTTTCAGGACTGCTCTATGAAAGGGAGTGTTCAACTTTTGACTTGAATGCAAACATCAGAAAGCAGTTTCTCAGAACGCTGCTGTGTGCTTTTTATATGTATTCCCGCTTCCAGCGAAATCCCCAAAGCTAGCCAAATATCCACTTGCAGATTCCAGAAAAAGAGTGTTTCAAAACTGCTCCTTCAAAACGGTGGTTCAATTCTCTTAGTTGAGTACACACATCTCAAATAAGTTTCTGAGAATGCTTCTGTCCAGTTTTTATGGGAAGATATTTCCTTTTTCACCTTAGCCCTGAAGCGCTCCAAAAGTCCAGTTCCAGATACTACAAAAGGAGTGTTTCAGGACTGCACTATGAAAGGGAGTGTTCAACTTTTGACTTGAATGCAAACATCAGAAAGCAGTTTCTCAGAACGCTGCAGTCTGCAATTTGTATGAATTCCCGCTTCCAACGAAATCCTCAAAACTAGCCAAATATCCACTTGCAGATTCCACAAAAAGAGCGTTTCAAAACTTCTCTATGAAAAGAAAGGTTCTACTCCTTTAGTTGAGGACACACATCACGAGTAAGTTTCTGAGAATGCTTCTGTCTAGTTTTTATGGGAAGATATTTCCTTTTTCACCTTAGGCCGGTAAGTGCTCCAAATGTCCACTTACACACACTACAAAAAGAGTGTTTCAAACCTGCTCTGTGAAAGGGAATGTTCAATTCTGTGACTTGAATGCAATCATCACAAAGAACTTTCTGAGAATGCTGCTGACTGCTTTTTATATGTAATCCCGTTTCCAACGAAATCCTCAAATCTAGCCAAATAGCCACTTGCAGATTCCACAAAAAGAGTGTTTCAAAACTGTTCTGTCTAAAGAAATGTTCAACTGTGTTAGTTGAGGACACACATCAGAAACTAGTTTCTGAGAATGCTTCTGTCTAGTTGTTATGGGAAGATATTTCCTTTTCCAACATAGGCCTGAAAGCGATCAAAATGTCCACTTCCATATACTAAAAAAAGAGTGTTTCAAACCTGCTCTACCAAAGGGAATGTTCTACTCTGTGACTTGAATGCAAACATCCCAAAGAAGTTTCTGAGAATGCTTCTGTCTAGATTTTCTCTGAAGACAATCCCGTTTCCAACGAAATCCTCAAGGCTAGGCAAATATACTCTTGCAGATTCCAGAAAAAGAGTGTTTCAAAACTGCTCCTTCAAAACGGTGGTTCAATTCTCTTAGTTGAGTACACACATCTCAAATAAGTTTCTGAGAATGCTTCTGCCTAGTTGTTACGGGAAGATATTTCCCTTTCCAACATGGGCCTGAAAGCGCTCCAAATGTCCACTTCCAGATACTACAAAAAGAGTGTTTCAAACCTGCTCTACCAAAGGGAATGTTCTACTCTGTGACTTGAATGCAAACATCCCAAAGAAGTTTCTGAGAATGCTTCTGTCCAGATTTTACCTGAAGACAATCCCGTTTCCCACGAAATCCTCAAAGCTATGCAAATATCCTCTTGCAGATTCTACAAAAAGAGTGTTTCAAAACTGCTCTATGAAAAGAAAGGTTCAAATCTGTCAGTAGAGGGCACACATCACAAACAAGTTTCTGGGAATGCTTGTGTCTAGTTGTTATGGGAAGATATTTCCTTTTTCAACATAGGCCTGAAAGCGCTCCAAATGTCCACTTCCAGATACTACAAAAGGAGTGATTCCAACCTGCTCTATGATAGGGAATGTTCAACTCTCTGTCCTGAATACAAACATCACAAAGATGTTTCTCAGAACGCTGCAGTCTGCAATTTGTATGAATTCCCGCTTCCAACGAAATCCTCCAAACTAGCCAAATATCCACTTGCAGATTCCACAAAAAGAGCATTTCAAAACTGCTCTATCAAAAGAAAGGTTCAACTTTGTTAGTTGAGTAGATACAGCATAAACAAGTTTCTGAGAATGCTTCTGTCCAGTTTTTATGGGAAGATATTTCCTTTTTCACCTTAGCCCTGAAAGCGCTCCAAATTTCCAGTTCCAGATACTACAAAAGGGGTGTTTCAAGACTGCTCTATGAAAGGGAGTGTTCAACTTTTGACTTGAATGCAAACATCAGAAAGCAGTTTCTCAGAACGCTGCTGTGTGCTTTTTATATGTATTCCCGCTTCCAGCGAAATCCCCAAAGCTAGCCAAATATCCACTTGCAGATTCCAGAAAAAGAGTGTTTCCAAACTGCTCCTTCAAAACGGTGGTTCAATTCTCTTAGTTGAGTACACACATCTCAAATAAGTTTCTGGGAATGCTTGTGTCTAGTTGTTATGGGAAGATATTTCCTTTATCAACATAGGCCTGAAAGCGCTCCAAATGTCCACTTCCAGATACTACAAAAGGAGTGATTCCAACCTGCTCTATGATAGGGAATGTTCATCTCTGTGTCCTGAATACAAACATCACAAAGATGTTTCTCAGAACCCTTCTCTCTAGATTTTATATGAAGATATTCCCGTTTCCAACGAAATCCACAAAGCTATCAAAATATCCACTTGCAGATTCTACAAAAAGAGTGTTTCAAAACTGCTCTATCAAAAGAAAGGTTCTACCCCTTTAGTTGAGGACACACATCACGAGTAAGTTTCTGAGAATGCTTCTGTCTAGTTTTTATGGGAAGATATTTCCTTTTTCACCTGAGGCCGGAAAGCGCTCCAAATGTCCACTTCCAGATACTACAAAAGGAGTGATTCAAACCTGCTCTATGATAGGGAACGTTCAACTCTGTGTCCTGAATACAAACATCACAAAGATGTTTCTCAGAACGCTGCAGTCTGCAATTTGTATGAATTCCCGCTTCCAACGAAATCCTCAAAACTAGCCAAATATCCACTTGCAGATTCCACAAAAAGAGCGTTTCAAAACTTCTCTATGAAAAGAAAGGTTCTACTCCTTTAGTTGAGGACACACATCACGAGTAAGTTTCTGAGAATGCTTCTGTCTAGTTTTTATGGGAAGATTATTTCCTTTTTCACCTTAGGCCGGTAAGTGCTCCAAATGTCCACTTACACACACTACAAAAAGAGTGTTTCAAACCTGCTCTGTGAAAGGGAATGTTCAATTCTGTGACTTGAATGCAATCATCACAAAGAACTTTCTGAGAATGCTGCTGGCTGCTTTTTATATGTAATCCCGTTTCCAACGAAATCCTCAAATCTAGCCAAATAGCCACTTGCAGATTCCACAAAAAGAGTGTTTCAAAACTGTTCTGTCTAAAGAAATGTTCAACTGTGTTAGTTGAGGACACACATCAGAAACTAGTTTCTGAGAATGCTTCTGTCTAGTTGTTATGGGAAGATATTTCCTTTTCCAACGTAGGCCTGAAAGCGCTCCAAATGTCCACTTCCAGATACTACAAAAAGAGTGTTTCAAACCTGCTCTACCAAAGGGAATGTTCTACTCTGTGACTTGAATGCAAGCATCCCAAAGAAGTTTCTGAGAATGCTTCTGTCTAGATTTTCTCTGAAGACAATCCCGTTTCCAACGAAATCCTCAAGGCTAGGCAAATATACTCTTGCAGATTCCAGAAAAAGAGTGTTTCAAAACTGCTCCTTCAAAACGGTGGTTCAATTCTCTTAGTTGAGTACACACATCTCAAATAAGTTTCTGAGAATGCTTCTGCCTAGTTGTTACGGGAAGATATTTCCCTTTCCAACATGGGCCTGAAAGCGCTCCAAATGTCCACTTCCAGATACTACAAAAAGAGTGTTTCAAACCTGCTCTACCAAAGGGAATGTTCTACTCTGTGACTTGAATGCAAACATCCCAAAGAAGTTTCTGAGAATGCTTCTGTCTAGATTTTACCTGAAGACAATCCCGTTTCCCACGAAATCCTCAAAGCTATGCAAATATCCTCTTGCGGATTCTACAAAAAGAGTGTTTCAAAACTGCTCTATGAAAAGAAAGGTTCAACTCTGTCAGTAGAGGGCACACATCACAAACAAGTTTCTGAGAATGCTTGTGTCTAGTTGTTATGGGAAGATATTTCCTTTTTCAACATAGGCCTGAAAGCGCTCCAAATGTCCACTTCCAGATACTACAAAAGGAGTGATTCCAACATGCTCTATGATAGGGAATGTTCATCTCTGTGTCTTGAATACAAACATCACAAAGATGTTTCTCAGAACGCTGCAGTCTGCAATTTGTATGAATTCCCGCTTCCAACGAAATCCTCAAAACTAGCCAAATATCCACTTGGAGATTCCACAAAAAGAGCGTTTCAAAACTTCTCTATGAATAGAAAGGTTCTACTCCTTTAGTTGAGGACACACATCACGAGTAAGTTTCTGAGAATGCTTCTGTCTAGTTTTTATGGGAAGATATGTCCTTTTTCACCTTAGGCCGGAAAGCGCTCCAAATGTCCACTTACACACACTACAAAAAGAGTGTTTCAAACCTGCTCTGTGAAAGGGAATGTTCAATTCTGTGACTTGAATGCAATCATCACAAAGAACTTTCTGAGAATGCTGCTGTCTGCTTTTTATATGTAATCCCGTTTCCAACGAAATCCTCAAATCTAGCCAAATATCCACTTGCAGATTCCACAAAAAGAGTGTTTCAAAACTGTTCTGTCTAAAGAAAAGTTCAACTGTGTTAGTTGAGGACACACATCAGAAACTAGTTTCTGAGAATGCTTCTGTCTAGTTGTTACGGGAAGATATTTCCTTTTCCAACGTAGGCCTGAAAGCGCTCCAAATGTCCATTTCCATATACTAAAAAAAGAGTGTTTCAAACCTGCTCTATCAAAGGGAATGTTCTACTCTGTGACTTGAATACAAACATCCCAAAGAAGTTTCTGAGAATGCTTCCGTCTAGATTTGATCTGAAGACAATCCCGTTTCCAACGAAATCCTCAAGGCTAGGCAAATATCCCCTTGCAGATTCCAGAAAAAGAGTGTTTCAAAACTGCTCCTTCAAAACGGTGGTTCAATTCTCTTAGTTGAGTACACACATCTCAAATAAGTTTCTGAGAATGCTTCTGCCTAGTTGTTACGGGAAGATATTTCCCTTTCCAACATAGGCCTGAAAAGCGCTCCAAATGTCCACTTCCAGATACTACAAAAAGAGTGTTTCAAACCTGCTCTACCAAAGGGAATGTTCTACTCTGTGACTTGAATGCAAACATCCCAAAGAAGTTTCTGAGAATGCTTCTGTCTAGATTTTACCTGAAGACAATCCCGTTTCCCACGAAATCCTCAAAGCTATGCAAATATCCTCTTGCAGATTCTACAAAAAGAGTGTTTCAAAAGTGCTCTATGAAAAGAAAGGTTCAACTCTGTCAGTAGAGGGCACACATCACAAACAAGTTTCTGAGAATGCTTCTGCATAGTTGTTACGGGAAGATATTTCCCTTTCCAAAATAGGCCTGAAAGCGCTCCAAATGTCCACTTCCAGATACTACAAAAGGAGTGATTCCAACCTGCTCTATGATAGGGAATGTTCAACTCTGTGTCCTGAATACAAACATCACAAAGATGTTTCTCAGAACGCTGCAGTCTGCAATTTGTATGAATTCCCGCTTCCAACGAAATCCTCAAAACTAGCCAAATATCCACTTGCAGATTCCACAAAAAGACCATTTCAAAACTGCTCTATCAAAAGAAAGGTTCAACTTTGTTAGTTGAGTAGATACAGCATAAACAAGTTTCTGAGAATGCTTCTGTCCAGTTTTTATGGGAATATATTTCCTTTTTCACCTTAGCCCTGAAAGCGCTCCAAAAGTCCAGTTCCAGATACTACAAAAGGAGTGTTTCAGGACTGCTCTATGAAAGGGAGTGTTCAACTTTTGACTTGAATGCAAACATCAGAAAGCAGTTTCTCAGAACGCTGCTGTGTGCTTTTTATATGTATTCCCGCCTCCAGCGAAATCCCCAAAGCTAGCCAAATATCCACTTGCAGATTCCAGAAAAAGAGTGTTTCAAAACTGCTCCTTCAAAACGGTGGTTCAATTCTCTTAGTTGAGTACACACATCTCAAATAAGTTTCTGAGAATGCTTCTGTCTAGTTGTTATGGGAAGATATTTCCTTTTCCAACATAGGCCTGAAAGCGCTCCAAATGTCCACTTCCAGATACTACAAAAGGAGTGATTCCAACCTGCTCTATGATAGGGAATGTTCAACTCTGTGTCCTGAATACAAACATCACAAAGATGTTTCTCAGAACGCTGCAGTCTGCAATTTGTATGAATTCCCGCTTCCAACGAAATCCTCCAAACTAGCCAAATATCCACTTGCAGATTCCACAAAAAGAGCGTTTCAAAACTTCTCTATGAAAGAAAGGTTCTACTCCTTTAGTTGAGGACACACATCACGAGTAAGTTTCTGAGAATGCTTCTGTCTAGTTTTTATGGGAAGATATTTCCTTTCTCACCTTAGGCCGGAAAGTGCTCCAAATGTCCACTTACACACACTACAAAAAGAGTGTTTCGAACCTGCTCTGTGAAAGGGAATGTTCAATTCTTTGACTTGAATGCAATCATCACAAAGAACTTTCTGAGAATGCTGCTGTCTGCTTTTTATATGTAATCCCGTTTCCAACGAAATCCTCAAATCTAGCCAAATAGCCACTTGCAGATTCCACAAAAAGAGTGTTTCAAAACTGTTCTGTCTAAAGAAATGTTCAACTGTGTTAGTTGAGGACACACATCAGAAACTAGTTTCTGAGAATGCTTCTGTCTAGTTGTTATGGGAAGATATTTCCTTTTCCAACGTAGGCCTGAAAGCGCTCCAAATGTCCACTTCCATATACTAAAAAAAGAGTGTTTCACACCTGCTCTACCAAAGGGAATGTTCTACTCTGTGACTTGAATGCAAACATCCCAAAGAAGTTTCTGAGAATGCTTCTGTCTAGATTTGATCTGAAGACAATCCCGTTTCCAACGAAATCCTCAAGGCTAGGCAAATATCCTCTTGCAGATTCCAGAAAAAGAGTGTTTCAAAACTGCTCCTTCAAAACGGTGGTTCAATTCTCTTAGTTGAGTACACACATCTCAAATAAGTTTCTGAGAATGCTTCTGCCTAGTTGTTACGGGAAGATATTTCCCTTTCCAACATAGGCCTGAAAGCGCTCCAAATGTCCACTTCCAGATACTACAAAAAGAGTGTTTCAAACCTGCTCTACCAAAGGGAATGTTCTACTCTGTGACTTGAATGCAAACATCCCAAAGAAGTTTCTGAGAATGCTTCTGTCTAGATTTTACCTGAAGACAATCCCGTTTCCCACGAAATCCTCAAAGCTATGCAAATATCCTCTTGCAGATTCTACAAAAAGAGTGTTTCAAAACTGCTCTATGAAAAGAAAGGTTCAACTCTGTCAGTAGAGGGCACACATCACAAACAAGTTTCTGAGAATGCTTCTGCATAGTTGTTACGGGAAGATATTTCCCTTTCCAAAATAGGCCTGAAAGCGCTCCAAATGTCCACTTCCAGATACTACAAAAGGAGTGATTCCAACCTGCTCTATGATAGGGAATGTTCAACTCTGTGTCCTGAATACAAACATCACAAAGATGTTTCTCAGAACGCTGCAGTCTGCAATTTGTATGAATTCCCGCTTCCAACGAAATCCTCAAAACTAGCCAAATATCCACTTGCAGATTCCACAAAAAGACCATTTCAAAACTGCTCTATCAAAAGAAAGGTTCAACTTTGTTAGTTGAGTAGATACAGCATAAACAAGTTTCTGAGAATGCTTCTGTCCAGTTTTTATGGGAAGATATTTCCTTTTTCACCTTAGCCCTGAAAGCGCTTCAAAAGTCCAGTTCCAGATACTACAAAAGGGGTGTTTCAAGACTGCTCTATGAAAGGGAGTGTTCAACTTTTGACTTGAATGCAAACATCAGAAAGCAGTTTCTCAGAACGCTGCTGTGTGCTTTTTATATGTATTCCCGCTTCCAGCGAAATCCCCAAAGCTAGCCAAATATCCACTTGCAGATTCCAGAAAAAGAGTGTTTCAAAACTGCTCCTTCAAAACGGTGGTTCAATTCTCTTAGTTGAGTACACACATCTCAAATAAGTTTCTGAGAATGCTTCTGTCTAGTTGTTATGGGAAGATATTTCCTTTTCCAACATAGGCCTGAAAGCGCTCCAAATGTCCACTTCCAGATACTACAAAAGGAGTGATTCCAACCTGCTCTATGATAGGGAATGTTCAACTCTGTGTCCTGAATACAAACATCACAAAGATGTTTCTCAGAACGCTGCAGTCTGCAATTTGTATGAATTCCCGCTTCCAACGAAATCCTCAAAACTAGCCAAATATCCACTTGCAGATTCCACAAAAAGAGCGTTTCAAAACTTCTCTATGAAAAGAAAGGTTCTACTCCTTTAGTTGAGGACACACATCACGAGTAAGTTTCTGAGAATGCTTCTGTCTAATTTTTATGGGAAGATATGTCCTTTTTCACCTTAGGCCGGAAAGCGCTCCAAATGTCCACTTACACACACTACAAAAAGAGTGTTTCAAACCTGCTCTGTGAAAGGGAATGTTCAATTCTGTCACTTGAATGCAATCATCACAAAGAACTTTCTCAGAATGCTGCTGTCTGCTTTTTATATGTAATCCCGTTTCCAACGAAATCCTCAAATCTAGCCCAATATCCACTTGCAGATTCCACAAAAAGAGTGTTTCAAAACTGTTCTGTCTAAAGAAAAGTTCAACTGTGTTAGTTGAGGACACACATCAGAAACTAGTTTCTGAGAATGCTTCTGTCTAGTTGTTATGGGAAGATATTTCCTTTTCCAACGTAGGCCTGAAAGCGCTCCAAATGTCCACTTCCATATACTAAAAAAAGAGTGTTTCAAACCTGCTCTACCAAAGGGAATGTTCTACTCTGTGACTTGAATGCAAACATCCCAAAGAAGTTTCTGAGAATGCTTCTGTCTAGATTTTATCTGAAGACAATCCCGTTTCCAACGAAATCCTCAAGGCTAGGCAAATATACTCTTGCAGATTCCAGAAAAAGAGTGTTTCAAAACTGCTCCTTCAAAACGGTGGTTCAATTCTCTTAGTTGAGTACACACATCTCAAATAAGTTTCTGAGAATGCTTCTGCCTAGTTGTTACGGGAAGATATTTCCCTTTCCAACATGGGCTTGAAAGCGCTCCAAATGTCCACTTCCAGATACTACAAAAAGAGGGTTTCAAACCTGCTCTACCAAAGGGAATGTTCTACTCTGTGACTTGAATGCAAACATCCCAAAGAAGTTTCTGAGAATGCTTCTGTCTAGATTTTACCTGAAGACAATCCCGTTTCCCACGAAATCCTCAAAGCTATGCAAATATCCTCTTGCGGATTCTACAAAAAGAGTGTTTCAAAACTGCTCTATGAAAAGAAAGGTTCAACTCTGTCAGTAGAGGGCACACATCACAAACAAGTTTCTGAGAATGCTTGTGTCTAGTTGTTATGGGAAGATATTTCCTTTTTCAACATAGGCCTGAAAGCGCTCCAAATGTCCACTTCCAGATACTACAAAAGGAGTGATTCCAACCTGCTCTATGATAGGGAATGTTCCTCTCTGTGTCCTGAATACAAACATCACAAAGATGTTTCTCAGAACGCTGCAGTCTGCAATTTGTATGAATTCCCGCTTCCAACGAAATCCTCAAAACTAGCCAAATATCCACTTGGAGATTCCACAAAAAGAGCGTTTGAAAACTTCTCTATGAATAGAAAGGTTCTACTCCTTTAGTTGAGGACACACATCACGAGTAAGTTTCTGAGAATGCTTCTGTCTAGTTTTTATGGGAAGATATTTCCTTTTTCACCTTAGGCCGGAAAGCGCTCCAAATGTCCACTTACACACACTACAAAAAGAGTGTTTCAAACCTCCTCTGTGAAAGAGAATGCTCAATTCTGTGACTTGAATGCAGTCATCACAAAGAACTTTCTGAGAATGCTGCTGTCTGCTTTTTATATGTAATCCCGTTTCCAACGAAATCCTCAAATCTAGCCAAATAGCCACTTGCAGATTCCACAAAAAGAGTGTTTCAAAACTGTTCTGTCTAAAGAAAAGTTCAACTGTGTTAGTTGAGGACACACATCAGAAACTAGTTTCTGAGAATGCTTCTGTCTAGTTGTTATGGGAAGATATTTCCTTTTCCAACGTAGGCCTGAAAGCGCTCCAAATGTCCACTTCCATATACTAAAAAAAGAGTGTTTCCAACCTGCTCTACCAAAGGGAATGTTCTACTCTGTGACTTGAATGCAAACATCCCAAAGAAGTTTCTGAGAATGCTTCTGTCTAGATTTTCTCTGAAGACAATCCCGTTTCCAACGAAATCCTCAAGGCTAGGCAAATATACTCTTGCAGATTCCAGAAAAAGAGTGTTTCAAAACTGCTCCTTCAAAACGGTGGTTCAATTCTCTTAGTTGAGTACACACATCTCAAATAAGTTTCTGAGAATGCTTCTGCCTAGTTGTTACGGGAAGATATTTCCCTTTCCAACATGGGCCTGAAAGCGCTCCAAATGTCCACTTCCAGATACTACAAAAAGAGTGTTTCAAACCTGCTCTACCAAAGGGAATGTTCTACTCTGTGACTTGAATGCAAACATCCCAAAGAAGTTTCTGAGAATGCTTCTGTCTAGATTTTACCTGAAGACAATCCCGTTTCCCACGAAATCCTCAAAGCTATGCAAATATCCTCTTGCAGATTCTACAAAAAGAGTGTTTCAAAACTGCTCTATGAAAAGAAAGGTTCAACTCTGTCAGTAGAGGGCACACATCACAAACAAGTTTCTGAGAATGCTTTTGCATAGTTGTTACGGGAAGATATTTCCCTTTCCAAAATAGGCCTGAAAGCGCTCCAAATGTCCACTTCCAGATACTACAAAAGGAGTGATTACAACCTGCTCTATGATAGGGAATGTTCAACTCTGTGTCCTGAATACAAACATCACAAAGATGTTTCTCAGAACGCTGCAGTCTGCAATTTGTATGAATTCCCGCTTCCAACGAAATCCTCAAAACTAGCCAAATATCCACTTGCAGATTCCACAAAAAGACCATTTCAAAACTGCTCTATCAAAAGAAAGGTTCAACTTTGTTAGTTGAGTAGATACAGCATAAACAAGTTTCTGAGAATGCTTCTGTCCAGTTTTTATGGGAAGATATTTCCTTTTTCACCTTAGCCCTGAAATCGCTCCAAAAGTCCAGTTCCAGATACTACAAAAGGGGTGTTTCAAGACTGCTCTATGAAAGGGAGTGTTCAACTTTTGACTTGAATGCAAACATCAGAAAGCAGTTTCTCAGAACGCTGCTGTGTGCTTTTTATATGTATTCCCGCTTCCAGCGAAATCCCCAAAGCTAGCCAAATATCCACTTGCAGATTCCAGAAAAAGAGAGTTTCAAAACTGCTCCTTCAAAACGGTGGTTCAATTCTCTTAGTTGAGTACACACATCTCAAATAAGTTTCTGAGAATGCTTCTGTCTAGTTGTTATGGGAAGATATTTCCTTTTCCAACATAGGCCTGAAAGCGCTCCAAATGTCCACTTCCAGATACTACAAAAGGAGTGATTCAAACCTGCTCTATGATAGGGAATGTTCAACTCTGTGTCCTGAATACAAACATCACAAAGATGTTTCTCAGAACGCTGCAGTCTGCAATTTGTATGAATTCCCGCTTCCAACGAAATCCTCAAAACTAGCCAAATATCCACTTGCAGATTCCACAAAAAGAGCGTTTCAAAACTTCTCTATGAAAAGAAAGGTTCTACTCCTTTAGTTGAGGACACACATCACGAGTAAGTTTCTGAGAATGCTTCTGTCTTCTTTTTATGGGAAGATATTTCCTTTTTCACCTTAGGCCGGAAAGTGCTCCAAATGTCCACTTACACACACTACAAAAAGAGTGTTTCAAACCTGCTCTGTGAAAGGGAATGTTCAATTCTGTGACTTGAATGCAATCATCACAAAGAACTTTCTGAGAATGCTGCTGACTGCTTTTTATATGTAATCCCGTTTCCAACGAAATCCTCAAATCTAGCCAAATAGCCACTTGCAGATTCCACAAAAAGAGTGTTTCAAAACTGTTCTGTCTAAAGAAATGTTCAACTGTGTTAGTTGAGGACACACATCAGAAACTAGTTTCTGAGAATGCTTCTGTCTAGTTGTTATGGGAAGATATTTCCTTTTCCAACGTAGGCCTGAAAGCGATCCAAATGTCCACTTCCATATACTAAAAAAAGAGTGTTTCAAACCTGCTCTACCAAAGGGAATGTTCTACTCTGTGACTTGAATGCAAACATCCCAAAGAAGTTTCTGAGAATGCTTCTGTCTAGATTTTCTCTGAAGACAATCCCGTTTCCAACGAAATCCTCAAGGCTAGGCAAATATACTCTTGCAGATTCCAGAAAAAGAGTGTTTCAAAACTGCTCCTTCAAAACGGTGGTTCAATTCTCTTAGTTGAGTACACACATCTCAAATAAGTTTCTGAGAATGCTTCTGCCTAGTTGTTACGGGAAGATATTTCCCTTTCCAACATGGGCCTGAAAGCGCTCCAAATGTCCACTTCCAGATACTACAAAAAGAGTGTTTCAAACCTGCTCTACCAAAGGGAATGTTCTACTCTGTGACTTGAATGCAAACATCCCAAAGAAGTTTCTGAGAATGCTTCTGTCTAGATTTTACCTGAAGACAATCCCGTTTCCCACGAAATCCTCAAAGCTATGCAAATATCCTCTTGCAGATTCTACAAAAAGAGTGTTTCAAAACTGCTCTATGAAAAGAAAGGTTCAACTCTGTCAGTAGAGGGCACACATCACAAACAAGTTTCTGAGAATGCTTCTGCATAGTTGTTACGGGAAGATATTTCCCTTTCCAAAATAGGCCTGAAAGCGCTCCAAATGTCCACTTCCAGATACTACAAAAGGAGTGATTCCAACCTGCTCTATGATAGGGAATGTTCAACTCTGTGTCCTGAATACAAACATCACAAAGATGTTTCTCAGAACGCTGCAGTCTGCAATTTGTATGAGTTCCCGCTTCCAACGAAATCCTCAAAACTAGCCAAATATCCACTTGCAGATTCCACAAAAAGAGCATTTCAAAACTGCTCTATCAAAAGAAAGGTTCAACTTTGTTAGTTGAGTAGATACAGCATAAACAAGTTTCTGAGAATGCTTCTGTCCAGTTTTTATGGGAAGATATTTCCTTTTTCACCTTAGCCCTGAAAGCGCTCCAAAAGTCCAGTTCCAGATACTACAAAAGGAGTGTTTCAGGACTGCTCTATGAAAGGGAGTGTTCAACTTTTGACTTGAATGCAAACATCAGAAAGCAGTTTCTCAGAACGCTGCTGTGTGCTTTTTATATGTATTCCCGCTTCCAGCGAAATCCCCAAAGCTAGCCAAATATCCACTTGCAGATTCCAGAAAAAGAGTGTTTCAAAACTGCTCCTTCAAAACGGTGGTTCAATTCTCTTAGTTGAGTACACACATCTCAAATAAGTTTCTGAGAATGCTTCTGTCTAGTTGTTATGGGAAGATATTTCCTTTTCCAACATAGGCCTGAAAGCGCTCCAAATGTCCACTTCCAGATACTACAAAAGGAGTGATTCCAACCTGCTCTATGATAGGGAATGTTCAACTCTGTGTCCTGAATACAAACATCACAAAGATGTTTCTCAGAACGCTGCAGTCTGCAATTTGTATGAATTCCCGCTTCCAACGAAATCCTCCAAACTAGCCAAATATCCACTTGCAGATTCCACAAAAAGAGCGTTTCAAAACTTCTCTATGAAAACAAAGGTTCTACTCCTTTAGTTGAGGACACACATCACGAGTAAGTTTCTGAGAATGCTTCTGTCTAGTTTTTATGGGAAGATATTTCCTTTTTCACCTTAGGCCGGAAAGTGCTCCAAATGTCCACTTACACACACTACAAAAAGAGTGTTTCAAACCTGCTCTGTGAAAGGGAATGTTCAATTCTGTGACTTGAATGCAATCATCACAAAGAACTTTCTGAGAATGCTGCTGTCTGCTTTTTATATGTAATCCCGTTTCCAACGAAATCCTCAAATCTAGCCAAATAGCCACTTGCAGATTCCACAAAAAGAGAGTTTCAAAACTGTTCTGTCTAAAGAAATGTTCAACTGTGTTAGTTGAGGACACACATCAGAAACTAGTTTCTGAGAATGCTTCTGTCTAGTTGTTATGGGAAGATATTTCCTTTTCCAACGTAGGCCTGAAAGCGCTCCAAATGTCCACTTCCATATACTAAAAAAAGAGTGTTTCACACCTGCTCTACCAAAGGGAATGTTCTACTCTGTGACTTGAATGCAAACATCCCAAAGAAGTTTCTGAGAATGCTTCTGTCTAGATTTGATCTGAACACAATCCCGTTTCCAACGAAATCCTCAAAGCTAGGCAAATATCCTCTTGCAGATTCCAGAAAAAGAGTGTTTCAAAACTGCTCCTTCAAAACGGTGGTTCAATTCTCTTAGTTGAGTACACACATCTCAAATAAGTTTCTGAGAATGTTTCTGCCTAGTTGTTACCGGAAGATATTTCCCTTTCCAACATAGGCCTGAAAGCGCTCCAAATGTCCACTTCCAGATACTACAAAAAGAGTGTTTCAAACCTGCTCTACCAAAGGGAATGTTCTACTCTGTGACTTGAATGCAAACATCCCAAAGAAGTTTCTGAGAATGCTTCTGTCTAGATTTTACCTGAAGACAATCCCGTTTCCCACGAAATCCTCAAAGCTATGCAAATATCCTCTTGCAGATTCTACAAAAAGAGTGTTTCAAAACTGCTCTATGAAAAGAAAGGTTCAACTCTGTCAGTAGAGGGCACACATCACAAACAAGTTTCTGAGAATGCTTCTGCATAGTTGTTACGGGAAGATATTTCCCTTTCCAAAATAGGCCTGAAAGCGCTCCAAATGTCCACTTCCAGATACTACAAAAGGAGTGATTCCAACCTGCTCTATGATAGGGAATGTTCAACTCTGTGTCCTGAATACAAACATCACAAAGATGTTTCTCAGAACGCTGCAGTCTGCAATTTGTATGAATTCCCGCTTCCAACGAAATCCTCAAAACTAGCCAAATATCCACTTGCAGATTCCACAAAAAGACCATTTCAAAACTGCTCTATCAAAAGAAAGGTTCAACTTTGTTAGTTGAGTAGATACAGCATAACCAAGTTTCTGAGAATGCTTCTGTCCAGTTTTTATGGGAAGATATTTCCTTTTTCACCTTAGCCCTGAAATCGCTCCAAAAGTCCAGTTCCAGATACTACAAAAGGGGTGTTTCAAGACTGCTCTATGAAAGGGAGTGTTCAACTTTTGACTTGAATGCAAACATCAGAAAGCAGTTTCTCAGAACGCTGCTGTGTGCTTTTTATATGTATTCCCGCTTCCAGCGAAATCCCCAAAGCTAGCCAAATATCCACTTGCAGATTCCAGAAAAAGAGTGTTTCAAAACTGCTCCTTCAAAACGGTGGTTCAATTCTCTTAGTTGAGTACACACATCTCAAATAAGTTTCTGAGAATGCTTCTGTCTAGTTGTTATGGGAAGATATTTCCTTTTCCAACATAGGCCTGAAAGCGCTCCAAATGTCCACTTCCAGATATTACAAAAGGAGTGATTCAAACCTGCTCTATGATAGGGAATGTTCAACTCTGTGTCCTGAATACAAACATCACAAAGATGATTCTCAGAACGCTGCAGTCTGCAATTTGTATGAATTCCCGCTTCCAACGAAATCCTCAAAACTAGCCAAATATCCACTTGCAGATTCCACAAAAAGAGCGTTTCAAAACTTCTCTATGAAAAGAAAGGTTCTACTCCTTTAGTTGAGGACACACATCACGAGTAAGTTTCTGAGAATGCTTCTGTCTAGTTTTTATGGGAAGATATTTCCTTTTTCACCTTAGGCCGGAAAGCGCTCCAAATGTCCACTTACACACACTACAAAAAGAGTGTTTCAAACCTGCTCTGTGAAAGGGAGTGTTCAATTCTGTGACTTGAATGCAATCATCACAAAGAACTTTCTGAGAATGCTGCTGACTGCTTTTTATATGTAATCCCGTTTCCAACGAAATCCTCAAATCTAGCCAAATAGCCACTTGCAGATTCCACAAAAAGAGTGTTTCAAAACTGTTCTGTCTAAAGAAATGTTCAACTGTGTTAGTTGAGGACACACATCAGAAACTAGTTTCTGAGAATGCTTCTGTCTAGTTGTTATGGGAAGATATTTCCTTTTCCAACGTAGGCCTGAAAGCGATCAAAATGTCCACTTCCATATACTAAAAAAAGAGTGTTTCAAACCTGCTCTACCAAAGGGAATGTTCTACTCTGTGACTTGAATGCAAACATCCCAAAGAAGTTTCTGAGAATGCTTCTGTCTAGATTTTATCTGAAGACAATCCCGTTTCCAACGAAATCCACAAAGCTAGGAAGATATACTCTTGCAGATTCCAGAAAAAGAGTGTTTCAAAACTGCTCCTTCAAAACGGTGGTTCAATTCTCTTAGTTGAGTACACACATCTCAAATAAGTTTCTGAGAATGCTTCTGCGTAGTTGTTACGGGAAGATATTTCCCTTTCCAACATAGGCCTGAAAGCACTCCAAATGTCCACTTCCAGATACTACAAAAAGAGTGTTTCAAACCTGCTCTACCAAAGGGAATGTTCTGCTCTGTGACTTGAATGCAAACATCCCAAAGAAGTTTCTGAGAATGCTTCTGTCTAGATTTTACCTGAAGACAATCCCGTTTCCCACGAAATCCTCAAAGCTATTCAAATATCCTCTTGCAGATTCTACAAAAAGAGTGTTTCAAAACTGCTCTATGAAAAGAAAGGTTCAACTCTGTCACTAGAGGGCACACATCACAAACAAGTTTCTGAGAATGCTTGTGTCTAGTTGTTATGGGAAGATATTTCCTTTTTCAACATAGGCCTGAAAGCGCTCCAAATGTCCACTTCCAGATACTACAAAAGGAGTGATTCCAACCTGCTCTATGATAGGGAATGTTCAACTCTCTGTCCTGAATACAAACATCACAAAGATGTTTCTCAGAACGCTGCAGTCTGCAATTTGTATGAATTCCCGCTTCCAGCGAAATCCTCAAAACTAGCCAAATATCCACTTGCAGATTCCACAAAAAGAGCATTTCAAAACTGCTCTATCAAAAGAAAGGTTCAACTTTGTTAGTTGAGTAGATACAGCATAAACAAGTTTCTGAGAATGCTTCTGTCCAGTTTTTATGGGAAGATATTTCCTTTTTCACCTTAGCCCTGAAAGCGCTCCAAAAGTCCAGTTCCAGATACTACAAAAGGGGTGTTTCAGGACTGCTCTATGAAAGGGAGTGTTCAACTTTTGACTTGAATGCAAACATCAGAAAGCAGTTTCTCAGAACGCTGCTGTGTGCTTTTTATATGTATTCCCGCTTCCAGCGAAATCCCCAAATCTAGCCAAATATCCACTTGCAGATTCCAGAAAAAGAGTGTTTCAAAACTGCTCCTTCAAAACGGTGGTTCAATTCTCTTAGTTGAGTACACACATCTCAAATAAGTTTCTGAGAATGCTTCTGTCTAGTTGTTATGGGAAGATATTTCCTTTTCCAACATAGGCCTGAAAGCGCTCCAAATGTCCACTTCCAGATACTACAAAAGGAGTGATTCAAACCTGCTCTATGATAGGGAATGTTCAACTCTGTGTCCTGAATACAAACATCACAAAGATGTTTCTCAGAACGCTGCAGTCTGCAATTTGTATGAATTCCCGCTTCCAACGAAATCCTCCAAACTAGCCAAATATCCACTTGCAGATTCCACAAAAAGAGCGTTTCAAAACTTCTCTATGAAAACAAAGGTTCTACTCCTTTAGTTGAGGACACACATCACGAGTAAGTTTCTGAGAATGCTTCTGTCTAGTTTTTATGGGAAGATATTTCCTTTTTCACCTTAGGCCGGAAAGTGCTCCAAATGTCCACTTACACACACTATAAAAAGAGTGTTTCAAACCTGCTCTGTGAAAGGGAATGTTCAACTCTGTGACTTGAATGCAATCATCACAAAGAACTTTCTGAGAATGCTGCTGTCTGCTTTTTATATGTAATCCCGTTTCCAACGAAATCCTCAAATCTAGCCAAATAGCCACTTGCAGATTCCACAAAAAGAGAGTTTCAAAACTGTTCTGTCTAAAGAAATGTTCAACTGTGTTAGTTGAGGACACACATCAGAAACTAGTTTCTGAGAATGCTTCTGTCTAGTTGTTATGGGAAGATATTTCCTTTTCCAACGTAGGCCTGAAAGCGCTCCAAATGTCCACTTCCATATACTAAAAAAAGAGTGTTTCAAACCTGCTCTACCAAAGGGAATGTTCTACTCTGTGACTTGAATGCAAACATCCCAAAGAAGTTTCTGAGAATGCTTCTGTCTAGATTTTATCTGAAGACAATCCCGTTTCCAACGAAATCTTCAAGGCTAGGCAAATATACTCTTGCAGTTTCCAGAAAAAGAGTGTTTCAAAACTGCTCCTTCAAAACGGTGGTTCAATTCTCTTAGTTGAGTACACACATCTCAAATAAGTTTCTGAGAATTCTTCTGCCTAGTTGTTACGGGAAGATATTTCCCTTTCCAACATGGGCCTGAAAGCGCTCCAAATGTCCACTTCCAGATACTACAAAAAGAGGGTTTCAAACCTGCTCTACCAAAGGGAATGTTCTACTCTGTGACTTGAATGCAAACATCCCAAAGAAGTTTCTGAGAATGCTTCTGTCTAGATTTTACCTGAAGACAATCCCGTTTCCCACGAAATCCTCAAAGCTATGCAAATATCCTCTTGCAGATTCTACAAAAAGAGTGTTTCAAAACTGCTCTATGAAAAGAAAGGTTCAACTCTGTCAGCAGAGGGCACACATCACAAACAAGTTTCTGAGAATGCTTGTGTCTAGTTGTTATGGGAAGATATTTCCTTTTTCAACATAGGCCTGAAAGCGCTCCAAATGTCCACTTCCAGATACTACAAAAGGAGTGATTCCAACATGCTCTATGATAGGTAATGTTCATCTCTGTGTCCTGAATACAAACATCACAAAGATGTTTCTCAGAACGCTGCAGTCTGCAATTTGTATGAATTCCCGCTTCCAACGAAATCCTCAAAACTAGCCAAATATCCACTTGGAGATTCCACAAAAAGAGCGTTTCAAAACTTCTCTATGAATAGAAAGGTTCTACTCCTTTAGTTGAGGACACACATCACGAGTAAGTTTCTGAGAATGCTTCTGTCTAGTTTTTATGGGAAGATATTTCCTTTTTCACCTTAGGCCGGAAAGCGCTCCAAATGTCCACTTACACACACTACAAAAAGAGTGTTTCAAACCTGCTCTGTGAAAGGGAATGTTCAATTCTGTGACTTGAATGCAATCATCACAAAGAACTTTCTGAGAATGCTGCTGTCTGCTTTTTATATGTAATCCCGTTTCCAACGAAATCCTCAAATCTAGCCAAATATCCACTTGCAGATTCCACAAAAAGAGTGTTTCAAAACTGTTCTGTCTAAAGAAAAGTTCAACTGTGTTAGTTGAGGACACACATCAGAAACTAGTTTCTGAGAATGCTTCTGTCTAGTTGTTATGGGAAGATATTTCCTTTTCCAACGTAGGCCTGAAAGCGCTCCAAATGTCCACTTCCATATACTAAAAAAAGAGTGTTTCAAACCTGCTCTACCAAAGGGAATGTTCTACTCTGTGACTTGAATGCAAACATCCCAAAGAAGTTTCTGAGAATGCTTCTGTCTAGATTTTATCTGAAGACAATCCCGTTTCCAACGAAATTCTCAAGGCTAGGCAAATATACTCTTGCAGATTCCAGAAAAAGAGTGTTTCAAAACTGCTCCTTCAAAACGTTGGTTAAATTCTCTTAGTTGAGTACACACATCTCAAATAAGTTTCTGAGAATGCTTCTGCCTAGTTGTTACGGGAAGATATTTCCCTTTCCAACATGGGCCTGAAAGCGCTCCAAATGTCCACTTCCAGATACTACAAAAAGAGGGTTTCAAACCTGCTCTACCAAAGGGAATGTTCTACTCTGTGACTTGAATGCAAACATCCCAAAGAAGTTTCTGAGAATGCTTCTGTCTAGATTTTACCTGAAGACAATCCCGTTTCCCACGAAATCCTCAAAGCTATGCAAATATCCTCTTGCAGATTCTACAAAAAGAGTGTTTCAAAACTGCTCTATGAAAAGAAAGGTTCAACTCTGTCAGTAGAGGGCACACATCACAAACAAGTTTCTGAGAATGCTTGTGTCTAGTTGTTATGGGAAGATATTTCCTTTTTCAACATAGGCCTGAAAGCGCTCCAAATGTCCACTTCCAGATACTACAAAAGGAGTGATTCCAACCTGCTCTATGATAGGGAATGTTCATCTCTGTGTCCTGAATACAAACATCACAAAGATGTTTCTCAGAACGCTGCAGTCTGCAATTTGTATGAATTCCCGCTTCCAACGAAATCCTCAAAACTAGCCAAATATCCACTTGGAGATTCCACAAAAAGAGCGTTTCAAAACTTCTCTATGAATAGAAAGGTTCTACTCCTTTAGTTGAGGACACACATCACGAGTAAGTTTCTGAGAATGCTTCTGTCTAGTTTTTATGGGAAGATATTTCCTTTTTCACCTTAGGCCGGAAAGCGCTCCAAATGTCCACTTACACACACTACAAAAAGAGTGTTTCAAACCTGCTCTGTGAAAGGGAATGTTCAATTCTGTGACTTGAATGCAATCATCACAAAGAACTTTCTGAGAATGCTGCTGTCTGCTTTTTATATGTAATCCCGTTTCCAACGAAATCCTCAAATCTAGCCCAATATCCACTTGCAGATTCCACAAAAAGAGTGTTTCAAAACTGTTCTGTATAAAGAAATGTACAACTGTGTTAGTTGAGGACACACATCAGAAACTAGTTTCTGAGAATGCTTCTGTCTAGTTGTTATGGGAAGATATTTCCTTTTACAACGTAGGCCTGAAAGCGCTCCAAATGTCCACTTCCATATACTAAAAAAAGAGTGTTTCAAACCTGCTCTACCAAAGGGAATGTTCTACTCAGTGACTTGAATGCAAACATCCCAAAGAAGTTTCTGAGAATGCTTCTGTCTAGATTTTATCTGAAGACAATCCCGTTTCCAACGAAATCCTCAAGGCTAGGCAAATATACTCTTGCAGATTCCAGAAAAAGAGGGTTTCAAAACTGCTCCTTCAAAACGGTGGTTCAATTCTCTTAGTTGAGTACACACATCTCAAATAAGTTTCTGAGAATGCTTCTGCCTAGTTGTTACGGGAAGATATTTCCCTTTCCAACATGGGCCTGAAAGCGCTCCAAATGTCCACTTCCAGATACTACAAAAAGAGTGTTTCAAACCTGCTCTACCAAAGGGAATGTTCTACTCTGTGACTTGAATGCAAACATCCCAAAGAAGTTTCTGAGAATGCTTCTGTCTAGATTTTACCTGAAGACAATCCCGTTTCCCACGAAATCCTCAAAGCTATCCAAATATCCTCTTGCGGATTCTATAAAAGAGTGTTTCAAAACTGCTCTATGAAAAGAAAGGTTCAACTCTGTCAGTAGAGGGCACACATCACAAACAAGTTTCTGAGAATGCTTGTGTCTAGTTGTTATGGGAAGATATTTCCTTTTTCAACATAGGCCTGAAAGCGCTCCAAATGTCCACTTCCAGATACTACAAAAGGAGTGATTCCAACCTGCTCTATGATAGGGAATGTTCATCTCTGTGTCCTGAATACAAACATCACAAAGATGTTTCTCAGAACGCTGCAGTCTGCAATTTGTATGAATTCCCGCTTCCAACGAAATCCTCAACACTAGCCAAATATCCACTTGGAGATTCCACAAAAAGAGCGTTTCAAAACTTCTCTATGAATAGAAAGGTTCTACTCCTTTAGTTGAGGACACACATCACGAGTAAGTTTCTGAGAATGCTTCTGTCTAGTTTTTATGGGAAGATATGTCCTTTTTCACCTTAGGCCGGAAAGCGCTCCAAATGTCCACTTACACACACTACAAAAAGAGTGTTTCAAACCTGCTCTGTGAAAGGGAATGTTCAATTCTGTGACTTGAATGCAATCATCACAAAGAACTTTCTGAGAATGCTGCTGACTGCTTTTTATATGTGATCCCGTTTCCAACGAAATCCTCAAATCTAGCCCAGTATCCACTTGCAGATTCCACAAAAAGAGTGTTTCAAAACTGTTCTGTCTAAAGAAAAGTTCAACTGTGTTAGTTGAGGACACACATCAGAAACTAGTTTCTGAGAATGCTTCTGTCTAGTTGTTATGGGAAGATACTTCCTTTTCCAACGTAGGCCTGAAAGCGCTCCAAATGTCCACTTCCATATACTAAAAAAAGAGTGTTTCAAACCTGCTCTACCAAAGGGAATGTTCTACTCTGTGACTTGAATGCAAACATCCCAAAGAAGTTTCTGAGAATGCTTCTGTCTAGATTTTATCTGAAGACAATCCCGTTTCCAACGAAATCCTCAAGGCTAGGAAAATATACTCTTGCAGATTCCAGAAAAAGAGTGTTTCAAAACTGCTCCTTCAAAACGGTGGTTCAATTCTCTTAGTTGAGTACACACATCTCAAATAAGTTTCTGAGAATGCTTCTGCCTAGTTGTTACGGGAAGATATTTCCCTTTCCAACATGGGCCTGAAAGCGCTCCAAATGTCCACTTCCAGATACTACAAAAAGAGTGTTTCAAACCTGCTCTACCAAAGGGAATGTTCTACTCTGTGACTTGAATGCAAACATCCCAAAGAAGTTTCTGAGAATGCTTCTGTCTAGATTTTACCTGAAGACAATCCCGTTTCCCACGAAATCCTCAAAGCTATGCAAATATCCTCTTGCGGATTCTACAAAAAGAGTGTTTCAAAACTGCTCTATGAAAAGAAAGGTTCAACTCTGTCAGTAGAGGGCACACATCACAAACAAGTTTCTGAGAATGCTTGTGTCTAGTTGTTATGGGAAGATATTTCCTTTTTCAACATAGGCCTGAAAGCGCTCCAAATGTCCACTTCCAGATACTACAAAAGGAGTGATTCCAACATGCTCTATGATAGGGAATGTTCATCTCTGTGTCTTGAATACAAACATCACAAAGATGTTTCTCAGAACGCTGCAGTCTGCAATTTGGATGAATTCCCGCTTCCAACGAAATCCTCAAAACTAGCCAAATATCCACTTGGAGATTCCACAAAAAGAGCGTTTCAAAACTTCTCTATGAATAGAAAGGTTCTACTCCTTTAGTTGAGGACACACATCACGAGTAAGTTTCTGAGAATGCTTCTGTCTAGTTTTTATGGGAAGATATGTCCTTTTTCACCTTAGGCCGGAAAGCGCTCCAAATGTCCAAATACACACACTACAAAAAGAGTGTTTCAAACCTGCTCTGTGAAAGGGAATGTTCAATTCTGTGACTTGAATGCAATCATCACAAAGAAGTTTCTGAGAATGCTGCTGTCTGCTTTTTATATGTAATCCCGTTTCCAACGAAATCCTCAAATCTAGCCCAATATCCACTTGCAGATTCCACAAAAAGAGTGTTTCAAAACTGTTCTGTCTAAAGAAAAGTTCAACTGTGTTAGTTGAGGACACACATCAGAAAATAGTTTCTGAGAATGCTTCTGTCTAGTTGTTATGGGAAGATATTTCCTTTTCCAACGTAGGCCTGAAAGCGCTCCAAATGTCCTTCCATATACTAAAAAAAGAGTGTTTCAAACCTGCTCTACCAAAGGGAATGTTCTACTCTGTGACTTGAATGCAAACATCCCAAAGAAGTTTCTGAGAATGCTTCTGTCTAGATTTTCTCTGAAGACAATCCCGTTTCCAACGAAATCCTCAAGGCTAGGCAAATATACTCTTGCAGATTCCAGAAAAAGAGTGTTTCAAAACTGCTCCTTCAAAACGGTGGTTCAATTCTCTTAGTTGAGTACACACATCTCAAATAAGTTTCTGAGAATGCTTCTGCCTAGTTGTTACGGGAAGATATTTCCCTTTCCAACATGGGCCTGAAAGCGCTCCAAATGTCCACTTCCAGATACTACAAAAAGAGTGTTTCAAACCTGCTCTACCAAAGGGAATGTTCTACTCTGTGACTTGAATGCAAACATCCCAAAGAAGTTTCTGAGAATGCTTCTGTCTAGATTTTACCTGAAGACAATCCCGTTTCCCACGAAATCCTCAAAGCTATGCAAATATCCTCTTGCAGATTCTACAAAAAGAGTGTTTCAAAACTGCTCTATGAAAAGAAAGGTTCAACTCTGTCAGTAGAGGGCACACATCACAAACAAGTTTCTGAGAATGCTTCTGCATAGTTGTTACGGGAAGATATTTCCCTTTCCAAAATAGGCCTGAAAGCGCTCCAAATGTCCACTTCCAGATACTACAAAAGGAGTGATTCCAACCTGCTCTATGATAGGGAATGTTCAACTCTGTGTCCTGAATACAAACATCACAAAGATGTTTCTCAGAACGCTGCAGTCTGCAATTTGTATGAATTCCCGCTTCCAACGAAATCCTCAAAACTAGCCAAATATCCACTTGCAGATTCCACAAAAAGACCATTTCAAAACTGCTCTATCAAAAGAAAGGTTCAACTTTGTTAGTTGAGTAGATACAGCATAAACAAGTTTCTGAGAATGCTTCTGTCCAGTTTTTATGGGAAGATATTTCCTTTTTCACCTTAGCCCTGAAATCGCTCCAAAAGTCCAGTTCCAGATACTACCAAAGGGGTGTTTCAGGACTGCTCTATGAAAGGGAGTGTTCAACTTTTGACTTGAATGCAAACATCAGAAAGCAGTTTCTCAGAACGCTGCTGTGTGCTTTTTATATGTATTCCCGCTTCCAGCGAAATCCCCAAAGCTAGCCAAATATCCACTTGCAGATTCCAGAAAAAGAGAGTTTCAAAACTGCTCCTTCAAAACGGTGGTTCAATTCTCTTAGTTGAGTACACACATCTCAAATAAGTTTCTGAGAATGCTTCTGTCTAGTTGTTATGGGAAGATATTTCCTTTTCCAACATAGGCCTGAAAGCGCTCCAAATGTCCACTTCCAGATACTACAAAAGGAGTGATTCAAACCTGCTCTATGATAGGGAATGTTCAACTCTGTGTCCTGAATACAAACATCACAAAGATGTTTCTCAGAACGCTGCAGTCTGCAATTTGTATGAATTCCCGCTTCCAACGAAATCCTCAAAACTAGCCAAATATCCACTTGCAGATTCCACAAAAAGAGCGTTTCAAAACTTCTCTATGAAAAGAAAGGTTCTACTCCTTTAGTTGAGGACACACATCACGAGTAAGTTTCTGAGAATGCTTCTGTCTAGTTTTTATGGGAAGATATTTCCTTTTTCACCTTAGGCCGGTAAGTGCTCCAAATGTCCACTTACACACACTACAAAAAGAGTGTTTCAAACCTGCTCTGTGAAAGGGAATGTTCAATTCTGTGACTTGAATGCAATCATCACAAAGAACTTTCTGAGAATGCTGCTGACTGCTTTTTATATGTAATCCCGTTTCCAACGAAATCCTCAAATCTAGCCAAATAGCCACTTGCAGATTCCACAAAAAGAGTGTTTCAAAACTGTTCTGTCTAAAGAAATGTTCAACTGTGTTAGTTGAGGACACACATCAGAAACGAGTTTCTGAGAATGCTTCTGTCTAGTTGTTATGGGAAGATATTTCCTTTTCCAACGTAGGCCTGAAAGCGCTCCAAATGTCCACTTCCAGATACTACAAAAAGAGTGTTTCAAACCTGCTCTACCAAAGGGAATGTTCTACTCTGTGACTTGAATGCAAGCATCCCAAAGAAGTTTCTGAGAATGCTTCTGTCTAGATTTTCTCTGAAGACAATCCCGTTTCCAACGAAATCCTCAAGGCTAGGCAAATATACTCTTGCAGATTCCAGAAAAAGAGTGTTTCAAAACTGCTCCTTCAAAACGGTGGTTCAATTCTCTTAGTTGAGTACACACATCTCAAATAAGTTTCTGAGAATGCTTCTGCCTAGTTGTTACGGGAAGATATTTCCCTTTCCAACATGGGCCTGAAAGCGCTCCAAATGTCCACTTCCAGATACTACAAAAAGAGTGTTTCAAACCTGCTCTACCAAAGGGAATGTTCTACTCTGTGACTTGAATGCAAACATCCCAAAGAAGTTTCTGAGAATGCTTCTGTCTAGATTTTACCTGAAGACAATCCCGTTTCCCACGAAATCCTCAAAGCTATGCAAATATCCTCTTGCAGATTCTACAAAAAGAGTGTTTCAAAACTGCTCTATGAAAAGAAAGGTTCAACTCTGTCAGTAGAGGGCACACATCACAAACAAGTTTCTGAGAATGCTTCTGCATAGTTGTTACGGGAAGATATTTCCCTTTCCAAAATAGGCCTGAAAGCGCTCCAAATGTCCACTTCCAGATACTACAAAAGGAGTGATTCCAACCTGCTCTATGATAGGGAATGTTCAACTCTGTGTCCTGAATACAAACATCACAAAGATGTTTCTCAGAACGCTGCAGTCTGCAATTTGTATGAATTCCCGCTTCCAACGAAATCCTCAAAACTAGCCAAATATCCACTTGCAGATTCCACAAAAAGACCATTTCAAAACTGCTCTATCAAAAGAAAGGTTCAACTTTGTTAGTTGAGTAGATACAGCATAAACAAGTTTCTGAGAATGCTTCTGTCCAGTTTTTATGGGAAGATATTTCCTTTTTCACCTTAGCCCTGAAATCGCTCCAAAAGTCCAGTTCCAGATACTACAAAAGGGGTGTTTCAAGACTGCTCTATGAAAGGGAGTGTTCAACTTTTGACTTGAATGCAAACATCAGAAAGCAGTTTCTCAGAACGCATGCTGTGTGCTTTTTATATGTATTCCCGCTTCCAGCGAAATCCCCAAAGCTAGCCAAATATCCACTTGCAGATTCCAGAAAAAGAGTGTTTCAAAACTGCTCCTTCAAAACGGTGGTTCAATTCTCTTAGTTGAGTACACACATCTCAAATAAGTTTCTGAGAATGCTTCTGTCTAGTTGTTATGGGAAGATATTTCCTTTTCCAACATAGGCCTGAAAGCGCTCCAAATGTCCACTTCCAGATACTACAAAAGGAGTGATTCCAACCTGCTCTATGATAGGGAATGTTCAACTCTGTGTCCTGAATACAAACATCACAAAGATGTTTCTCAGAACGCTGCAGTCTGCAATTTGTATGAATTCCCGCTTCCAACGAAATCCTCCAAACTAGCCAAATATCCACTTGCAGATTCCACAAAAAGAGCGTTTCAAAACTTCTCTATGAAAGAAAGGTTCTACTCCTTTAGTTGAGGACACACATCACGAGTAAGTTTCTGAGAATGCTTCTGTCTAGTTTTTATGGGAAGATATGTCCTTTTTCACCTTAGGCCGGAAAGCGCTCCAAATGTCCACTTACACACACTACAAAAAGAGTGTTTCAAACCTGCTCTGTGAAAGGGAATGTTCAATTCTGTGACTTGAATGCAATCATCACAAAGAACTTTCTGAGAATGCTGCTGACTGCTTTTTATATGTAATCCCGTTTCCAACGAAATCCTCAAATCTAGCCAAATAGCCACTTGCAGATTCCACAAAAAGAGTGTTTCAAAACTGTTCTGTCTAAAGAAATGTTCAACTGTGTTAGTTGAGGACACACATCAGAAACTAGTTTCTGAGAATGCTTCTGTCTAGTTGTTATGGGAAGATATTTCCTTTTCCAACATAGGCCTGAAAGCGCTCCAAATGTCCACTTCCAGATACTACAAAAGGAGTGATTCCAACCTGCTCTATGATAGGGAATGTTCAACTCTGTGTCCTGAATACAAACATCACAAAGATGTTTCTCAGAACGCTGCAGTCTGCAATTTGTATGAATTCCCGCTTCCAACGAAATCCTCCAAACTAGCCAAATATCCACTTGCAGATTCCACAAAAAGAGCGTTTCAAAACTTCTCTATGAAAGAAAGGTTCTACTCCTTTAGTTGAGGACACACATCACGAGTAAGTTTCTGAGAATGCTTCTGTCTAGTTTTTATGGGAAGATATTTCCTTTCTCACCTTAGGCCGGAAAGTGCTCCAAATGTCCACTTACACACACTACAAAAAGAGTGTTTCAAACCTGCTCTGTGAAAGGGAATGTTCAATTCTGTGACTTGAATGCAATCATCACAAAGAACTTTCTGAGAATGATGCTGTCTGCTTTTTATATGTAATCCCGTTTCCAACGAAATCCTCAAATCTAGCCAAATAGCCACTTGCAGATTCCACAAAAAGAGAGTTTCAAAACTGTTCTGTCTAAAGAAATGTTCAACTGTGTTAGTTGAGGACACACATCAGAAACTAGTTTCTGAGAATGCTTCTGTCTAGTTGTTATGGGAAGATATTTCCTTTTCCAACGTAGGCCTGAAAGCGCTCCAAATGTCCACTTCCATATACTAAAAAAAGAGTGTTTCACACCTGCTCTACCAAAGGGAATGTTCTACTCTGTGACTTGAATGCAAACATCCAAAAGAAGTTTCTGAGAATGCTTCTGTCTAGATTTGATCTGAACACAATCCCGTTTCCAACGAAATCCTCAAAGCTAGGCAAATATCCTCTTGCAGATTCCAGAAAAAGAGTGTTTCAAAACTGCTCCTTCAAAACGGTGGTTCAATTCTCTTAGTTGAGTACACACATCTCAAATAAGTTTCTGAGAATGCTTCTGCCTAGTTGTTACGGGAAGATATTTCCCTTTCCAACATGGGCCTGAAAGCGCTCCAAATGTCCACTTCCAGATACTACAAAAAGAGTGTTTCAAACCTGCTCTACCAAAGGAAATGTTCTACTCTGTGACTTGAATGCAAACATCCCAAAGAAGTTTCTGAGAATGCTTCTGTCTAGATTTTACCTGAAGACAATCCCGTTTCCCACGAAATCCTCAAAGCTATGCAAATATCCTCTTGCAGATTCTACAAAAAGAGTGTTTCAAAACTGCTCTATGAAAAGAAAGGTTCAACTCTGTCAGTAGAGGGCACACATCACAAACAAGTTTCTGAGAATGCTTCTGCATAGTTGTTACGGGAAGATATTTCCCTTTCCAAAATAGGCCTGAAAGCGCTCCAAATGTCCACTTCCAGATACTACAAAAGGAGTGATTCCAACCTGCTCTATGATAGGGAATGTTCAACTCTGTGTCCTGAATACAAACATCACAAAGATGTTTCTCAGAACGCTGCAGTCTGCAATTTGTATGAATTCCCGCTTCCAACGAAATCCTCAAAACTAGCCAAATATCCACTTGCAGATTCCACAAAAAGACCATTTCAAAACTGCTCTATCAAAAGAAAGGTTCAACTTTGTTAGTTGAGTAGATACAGCATAAACAAGTTTCTGAGAATGCTTCTGTCCAGTTTTTATGGGAAGATATTTCCTTTTTCACCTTAGCCCTGAAATCGCTCCAAAAGTCCAGTTCCAGATACTACAAAAGGGGTGTTTCAAGACTGCTCTATGAAAGGGAGTGTTCAACTTTTGACTTGAATGCAAACATCAGAAAGCAGTTTCTCAGAACGCTGCTGTGTGCTTTTTATATGTATTCCCGCTTCCAGCGAAATCCCCAAAGCTAGCCAAATATCCACTTGCAGATTCCAGAAAAAGAGAGTTTCAAAACTGCTCCTTCAAAACGGTGGTTCAATTCTCTTAGTTGAGTACACACATCTCAAATAAGTTTCTGAGAATGCTTCTGTCTAGTTGTTATGGGAAGATATTTCCTTTTCCAACATAGGCCTGAAAGCGCTCCAAATGTCCACTTCCAGATACTACAAAAGGAGTGATTCAAACCTGCTCTATGATAGGGAATGTTCAACTCTGTGTCCTGAATACAAACATCACAAAGATGTTTCTCAGAACGCTGCAGTCTGCAATTTGTATGAATTCCCGCTTCCAACGAAATCCTCAAAACTAGCCAAATATCCACTTGCAGATTCCACAAAAAGAGCGTTTCAAAACTTCTCTATGAAAAGAAAGGTTCTACCCCTTTAGTTGAGGACACACATCACGAGTAAGTTTCTGAGAATGCTTCTGTCTAGTTTTTATGGGAAGATATTTCCTTTTTCACCTTAGGCCGGTAAGTGCTCCAAATGTCCACTTACACACACTACAAAAAGAGTGTTTCAAACCTGCTCTGTGAAAGGGAATGTTCAATTCTGTGACTTGAATGCAATCATCACAAAGAACTTTCTGAGAATGCCGCTGACTGCTTTTTATATGTAATCCCGTTTCCAACGAAATCCTCAAATCTAGCCAAATAGCCACTTGCAGATTCCACAAAAAGAGTGTTTCAAAACTGTTCTGTCTAAAGAAATGTTCAACTGTGTTAGTTGAGGACACACATCAGAAACTAGTTTCTGAGAATGCTTCTGTCTAGTTGTTATGGGAAGATATTTCCTTTTCCAACGTAGGCCTGAAAGCGCTCCAAATGTCCACTTCCAGATACTACAAAAAGAGTGTTTCAAACCTGCTCTACCAAAGGGAATGTTCTACTCTGTGACTTGAATGCAAGCATCCCAAAGAAGTTTCTGAGAATGCTTCTGTCTAGATTTTCTCTGAAGACAATCCCGTTTCCAACGAAATCCTCAAGGCTAGGCAAATATACTCTTGCAGATTCCAGAAAAAGAGTGTTTCAAAACTGCTCCTTCAAAACGGTGGTTCAATTCTCTTAGTTGAGTACACACATCTCAAATAAGTTTCTGAGAATGCTTCTGCCTAGTTGTTACGGGAAGATATTTCCCTTTCCAACATGGGCCTGAAAGCGCTCCAAATGTCCACTTCCAGATACTACAAAAAGAGTGTTTCAAACCTGCTCTACCAAAGGGAATGTTCTACTCTGTGACTTGAATGCAAACATCCCAAAGAAGTTTCTGAGAATGCTTCTGTCTAGATTTTACCTGAAGACAATCCCGTTTCCCACTAAATCCCCAAAGCGATGCAAATATCCTCTTGTGGATTCTACAAAAAGAGTGTTTCAAAACTGCTCTATGAAAAGAAAGGTTCAACTCTGTCAGTAGAGGGCACACATCACAAACAAGTTTCTGAGAATGCTTGTGTCTAGTTGTTATGGGAAGATATTTCCTTTTTCAACATAGGCCTGAAAGCGCTCCAAATGTCCACTTCCAGATACTACAAAAGGAGTGATTCCAACCTGCTCTATGATAGGGAATGTTCATCTCTGTGTCCCGAATACAAACATCACAAAGATGTTTCTCAGAACGCTGCAGTCTGCAATTTGTATGAATTCCCGCTTCCAACGAAATCCTCAAAACTAGCCAAATATCCACTTGGAGATTTCACAAAAAGAGCGTTTCAAAACTTCTCTATGAATAGAAAGGTTCTACTCCTTTAGTTGAGGACACACATCACGAGTAAGTTTCTGAGAATGCTTCTGTCTAGTTTTTATGGGAAGATATGTCCTTTTTCACCTTAGGCCGGAAAGCGCTCCAAATGTCCACTTACACACACTACAAAAAGAGTGTTTCAAACCTGCTCTGTGAAAGGGAATGTTCAATTCTGTGACTTGAATGCAATCATCACAAAGAACTTTCTGAGAATGCTGCTGACTGCTTTTTATATGTAATCCCGTTTCCAACGAAATCCTCAAATCTAGCCAAATAGCCACTTGCAGATTCCACAAAAAGAGGTGTTTCAAAACTGTTCTGTCTAAAGAAATGTTCAACTGTGTTAGTTGAGGACACACATCAGAAACTAGTTTCTGAGAATGCTTCTGTCTAGTTGTTATGGGAAGATATTTCCTTTTCCAACGTAGGCCTGAAAGCGCTCCAAATGTCCACTTCCATATACTAAAAAAAGAGTGTTTCAAACCTGCTCTACCAAAGGGAATGTTCTACTCTGTGACTTGAATGCAAACATCCCAAAGAAGTTTCTGAGAATGCTTCTGTCTAGATTTGATCTGAAGACAATCCCGTTTCCAACGAAATCCTCAAGGCTAGGCAAATATACTCTTGCAGATTCCAGAAAAAGAGTGTTTCAAAACTGCTCCTTCAAAACGGTGGTTCAATTCTCTTAGTTGAGTACACACATCTCAAATAAGTTTCTGAGAATGCTTCTGCCTAGTTGTTACGGGAAGATATTTCCCTTTCCAACATAGGCCTGAAAGCGCTCCAAATGTCCACTTCCAGATACTACAAAAAGAGTGTTTCAAACCTGCTCTACCAAAGGGAATGTTCTACTCTGTGACTTGAATGCAAACATCCCAAAGAAGTTTCTGAGAATGCTTCTGTCTAGATTTTACCTGAAGACAATCCCGTTTCCCACGAAATCCTCAAAGCTATGCAAATATCCTCTTGCAGATTCTACAAAAAGAGTGTTTCAAAACTGCTCTATGAAAAGAAAGGTTCAACTCTGTCAGTAGTGGGCACACATCACAAACAAGTTTCTGAGAATGCTTGTGTCTAGTTGTTATGGGAAGATATTTCCTTTTTCAACATAGGCCTGAAAGCGCTCCAAATGTCCACTTCCAGATACTACAAAAGGAGTGATTCCAACCTGCTCTATGATAGGGAATGTTCAACTCTCTGTCCTGAATACAAACATCACAAAGATGTTTCTCAGAACGCTGCAGTCTGCAATTTGTATGAATTCCCGCTTCCAACGAAATCCTCAAAACTAGCCAAATATCCACTTGCAGATTCCACAAAAAGAGCATTTCAAAACTGCTCTATGAAAAGAAAGGTTCAACTCTGTCAGTAGAGGGCACACATCACAAACAAGTTTCTGAGAATGCTTGTGTCTAGTTGTTATGGGAAGATATTTCCTTTTTCAACATAGGCCAGAAAGCGCTCCAAATGTCCACTTCCAGATACTACAAAAGGAGTGATTCCAACCTGCTCTATGATAGGGAATGTTCAACTCTCTGTCCTGAATACAAACATCACAAAGATGTTTCTCAGAACGCTGCAGTCTGCAATTTGTATGAATTCCCGCTTCCAGCGAAATCCTCAAAACTAGCCAAATATCCACTTGCAGATTCCACAAAAAGAGCATTTCAAAACTGCTCTATCAAAAGAAAGGTTCAACTTTGTTAGTTGAGTAGATACAGCATAAACAAGTTTCTGAGAATGCTTCTGTCCAGTTTTTATGGGAAGATATTTCCTTTTTCACCTTAGCCCTGAAAGCGCTCCAAAAGTCCAGTTCCAGATACTACAAAAGGAGTGTTTCAGGACTGCTCTATGAAAGGGAGTGTTCAACTTTTGACTTGAATGCAAACATCAGAAAGCAGTTTCTCAGAACGCTGCTGTGTGCTTTTTATATGTATTCCCGCCTCCAGCGAAATCCCCAAAGCTAGCCAAATATCCACTTGCAGATTCCAGAAAAAGAGTGTTTCAAAACTGCTCCTTCAAAACGGTGGTTCAATTCTCTTAGTTGAGTACACACATCTCAAATAAGTTTCTGAGAATGCTTCTGTCTATTTGTTATGGGAAGATATTTCCTTTTCCAACATAGGCCTGAAAGCGCTCCAAATGTCCACTTCCAGATACTAGAAAAGGAGTGATTCAAACCTGCTCTATGATAGGGAATGTTCAACTCTGTGTCCTGAATACAAACATCACAAAGATGTTTCTCAGAACGCTGCAGTCTGCAATTTGTATGAATTCCCGCTTCCAACGAAATCCTCCAAACTAGCCAAATATCCACTTGCAGATTCCACAAAAAGAGCGTTTCAAAACTGTTCTGTCTAAAGAAATGTTCAACTGTGTTAGTTGAGGACACACATCAGAAACTAGTTTCTGAGAATGCTTCTGTCTAGTTGTTATGGGAAGATATTTCCTTTTCCAACGTAGGCCTGAAAGCGCTCCAAATGTCCACTTCCATATACTAAAAAAAGAGTGTTTCAAACCTGCTCTACCAAAGGGAATGTTCTACTCTGTGACTTGAATGCAAACATCCCAAAGAAGTTTCTGAGAATGCTTCTGTCTAGATTTTATCTGAAGACAATCCCGTTTCCAACGAAATCCTCAAGGCTAGGCAAATATACTCTTGCCGATTCCAGAAAAAGAGTGTTTCAAAACTGCTCCTTCAAAACGGTGGTTCAATTCTCTTAGTTGAGTCCACACATCTCAAATAAGTTTCTGAGAATGCTTCTGCCTAGTTGTTACGGGAAGATATTTCCCTTTCCAACATGGGCCTGAAAGCGCTCCAAATGTCCAGTTCCAGATACTACAAAAAGAGTGTTTCAAACCTGCTCTACCAAAGGGAATGTTCTACTCTGTGACTTGAATGCAAACATCCCAAAGAAGTTTCTGAGAATGCTTCTGTCTAGATTTTACCTGAAGACAATCCCGTTTCCCACGAAATCCTCAAAGCTATGCAAATATCCTCTTGCGGATTCTACAAAAAGAGTGTTTCAAAACTGCTCTATGAAAAGAAAGGTTCAACTCTGTCAGTAGAGGGCACACATCACAAACAAGTTTCTGAGAATGCTTGTGTCTAGTTGTTATGGGAAGATATTTCCTTTTTCAACATAGGCCTGAAAGCGCTCCAAATGTCCACTTCCAGATACTACAAAAGGAGTGATTCCAACCTGCTCTATGATACGGAATGTTCAACTCTCTGTCCTGAATACAAACATCACAAAGATGTTTCTCAGAACGCTGCAGTCTGAAATTTGTATGAATTCCCGCTTCCAACGAAATCCTCAAAACTAGCCAAATATCCACTTGCAGATTCCACAAAAAGAGCATTTCAAAACTGCTCTATCAAAAGAAAGGTTCAACTTTGTTAGTTGAGTAGATACAGCTTAAACAAGTTTCTGAGAATGCTTCTGTCCAGTTTTTATGGGAAGATATTTCCTTTTTCACCTTAGCCCTGAAAGCGCTCCAAAAGTCCAGTTCCAGATACTACAAAAGGAGTGTTTCAGGACTGCTCTATGAAAGGGAGTGTTCAACTTTTGACTTGAATGCAAACATCAGAAAGCAGTTTCTCAGAACGCTGCTGTGTGCTTTTTATATGTATTCCCGCTTCCAGCGAAATCCCCAAAGCTAGCCAAATATCCACTTGCAGATTCCAGAAAAAGAGTGTTTCAAAACTGCTCCTTCAAAACGGTGGTTCAATTCTCTTAGTTGAGTACACACATCTCAAATAAGTTTCTGAGAATGCTTCTGTCTAGTTGTTATGGGAAGATATTTCCTTTTCCAACATAGGCCTGAAAGCGCTCCAAATGTCCACTTCCAGATACTACAAAAGGAGTGATTCAAACCTGCTCTATGATAGGGAATGTTCAACTCTGTGTCCTGAATACAAACATCACAAAGATGTTTCTCAGAACGCTGCAGTCTGCAATTTGTATGAATTCCCCCTTCCAACGAAATCCTCCAAACTAGCCAAATATCCACTTGCAGATTCCACAAAAAGAGCGTTTCGAAACTTCTGTATGAAAGAAAGGTTCTACTCCTTTAGTTGAGGACACACATCACGAGTAAGTTTCTGAGAATGCTTCTGTCCAGTTTTTATGGGAAGATATTTCCTTTCTCACCTTAGGCCGGAAAGTGCTCCAAATGTCCACTTACACACACTACAAAAAGAGTGTTTCAAACCTGCTCTGTGAAAGGGAATGTTCAATTCTGTGACTTGAATGCAATCATCACAAAGAACTTTCTGAGAATGCTGCTGTCTGCTTTTTATATGTAATCCCGTTTCCAACGAAATCCTCAAATCTAGCCAAATAGCCACTTGCAGATTCCACAAAAAGAGAGTTTCAAAACTGTTCTGTCTAAAGAAATGTTCAACTGTGTTAGTTGAGGACACACATCAGAAACTAGTTTCTGAGAATGCTTCTGTCTAGTTGTTATGGGAAGATATTTCGTTTTCCAACGTAGGCCTGAAAGCGCTCCAAATGTCCACTTCCATATACTAAAAAAAGAGTGTTTCACACCTGCTCTACCAAAGGGAATGTTCTACTCTGTGACTTGAATGCAAACATCCCAAAGAAGTTTCTGAGAATGCTTCTGTCTAGATTTGATCTGAACACAATCCCGTTTCCAACGAAATCCTCAAAGCTAGGCAAATATCCTCTTGCAGATTCCAGAAAAAGAGTGTTTCAAAACTGCTCCTTCAAAACGGTGGTTCAATTCTCTTAGTTGAGTACACACATCTCAAATAAGTTTCTGAGAATGCTTCTGCCTAGTTGTTACGGGAAGATATTTCCCTTTCCAACATAGGCCTGAAAGCGCTCCAAATGTCCACTTCCAGATACTACAAAAAGAGTGTTTCAAACCTGCTCTACCAAAGGGAATGTTCTACTCTGTGACTTGAATGCAAACATCCCAAAGAAGTTTCTGAGAATGCTTCTGTCTAGATTTTACCTGAAGACAATCCCGTTTCTCACGAAATCCTCAAAACTATGCAAATATCCTCTTGCAGATTCTACAAAAAGAGTGTTTCAAAACTGCTCTATGAAAAGAAAGGTTCAACTCTGTCAGTAGAGGGCACACATCACAAACAAGTTTCTGAGAATGCTTGTGTCTAGTTGTTATGGGAAGATATTTCCTTTTTCAACATAGGCCTGAAAGCGCTCCAAATGTCCACTTCCAGATACTACAAAAGGAGTGATTCCAACCTGCTCTATGATAGGGAATGTTCAACTCTCTGTCCTGAATACAAACATCACAAAGATGTTTCTCAGAACGCTGCAGTCTGCAATTTGTATGAATTCCCGCTTCCAACGAAATCCTCAAAACTAGCCAAATATCCACTTGCAGATTCCACAAAAAGAGCATTTCAAAACTGCTCTATCAAAAGAAAGGTTCAACTTTGTTAGTTGAGTAGATACAGCATAAACAAGTTTCTGAGAATGCTTCTGTCCAGTTTTTATGGGAAGATATTTCCTTTTTCACCTTAGCCCTGAAAGCGCTCCAAAAGTCCAGTTCCAGATACTACAAAAGGGGTGTTTCAGGACTGCTCTATGAAAGGGAGTGTTCAACTTTTGACTTGAATGCAAACATCAGAAAGCAGTTTCTCAGAACGCTGCTGTGTGCTTTTTATATGTATTCCCGCTTCCAGCGAAATCCCCAAAGCTAGCCAAATATCCACTTGCAGATTCCAGAAAAAGAGTGTTTCAAAACTGCTCCTTCAAAACGGTGGTTCAATTCTCTTAGTTGAGTACACACATCTCAAATAAGTTTCTGAGAATGCTTCTGTCTAGTTGTTATGGGAAGATATTTCCTTTTCCAACATAGGCCTGAAAGCGCTCCAAATGTCCACTTCCAGATACTACAAAAGGAGTGATTCAAACCTGCTCTATGATAGGGAATGTTCAACTCTGTGTCCTGAATACAAACATCACAAAGATGTTTCTCAGAACGCTGCAGTCTGCAATTTGTATGAATTCCCGCTTCCAACGAAATCCTCCAAACTAGCCAAATATCCACTTGCAGATTCCACAAAAAGAGCGTTTCAAAACTTCTCTATGAAAAGAAAGGTTCTACTCCTTTAGTTGAGGACACACATCACGAGTAAGTTTCTGAGAGTGCTTCTGTCTAGTTTTTATGGGAAGATATTTCCTTTCTCACCTTAGGCCGGAAAGTGCTCCAAATGTCCACTTACACACACTACAAAAAAGTGTTTCAAACCTGCTCTGTGAAAGGGAATGTTCAATTCTGTGACTTGAATGCAATCATCACAAAGAACTTTCTGAGAATGCTGCTGTCTGCTTTTTATATGTAATCCCGTTTCCAACGAAATCCTCAAATCTAGCCAAATAGCCACTTGCAGATTCCACAAAAAGAGTGTTTCAAAACTGTTCTGTCTAAAGAAATGTTCAACTGTGTTAGTTGAGGACACACATCAGAAACTAGTTTCTGAGAATGCTTCTGTCTAGTTGTTATGGGAAGATATTTCCTTTTCCAACGTAGGCCTGAAAGCGCTCCAAATGTCCACTTCCATATACTAAAAAAAGAGTGTTTCAAACCTGCTCTACCAAAGGGAATGTTCTACTCTGTGACTTGAATGCAAACATCCCAAAGAAGTTTCTGAGAATGCTTCTGTCTAGATTTGATCTGAAGACAATCCCGTTTCCAACGAAATCCTCAAGGCTAGGCAAATATCCTCTTGCAGATTCCAGAAAAAGAGTGTTTCAAAACTGCTCCTTCAAAACGGTGGTTCAATTCTCTTAGTTGAGTACACACATCTCAAATAAGTTTCTGAGAATGCTTCTGCCTAGTTGTAACGGGAAGATATTTCCCTTTCCAACATAGGCCTGAAAGCGCTCCAAATGTCCACTTCCAGATACTACAAAAAGAGTGTTTCAAACCTCCTCTACCAAAGGGAATGTTCTACTCTGTGACTTGAATGCAAACATCCCAAAGAAGTTTCTGAGAATGCTTCTGTCTAGATTTTACCTGAAGACAATCCCGTTTCCCACGAAATCCTCAAAGCTATGCAAATATCCTCTTGCAGATTCTACAAAAAGAGTGTTTCAAAACTGCTCTATGAAAAGAAAGGTTCAACTCTGTCAGTAGAGGGCACACATCACAAACAAGTTTCTGAGAATGCTTGTGTCTAGTTGTTATGGGAAGATATTTCCTTTTTCAACATAGGCCTGAAAGCGCTCCAAATGTCCACTTCCAGATACTACAAAAGGAGTGATTCCAACCTGCTCTATGATAGGGAATGTTCAACTCTGTGTCCTGAATACAAACATCACAAAGATGTTTCTCAGAACGCTGCAGTCTGCAATTTGTATGAATTCCCGCTTCCAACGAAATCCTCCAAACTAGCCAAATATCCACTTGCAGATTCCACAAAAAGAGCGTTTCAAAACTTCTCTATGAAAAGAAAGGTTCTACTCCTTTAGTTGAGGACACACATCACGAGTAAGTTTCTGAGAATGCTTCTGTCTAGTTATTATGGGAAGATATTTCCTTTTTCACCTTAGGCCGGAAAGTGCTCCAAATGTCCACTTACACACACTACAAAAAGAGTGTTTCAAACCTGCTCTGTGAAAGGGAATGTTCAATTCTGTGACTTGAATGCAATCATCACAAAGAACTTTCTGAGAATGCTGCTGTCTGCTTTGTATATGTAATCCCGTTTCCAACGAAATCCTCAAATCTAGCCAAATAGCCACTTGCAGATTCCACAAAAAGAGTGTTTCAAAACTGTTCTGTCTAAAGAAATGTTCAACTGTGTTAGTTGAGGACACACATCAGAAACTAGTTTCTGAGAATGCTTCTGTCTAGTTGTTATGGGAAGATATTTCCTTTTCCAACGTAGGCCTGAAAGCGCTCCAAATGTCCACTTCCATATACTAAAAAAAGAGTGTTTCAAACCTGCTCTACCAAAGGGAATGTTCTACTCTGTGACTTGAATGCAAACATCCCAAAGAAGTTTCTGAGAATGCTTCTGTCTAGATTTTATCTGAAGACAATCCCGTTTCCAACGAAATCCTCAAGGCTAGGCAAATATACTCTTGCAGATTCCAGAAAAAGAGGGTTTCAAAACTGCTCCTTCAAAACGGTGGTTCAATTCTCTTCGTTGAGTACACACATCTCAAATAAGTGTCTGAGAATGCTTCTGCCTAGTTGTTACGGGAAGATATATCCCTTTCCAACATGGGCCTGAAAGCGCTCCAAATGTCCACTTCCAGATACTACAAAAAGAGTGTTTCAAACCTGCTCTACCAAAGGGAATGTTCTACTCTGTGACTTGAATGCAAACATCCCAAAGAAGTTACTGAGAATGCTTCTGTCTGGATTTGATCTGAAGACAATCCCGTTTCCAACGAAATCCTCAAAGCTAGGCAAATATCCTCTAGCAGATTCCAGAAAAAGAGTGTTTCAAAACTGCTCCTTCAAAACGGTGGTTCAATTCTCTTAGTTGAGTACACACATCTCAAATAAGTTTCTGAGAATGCTTCTGCATAGTTGTTACGGGAAGATATTTCCCTTTCCAAAATAGGCCTGAAAGCGCTCCAAATGTCCACTTCCAGATACTACAAAAGGAGTGATTCCAACCTGCTCTATGATAGGGAATGTTCAACTCTGTGTCCTGAATACAAACATCACAAAGATGTTTCTCAGAACGCTGCAGTCTGCAATTTATATGAATTCCCGCTTCCAACGAAATCCTCAAAACTAGCCAAATATCCACTTGCAGATTCCACAAAAAGACCATTTCAAAACTGCTCTATCAAAAGAAAGGTTCAACTTTGTTAGTTGAGTAGATACAGCATAAACAAGTTTCTGAGAATGCTTCTGTCCAGTTTTTATGGGAAGATATTTCCTTTTTCACCTTAGCCCTGAAAGCGCTCCAAAAGTCCAGTTCCAGATACTACAAAAGGAGTGTTTCAGGACTGCTCTATGAAAGGGAGTGTTCAACTTTTGACTTGAATGCAAACATCAGAAAGCAGTTTCTCAGAACGCTGCTGTGTGCTTTTTATATGTATTCCCGCTTCCAGCGAAATCCCCAAAGCTAGCCAAATATCCACTTGCAGATTCCAGAAAAAGAGTGTTTCAAAACTGCTCCTTCAAAACGGTGGTTCAATTCTCTTAGTTGAGTACACACATCTCAAATAAGTTTCTGAGAATGCTTCTGTCTAGTTGTTATGGGAAGATATTTCCTTTTCCAACATAGGCCTGAAAGCGCTCCAAATGTCCACTTCCAGATACTACAAAAGGAGTGATTCAAACCTGCTCTATGATAGGGAATGTTCAACTCTGTGTCCTGAATACAAACATCACAAAGATGTTTCTCAGAACGCTGCAGTCTGCAATTTGTATGAATTCCCGCTTCCAACGAAATCCTCAAAACTAGCCAAATATCCACTTGCAGATTCCACAAAAAGAGCGTTTCAAAACTTCTCTATGAAAAGAAAGGTTCTACTCCTTTAGTTGAGGACACACATCACGAGTAAGTTTCTGAGAATGCTTCTGTCTAGTTTTTATGGGAAGATATTTCCTTGTTCACCTTAGGCCGGAAAGCGCTCCAAATGTCCACTTACACACACTACAAAAAGAGTGTTTCAAACCTGCTCTACCAAAGGGAATGTTCTACTCTGTGACTTGAATGCAAACATCCCAAAGAAGTTTCTGAGAATGCTGCTGACTGCTTTTTATATGTAATCCCGTTTCCAACGAAATCCTCAAATCTAGCCAAATAGCCACTTGCAGATTCCACAAAAAGAGTGTTTCAAAACTGTTCTGTCTAAAGAAATGTTCAACTGTGTTAGTTGAGGACACACATCAGAAACTAGTTTCTGAGAATGCTTCTGTCTAGTTGTTATGGGAAGATATTTCCTTTTCCAACGTAGGCCTGAAAGCGCTCCAAATGTCCACTTCCAGATACTACAAAAAGAGTGTTTCAAACCTGCTCTACCAAAGGGAATGTTCTACTCTGTGACTTGAATGCAAACATCCCAAAGAAGTTTCTGAGAATGCTTCTGTCTAGATTTTCTCTGAAGACAATCCCGTTTCCAACGAAATCCTCAAGGCTAGGCAAATATACTCTTGCAGATTCCAGAAAAAGAGTGTTTCAAAACTGCTCCTTCAAAACGGTGGTTCAATTCTCTTAGTTGAGTACACACATCTCAAATAAGTTTCTGAGAATGCTTCTGCCTAGTTGTTACGGGAAGATATTTCCCTTTCCAACATGGGCCTGAAAGCGCTCCAAATGTCCACTTCCAGATACTACAAAAAGAGTGTTTCAAACCTGCTCTACCAAAGGGAATGTTCTACTCTGTGACTTGAATGCAAACATCCCAAAGAAGTTTCTGAGAATGCTTCTGTCTAGATTTTACCTGAAGACAATCCCGTTTCCCACGAAATCCTCAAAGCTATGCAAATATCCTCTTGCGGATTCTATAAAAGAGTGTTTCAAAACTGCTCTATGAAAAGAAAGGTTCAACTCTGTCAGTAGAGGGCACACATCACAAACAAGTTTCTGAGAATGCTTGTGTCTAGTTGTTATGGGAAGATATTTCCTTTTTCAACATAGGCCTGAAAGCGCTCCAAATGTCCACTTCCAGATACTACAAAAGGAGTGATTCCAACATGCTCTATGATAGGGAATGTTCATCTCTGTGTCTTGAATACAAACATTTCAAAGATGTTTCTCAGAACGCTGCAGTCTGCAATTTGTATGAATTCCCGCTTCCAACGAAATCCTCAAAACTAGCCAAATATCCACTTGGAGATTCCACAAAAAGAGCGTTTCAAAACTTCTCTATGAATAGAAAGGTTCTACTCCTTTAGTTGAGGACACACATCACGAGTAAGTTTCTGAGAATGCTTCTGTCTAGTTTTTATGGGAAGATATTTCCTTTTTCACCTTAGGCCGGAAAGCGCTCCAAATGTCCACTTACACACACTACAAAAAGAGTGTTTCAAACCAGCTCTGTGAAAGGGAATGTTCAATTCTGTGACTTGAATGCAATCATCACAAAGAACTTTCTGAGAATGCTGCTGACTGCTTTTTATATGTAATCCCGTTTCCAACGAAATCCTCAAATCTAGCCAAATAGCCACTTGCAGATTCCACAAAAAGAGTGTTTCAAAACTGTTCTGTCTAAAGAAATGTTCAACTGTGTTAGTTGAGGACACACATCAGAAACTAGTTTCTGAGAATGCTTCTGTCTAGTTGTTATGGGAAGATATTTCCTTTTCCAACGTAGGCCTGAAAGCGCTCCAAATGTCCACTTCCATATACTAAAAAAAGAGTGTTTCAAACCTGCTCTACCAAAGGGAATGTTCTACTCTGTGACTTGAATGCAAACATCCCAAAGAAGTTTCTGAGAATGCTTCTGTCTAGATTTTCTCTGAAGACAATCCCGTTTCCAACGAAATCCTCAAGGCTAGGCAAATATACTCTTGCAGATTCCAGAAAAAGAGTGTTTCAAAACTGCTCCTTCAAAACGGTGGTTCAATTCTCTTAGTTGAGTACACACATCTCAAATAAGTTTCTGAGAATGCTTCTGCCTAGTTGTTACGGGAAGATATTTCCCTTTCCAACATAGGCCTGAAAGCGCTCCAAATGTCCACTTCCAGATACTACAAAAAGAGTGTTTCAAACCTGCTCTACCAAAGGGAATGTTCTACTCTGTGACTTGAATGCAAACATCCCAAAGAAGTTTCTGAGAATGCTTCTGTCTAGATTTTACCTGAAGACAATCCCGTTTCCCACGAAATCCTCAAAGCTATGCAAATATCCTCTTGCAGATTCTACAAAAAGAGTGTTTCAAAACTGCTCTATGAAAAGAAAGGTTCAACTCTGTCAGTAGAGGGCACACATCACAAACAAGTTTCTGAGAATGCTTCTGCATAGTTGTTACGGGAAGATATTTCCCTTTCCAAAATAGGCCTGAAAGCGCTCCAAATGTCCACTTCCAGATACTACAAAAGGAGTGATTCCAACCTGCTCTATGAAAGGGAATGTTCAACTCTGTGTCCTGAATACAAACATCACAAAGATGTTTCTCAGAACGCTGCAGTCTGCAATTTGTATGAATTCCAGCTTCCAACGAAATCCTCAAATCTAGCCAAATATCCACTTGCAGATTCCACAAAAAGAGCATTTCAAAACTGCTCTATCAAAAGAAAGGTTCAACTTTGTTAGTAGAGTAGATACAGCATAAACAAGTTTCTGAGAATGCTTCTGTCCAGTTTTTATGGGAAGATATTTCCTTTTTCACCTTAGCCCTGAAAGCGCTCCAAAAGTCCAGTTCCAGATACTACAAAAGGAGTGTTTCAGGACTGCTCTATGAAAGGGAGTGTTCAACTTTTGACTTGAATGCAAACATCAGAAAGCAGTTTCTCAGAACGCTGCTGTGTGCTTTTTATATGTATTCCCGCTTCCAGCGAAATCCCCAAAGCTAGCCAAATATCCACTTGCAGATTCCAGAAAAAGAGTGTTTCAAAACTGCTCCTTCAAAAGGGTGGTTCAATTCTCTTAGTTGAGTACACACATCTCAAATAAGTTTCTGAGAATGCTTCTGTCTAGTTGTTATGGGAAGATATTTCCTTTTCCAACATAGGCCTGAAAGCGCTCCAAATGTCCACTTCCAGATACTACAAAAGGAGTGATTCCAACCTGCTCTATGATAGGGAATGTTCAACTCTGTGTCCTGAATACAAACATCACAAAGATGTTTCTCAGAACGCTGCAGTCTGCAATTTGTATGAATTCCCGCTTCCAACGAAATCCTCAAAACTAGCCAAATATCCACTTGCAGATTCCACAAAAAGAGCGTTTCAAAACTTCTCTATGAAAACAAAGGTTCTACTCCTTTAGTTGAGGACACACATCACGAGTAAGTTTCTGAGAATGCTTCTGTCTAGTTTTTATGAGAAGATATTTCCTTTTTCACCTTAGGCCGGAAAGTGCTCCAAATGTCCACTTACACACACTACAAATAGAGTGTTTCAAACCTGCTCTGTGAAAGGGAATGTTCAATTCTGTGACTTGAATGCAATCATCACAAAGAACTTTCTGAGAATGCTGCTGTCTGCTTTTTATATGTAATCCCGTTTCCAACGAAATCCTCAAATCTAGCCAAATAGCCACTTGCAGATTCCACAAAAAGAGAGTTTCAAAACTGTTCTGTCTAAAGAAATGTTCAACTGTGTTAGTTGAGGACACACATCAGAAACTAGTTTCTGAGAATGCTTCTGTCTAGTTGTTATGGGAAGATATTTCCTTTTCCAACGTAGGCCTGAAAGCGCTCCAAATGTCCACTTCCATATACTAAAAAAAGAGTGTTTCAAACCTGCTCTACCAAAGGGAATGTTCTACTCTGTGACTTGAATGCAAACATCCCAAAGAAGTTTCTGAGAATGCTTCTGTCTAGATTTGATCTGAAGACAATCCCGTTTCCAACGAAATCCTCAAGGCTAGGCAAATATCCTCTTGCAGATTCCAGAAAAAGAGTGTTTCAAAACTGCTCCTTCAAAACGGTGGTTCAATTCTCTTAGTTGAGTACACACATCTCAAATAAGTTTCTGAGAATGCTTCTGCCTAGTTGTTACGGGAAGATATTTCCTTTTCCAACATGGGCCTGAAAGCGCTCCAAATGTCCACTTCCAGATACTACAAAATGAGTGTTTCAAACCTGCTCTACCAAAGGGAATGTTCTACTCTGTGACTTGAATGCAAACATCCCAAAGAAGTTTCTGAGAATGCTTCTGTCTAGATTTTACCTGAAGACAATCCCGTTTCCCACGAAATCCTCAAAGCTATGCAAATATCCTCTTGCAGATTCTACAAAAAGAGTGTTTCAAAACTGCTCTATGAAAAGAAAGGTTCAACTCTGTCAGTAGAGGGCACACATCACAAACAAGTTTCTGAGAATGCTTCTGCATAGTTGTTACGGGAAGATATTTCCCTTTCCAAAATAGGCCTGAAAGCGCTCCAAATGTCCACTTCCAGATACTACAAAAGGAGTGATTCCAACCTGCTCTATGATAGGGAATGTTCAACTCTGTGTCCTGAATACAAACATCACAAAGATGTTTCTCAGAACGCTGCAGTCTGCAATTTGTATGAATTCCCGCTTCCAACGAAATCCTCAAAACTAGCCAAATATCCACTTGCAGATTCCACAAAAAGACCATTTCAAAACTGCTCTATCAAAAGAAAGGTTCAACTTTGTTAGTTGAGTAGATACAGCATAAACAAGTTTCTGAGAATGCTTCTGTCCAGTTTTTATGGGAAGATATTTCCTTTTTCACCTTAGCCCTGAAATCGCTCCAAAAGTCCAGTTCCAGATACTACAAAAGGGGTGTTTCAAGACTGCTCTATGAAAGGGAGTGTTCAACTTTTGACTTGAATGCAAACATCAGAAAGCAGTTTCTCAGAACGCTGCTGTGGGCTTTTTATATGTATTCCCGCTTCCAGCGAAATCCCCAAAGCTAGCCAAATATCCACTTGCAGATTCCAGAAAAAGAGTGTTTCAAAACTGCTCCTTCAAAACGGTGGTTCAATTCTCTTAGTTGAGTACACACATCTCAAATAAGTTTCTGAGAATGCTTCTGTCTAGTTGTTATGGGAAGATATTTCCTTTTCCAACATAGGCCTGAAAGCGCTCCAAATGTCCACTTCCAGATACTACAAAAGGAGTGATTCAAACCTGTTCTATGATAGGGAATGTTCAACTCTGTGTCCTGAATACAAACATCACAAAGATGTTTCTCAGAACGCTGCAGTCTGCAATTTGTATGAATTCCCGCTTCCAACGAAATCCTCCAAACTAGCCAAATATCCACTTGCAGATTCCACAAAAAGAGCGTTTCAAAACTTCTCTATGAAAAGAAAGGTTCTACTCCTTTAGTTGAGGACACACATCACGAGTAAGTTTCTGAGAATGCTTCTGTCTAGTTTTTATGGGAAGATATTTCCTTTTTCACCTTAGGCCGGTAAGTGCTCCAAATGTCCACTTACACACACTACAAAAAGAGTCTTTCAAACCTGCTCTGTGAAAGGGAATGTTCAATTCTGTGACTTGAATGCAATCATCACAAAGAACTTTCTGAGAATGCTGCTGTCTGCTTTTTATATGTAATCCCGTTTCCAACGAAATCCTCAAATCTAGCCCAATATCCACTTGCAGATTCCACAAAAAGAGTGTTTCAAAACTGTTCTGTCTAAAGAAAAGTTCAACTGTGTTAGTTGAGGACACACATCAGAAACTAGTTTCTGAGAATGCTTCTGTCTAGTTGTTATGGGAAGAGATTTCCTTTTCCAACGTAGGCCTGAAAGCGCTCCAAATGTCCTTCCATATACTAAAAAAAGAGTGTTTCAAACCTGCTCTACCAAAGGGAATGTTCTACTCTGTGACTTGAATGCAAACATCCCAAAGAAGTTTCTGAGAATGCTTCTGTCTAGATTTTATCTGAAGACAATCCCGTTTCCAACGAAATCCTCAAGGCTAGGCAAATATACTCTTGCAGATTCCAGAAAAAGAGTGGTTCAAAACTGCTCCTTCAAAACGGTGGTTCATTTCTCTTAGTTGAGTACACACATCTCAAATAAGTTTCTGAGAATGCTTCTGCCTAGTTGTTACGGGAAGATATTTCCCTTTCCAACATGGGCCTGAAAGCGCTCCAAATGTCCACTTCCAGATACTACAAAAAGAGTGCTTCAAACCTGCTCTACCAAAGGGAATGTTCTACTCTGTGACTTGAATGCAAACATCCCAAAGAAGTTTCTGAGAATGCTTCTGTCTAGATTTTACCTGAAGACAATCCCGTTTCCCCCGAAATCCTCAAAGCTATGCAAATATCCTCTTGCGGATTCTACAAAAAGAGTGTTTCAAAACTGCTCTATGAAAAGAAAGGTTCAACTCTGTCAGTAGAGGGCACACATCACAAACAAGTTTCTGAGAATGCTTGTGTCTAGTTGTTATGGGAAGATATTTCCTTTTTCAACATAGGCCTGAAAGCGCTCCAAATGTCCACTTCCAGATACTACAAAAGGAGTGATTCCAACATGCTCTATGATAGGGAATGTTCATCTCTGTGTCTTGAATACAAACATCACAAAGATGTTTCTCAGAACGCTGCAGTCTGCAATTTGTATGAATTCCCGCTTCCAACGAAATCCTCAAAACTAGCCAAATATCCACTTGGAGATTCCACAAAAAGAGCGTTTCAAAACTTCTCTATGAATAGAAAGGTTCTACTCCTTTAGTTGAGGACACACATCACGAGTAAGTTTCTGAGAATGCTTCTGTCTAGTTTTTATGGGAAGATATGTCCTTTTTCACCTTAGGCCGGAAAGCGCTCCAAATGTCCACTTACACACACTACAAAAAGAGTGTTTCAAACCTGCTCTATGAAAGGGAATGTTCAATTCTGTGACTTGAATGCAATCATCACAAAGAACTTTTCTGAGAATGCTGCTGACTGCTTTTTATATGTAATCCCGTTTCCAACGAAATCCTCAAATCTAGCCAAATAGCCCCTTGCAGATTCCACAAAAAGAGTGTTTCAAAACTGTTCTGTCTAAAGAAATGTTCAACTGTGTTAGTTGAGGACACACATCAGAAACTAGTTTCTGAGAATGCTTCTGTCTAGTTGTTATGGGAAGATATTTCCTTTTCCAACGTAGGCCTGAAAGCGCTCCAAATGTCCACTTCCATATACTAAAAAAAGAGTGTTTCAAACCTGCTCTACCAAAGGGAATGTTCTACTCTGTGACTTGAATGCAAACATCCCAAAGAAGTTTCTGAGAATGCTTCTGTCTAGATTTTCTCTGAAGACAATCCCGTTTCCAACGAAATCCTCAAGGCTAGGCAAATATACTCTTGCAGATTCCAGAAAAAGAGTGTTTCAAAACTGCTCCTTCAAAACGGTGGTTCAATTCTCTTAGTTGAGTACACACATCTCAAATAAGTTTCTGAGAATGCTTCTGCCTAGTTGTTACGGGAAGATATTTCCCTTTCCAACATAGGCCTGAAAGCGCTCCAAATGTCCACTTCCAGATACTACAAAAAGAGTGTTTCAAACCTGCTCTACCAAAGGGAATGTTCTACTCTGTGACTTGAATGCAAACATCCCAAAGAAGTTTCTGAGAATGCTTCTGTCTAGATTTTACCTGAAGACAATCCCGTTTCCCACGAAATCCTCAAAGCTATGCAAATATCCTCTTGCAGATTCTACAAAAAGAGTGTTTCAAAACTGCTCTATGAAAAGAAAGGTTCAACTCTGTCAGTAGAGGGCACACATCACAAACAAGTTTCTGAGAATGCTTGTGTCTAGTTGTTATGGGAAGATATTTCCTTTTTCAACATAGGCCTGAAAGCGCTCCAAATGTCCACTTCCAGATACTACAAAAGGAGTGATTCCAACCTGCTCTATGATAGGGAATGTTCAAATCTGTGTCCTGAATACAAACATCACAAAGATGTTTACTCAGAACGCTGCAGTCTGCAATTTGTATGAATTCCAGCTTCCAACGAAATCCTCAAAACTAGCCAAATATCCACTTGCAGATTCCACAAAAAGAGCATTTCAAAACTGCTCTATCAAAAGAAAGGTTCAACTTTGTTAGTAGAGTAGATACAGCATAAACAAGTTTCTGAGAATGCTTCTGTCCAGTTTTTATGGGAAGATATTTCCTTTTTCACCTTAGCCCTGAAAGCGCTCCAAATGTCCAGTTCCAGATACTACAAAAGGGGTGTTTCAAGACTGCTCTATGAAAGGGAGTGTTCAACTTTTGACTTGAATGCAAACATCAGAAAGCAGTTTCTCAGAACGCTGCTGTGTGCTTTTTATATGTATTCCCGCTTCCAGCGAAATCCCCAAAGCTAGCCAAATATCCACTTGCAGATTCCAGAAAAAGAGTGTTTCAAAACTGCTCCTTCAAAACGGTGGTTCAATTCTCCTAGTTGCGTACACACATCTCAAATAAGTTTCTGAGAATGCTTGTGTCTAGTTGTTATGGGAAGATATTTCCTTTTTCAACATAGGCCTGAAAGCGCTCCAAATGTCCACTTCCAGATACTACAAAAGGAGTGATTCCAACCTGCTCTGTGATAGGGAATGTTCATCTCTGTGTTCTGAATACAAACATCACAAACATGTTTCTCAGAACGCTGCAGTCTGCAATTTGTATGAATTCCCGCTTCCAACGAAATCCTCAAAACTAGCCAAATATCCACTTGGAGATTCCACAAAAAGAGCGTTTCAAAACTTCTCTATGAATAGAAAGGTTCTACTCCTTTAGTTGAGGACACACATCACGAGTAAGTTTCTGAGAATGCTTCTGTCTAGTTTTTATGGGAAGATATTTCCTTTTTCACCTTAGGCCGGAAAGCGCTCCAAATGTCCACTTACACACACTACAAAAAGAGTGTTTCAAACCTGCTCTGTGAAAGGGAATGTTCAATTCTGTGACTTGAATGCAATCACCACAAAGAACTTTCTGAGAATGCTGCAGTCTGCTTTTTATATGTAATCCCGTTTCCAACGAAATCCTCAAATCTAGCCAAATATCCACTTGCAGATTCCACAAAAAGAGTGTTTCAAAACTGTTCTGTCTAAAGAAAAGTTCAACTGTGTTAGTGGAGGACACACATCAGAAACTAGTTTCTGAGAATGCTTCTGTCTAGTTGTTATGGGAAGATATTTCCTTTTCCAACGTAGGCCTGAAAGCGCTCCAAATGTCCACTTCCAGATACTACAAAAAGAGTGTTTCAAACCTGCTCTACCAAAGGGAATGTTCTACTCTGTGACTTGAATGCAAACATCCCAAAGAAGTTTCTGAGAATGCTTCTGTCTAGATTTTATCTGAAGACAATCCCGTTTCCAACGAAATCCTCAAGGCTAGGCAAATATACTCTTGCAGATTCCAGAAAAAGAGTGTTTCAAAACTGCACCTTCAAAACGGTGGTTCAATTCTCTTAGTTGAGTACACACATCTCAAATAAGTTTCTGAGAATGCTTCTGCCTAGTTGTTACGGGAAGATATTTCCCTTTCCAACATGGGCCTGATAGCGCTCCGAATGTCCACTTCCAGATACTACAAAAAGAGGGTTTCAAACCTGCTCTACCAAAGGGAATGTTCTACTCTGTGACTTGAATGCAAACATCCCAAAGAAGTTTCTGAGAATGCTTCTGTCTAGATTTTACCTGAAGACAATCCCGTTTCCCACGAAATCCTCAAAGCTATGCAAATATCCTCTTGCAGATTCTACAAAAAGAGTGTTTCAAAACTGCTCTATGAAAAGAAAGGTTCAACTCTGTCAGTAGAGGGCACACATCACAAACAAGTTTCTGAGAATGCTTGTGTCTAGTTGTTATGGGAAGATATTTCCTTTTTCAACATAGGCCTGAAAGCGCTCCAAATGTCCACTTCCAGATACTACAAAAGGAGTGATTCCAACCTGCTCTATGATAGGGAATGTTCATCTCTGTGTCCTGAATACAAACATCACAAAGATGTTTCTCAGAACGCTGCAGTCTGCAATTTGTATGAATTCCCGCTTCCAACGAAATCCTCAAAACTAGCCAAATATCCACTTGGAGATTCCACAAAAAGAGCGTTTCAAAACTTCTCTATGAATAGAAAGGTTCTACTCCTTTAGTTGAGGACACACATCACGAGTAAGTTTCTGAGAATGCTTCTGTCTAGTTTTTATGGGAAGATATGTCCTTTTTCACCTTAGGCCGGAAAGCGCTCCAAATGTCCACTTACACACACTACAAAAAGAGTGTTTCAAACCTGCTCTGTGAAAGGGAATGTTCAATTCTGTGACTTGAATGCAATCATCACAAAGAACTTTCTGAGAATGCTGCTGTCTGCTTTTTATATGTAATCCCGTTTCCAACGAAATCCTCAAATCTAGCCAAATATCCACTTGCAGATTCCACAAAAAGAGTGTTTCAAAACTGTTCTGTCTAAAGAAAAGTTCAACTGTGTTAGTTGAGGACACACATCAGAAACTAGTTTCTGAGAATGCTTCTGTCTAGTTGTTATGGGAAGATATTTCCTTTTCCAACGTAGGCCTCAAAGCGCTCCAAATGTCCTTCCATATACTAAAAAAAGAGTGTTTCAAACCTGCTCTACCAAAGGGAATGTTCTACTCTGTGACTTGAATGCAAACATCCCAAAGAAGTTTCTGAGAGTGCTTCTGTCTAGATTTTATCTGAAGACAATCCCGTTTCCAACGAAATCCTCAAGGCTAGGCAAATATACTCTTGCAGATTCCAGAAAAAGAGTGTTTCAAAACTGCTCCTTCAAAACGGTGGTTCAATTCTCTTAGTTGAGTACACACATCTCAAATAAGTTTCTGAGAATGCTTCTGCCTAGTTGTTACGGGAAGATATTTCCCTTTCCAACATGGGCCTGAAAGCGCTCCAAATGTCCACTTCCAGATACTACAAAAAGAGTGTTTCAAACCTGCTCTACCAAAGGGAATGTTCTACTCTGTGACTTGAATGCAAACATCCCAAAGAAGTTTCTGAGAATGCTTCTGTCTAGATTTTACCTGAAGACAATCCCGTTTCCCACGAAATCCTCAAAGCTATGCAAATATCCTCTTGCGGATTCTACAAAAAGAGTGTTTCAAAACTGCTCTATGAAAAGAAAGGTTCAACTCTGTCAGTAGAGGGCACACATCACAAACAAGTTTCTGAGAATGCTTGTGTCTAGTTGTTATGGGAAGATATTTCCTTTTTCAACATAGGCCTGAAAGCGCTCCAAATGTCCACTTCCAGATACTACAAATGGAGTGATTCCAACATGCTCTATGATAGGGAATGTTCATCTCTGTGTCTTGAATACAAACATCACAAAGATGTTTCTCAGAACGCTGCAGTCTGCAATTTGTATGAATTCCCGCTTCCAACGAAATCCTCAAAACTAGCCAAATATCCACTTGCAGATTCCACAAAAAGAGCATTTCAAAACTGCTCTATCAAAAGAAAGGTTCAACTTTGTTAGTTGAGTAGATACAGCATAAACAAGTTTCTGAGAATGCTTCTGTCCAGTTTTTATGGGAAGATATTTCCTTTTTCACCTTAGCCCTGAAAGCGCTCCAAAAGTCCAGTTCCAGATACTACAAAAGGAGTGTTTCAGAACTGCTCTATGAAAGGGAGTGTTCAACTTTTGACTTGAATGCAAACATCAGAAAGCAGTTTCTCAGAACGCTGCTGTGTGCTTTTTATATGTATTCCCCCTTCCAGCGAAATCCCCAAAGCTAGCCAAATATCCACTTGCAGATTCCAGAAAAAGAGTGTTTCAAAACTGCTCCTTCAAAACGGTGGTTCAATTCTCTTAGTTGAGTACACACATCTCAAATAAGTTTCTGAGAATGCTTCTGTCTAGTTGTTATGGGAAGATATTTCCTTTTCCAACATAGGCCTGAAAGCGCTCCAAATGTCCACTTCCAGATACTACAAAAGGAGTGATTCAAACCTGCTCTATGATAGGGAATGTTCAACTCTGTGTCCTGAATACAAACATCACAAAGATGTTTCTCAGAACGCTGCAGTCTGCAATTTGTATGAATTCCCGCTTCCAAGGAAATCCTCAAAACTAGCCAAATATCCACTTGCAGATTCCACAAAAAGAGCGTTTCAAAACTTCTCTATGAAAAGAAAGGTTCTACTCCTTTAGTTGAGGACACACAACACGAGTAAGTTTCTGAGAATGCTTCTGTCTAGTTTTTATGGGAAGATATTTCCTTTTTCACCTTAGGCCGGAAAGCGCTCCAAATGTCCACTTACACACACTACAAAAAGAGTGTTTCAAACCTGCTCTGTGAAAGGGAATGTTCAATTCTGTGACTTGAATGCAATCATCACAAAGAACTTTCTGAGAATGCTGCTGTCTGCTTTTTATATGTAATCCCGTTTCCAACGGAAATCCTCAAATCTAGCCAAATATCCACTTGCAGATTCCACAAAGAGAGTGTTTCAAAACTGTTCTGTCTAAAGAAATGTTCAACTGTGTTAGTTGAGGACACACATCAGAAACTAGTTTCTGAGAATGCTTCTGTCTAGTTGTTATGGGAAGATAGGAAGATATTTCCTTTTCCAACGTAGGCCTGAAAGCACTCCAAATGTCCACTTCCATATACTAAAAAAAGAGTGTTTCAAACCTGCTCTACCAAAGGGAATGTTCTACTCTGTGACTTGAATGCAAACATCCCAAAGAAGTTTCTGAGAATGCTTCTGTCTAGATTTGATCTGAAGACAATCCCGTTTCCAACGAAATCCTCAAGGCTAGGCAAATATCCTCTTGCAGATTCCAGAAAAAGAGTGTTTCAAAACTGCTCCTTCAAAACGGTGGTTCAATTCTCTTAGTTGAGTACACACATCTCAAATAAGTTTCTGAGAATGCTTCTGCCTAGTTGTTACGGGAAGATATTTCCCTTTCCAACATAGGCCTGAAAGCGCTCCAAATGTCCACTTCCAGATACTACAAAAAGAGTGTTTCAAACCTGCTCTACCAAAGGGAATGTTCTGCTCTGTGACTTGAATGCAAACATCCCAAAGAAGTTTCTGAGAATGCTTCTGTCTAGATTTTACCTGAAGACAATCCCGTTTCCCACGAAATCCTCAAAGCTATGCAAATATCCTCTTGCAGATTCTACAAAAAGAGTGTTTCAAAACTGCTCTATGAAAAGAAAGGTTCAACTCTGTCAGTAGAGGGCACACATCACAAACAAGTTTCTGAGAATGCTTGTGTCTAGTTGTTATGGGAAGATATTTCCTTTTTCAACATAGGCCTGAAAGCGCTCCAAATGTCCACTTCCAGATACTACAAAAGGAGTGATTCCAACCTGCTCTATGATAGGGAATGTTCAACTCTCTGTCCTGAATACAAACATCACAAAGATGTTTCTCAGAACGCTGCAGTCTGCAATTTGTATGAATTCCAGCTTCCAACGAAATCCTCAAAACTAGCCAAATATCCACTTGCAGATTCCACAAAAAGAGCATTTCAAAACTGCTCTATCAAAAGAAAGGTTCAACTTTGTTAGTTGAGTAGATACAGCATAAACATGTTTCTGAGAATGCTTTTGTCCAGTTTTTATGGGAAGATATTTCCTTTTTCACCTTAGCCCTGAAAGCGCTCCAAAAGTCCAGTTCCAGATACTACAAAAGGAGTGTTTCAGGACTGCTCTATGAAAGGGAGTGTTCAACTTTTGACTTGAATGCAAACATCAAAAAGCAGTTTCTCAGAACGCTGCTGTGTGCTTTTTATATGTATTCCCGCCTCCAGCGAAATCCCCAAAGCTAGCCAAATATCCACTTGCAGATTCCAGAAAAAGAGTGTTTCAAAACTGCTCCTTCAAAACGGTGGTTCAATTCTCTTAGTTGAGTACACACATCTCAAATAAGTTTCTGAGAATGCTTCTGTCTAGTTGTTATGGGAAGATATTTCCTTTTCCAACATAGGCCTGAAAGCGCTCCAAATGTCCACTTCCAGATACTACAAAAGGAGTGATTCAAACCTGCTCTATGATAGGGAATGTTCAACTCTGTGTCCTGAATACAAACATCACAAAGATGTTTCTCAGAACGCTGCAGTCTGCAATTTGTATGAATTCCCGCTTCCAACGAAATCCTCCAAACTAGCCAAATATCCACTTGCAGATTCCACAAAAAGAGCGTTTCAAAACTTCTCTATGAAAAGAAAGGTTCTACTCCTTTAGTTGAGGACACACATCACGAGTAAGTTTCTGAGAGTGCTTCTGTCTAGTTTTTATGGGAAGATATTTCCTTTTTCACCTTAAGCCGGAAAGTGCTCCAAATGTCCACTTACACACACTACAAAAAGAGTGTTTCAAACCTGCTCTGTGAAAGGGAATGTTCAATTCTGTGACTTGAATGCAATCATCACAAAGAACTTTCTGAGAATGCTGCTGTCTGCTTTTTATATGTAATCCCGTTTCCAACGAAATCCTCAAATCTAGCCAAATAGCCACTTACAGATTCCACAAAAAGAGTGTTTCAAAACTGTTCTGTCTAAAGAAATGTTCAACTGTGTTAGTTGAGGACACACATCAGAAACTAGTTTCTGAGAATGCTTCTGTCTAGTTGTTATGGGAAGATATTTCCTTTTCCAACGTAGGCCTGAAAGCGCTCCAAATGTCCACTTCCATATACTAAAAAAAGAGTGTTTCAAACCTGCTCTACCAAAGGGAATGTTCTACTCTGTGACTTGAATGCAAACATCCCAAAGAAGTTTCTGAGAATGCTTCTGTCTAGATTTGATCTGAAGACAATCCCGTTTCCAACGAAATCCTCAAGTCTAGGCAAATATCCTCTTGCAGATTCCAGAAAAAGAGTGTTTCTAAACTGCTCCTTCAAAACGGTGGTTCAATTCTCTTAGTTGAGTACACACATCTCAAATAAGTTTCTGAGAATGCTTCTGCCTAGTTGTTACGGGAAGATATTTCCCTTTCCAACATAGGCCTGAAAGCGCTCCAAATGTCCACTTCCAGATACTACAAAAAGAGTGTTTCAAACCTGCTCTACCAAAGGGAATGTTCTACTCTGTGACTTGAATGCAAACATCCCAAAGAAGTTTCTGAGAATGCTTCTGTCTAGATTTTACCTGAAGACAATCCCGTTTCCCACGAAATCCTCAAAGCTATGCAAATATCCTCTTGCAGATTCTACAAAAAGAGTGTTTCAAAACTGCTCTATGAAAAGAAAGGTTCAACTCTGTCAGTAGAGGGCACACATCACAAACAAGTTTCTGAGAATGCTTGTGTCTAGTTGTTATGGGAAGATATTTCCTTTTTCAACATAGGCCTGAAAGCGCTCCAAATGTCCACTTCCAGATACTACAAAAGGAGTGATTCCAACCTGCTCTATGATAGGGAATGTTCAACTCTGTGTCCTGAATACAAACATCACAAAGATGTTTCTCAGAACGCTGCAGTCTGCAATTTGTATGAATTCCCGCTTCCAACGAAATCGTCAAAACTAGCCAAATATCCACTTGCAGATTCCACAAAAAGACCATTTCAAAACTGCTCTATCAAAAGAAAGGTTCAACTTTGTTAGTTGAGTAGATACAGCATAAACAAGTTTCTGAGAATGCTTCTGTCCAGTTTTTATGGGAAGATATTTCCTTTTTCACCTTAGCCCTAAAATCGCTCCAAAAGTCCAGTTCCAGATACTACAAAAGGGGTGTTTCAAGACTGCTCTATGAAAGGGAGTGTTCAACTTTTGACTTGAATGCAAACATCAGAAAGCAGTTTCTCAGAACGCTGCTGTGTGCTTTTTATATGTATTCCCGCTTCCAGCGAAATCCCCAAAGCTAGCCAAATATCCACTTGCAGATTCCAGAAAAAGAGTGTTTCAAAACTGCTCCTTCAAAACGGTGGTTCAATTCTCTTAGTTGAGTAGACACGTCTCAAATAAGTTTCTGAGAATGCTTCTGTCTAGTTGTTATGGGAAGATATTTCCTTTTCCAACATAGGCCTGAAAGCGCTCCAAATGTCCACTTCCAGATACTACAAAAGGAGTGATTCAAACCTGCTCTATGATAGGGAATGTTCAACTCTGTGTCCTGAATACAAACATCACAAAGATGTTTCTCAGAACGCTGCAGTCTGCAATTTGTATGAATTCCCGCTTCCAACGAAATCCTCAAAACTAGCCAAATATCCACTTGCAGATTCCACAAAAAGAGCGTTTCAAAACTTCTCTATGAAAAGAAAGGTTCTACTCCTTTAGTTGAGGACACACATCACGAGTAAGTTTCTGAGAATGCTTCTGTCTAGTTTTTATGGGAAGATATTTCCTTTTTCACCTTAGGCCGGTAAGTGCTCCAAATGTCCACTTACACACACTACAAAAAGAGTGTTTCAAACCTGCTCTGTGAAAGGGAATGTTCAATTCTGTGACTTGAATGCAATCATCACAAAGAACTTTCTGAGAATGCTGCTGACTGCTTTTTATATGTAATCCCGTTTCCAACGAAATCCTCAAATCTAGCCAAATAGCCACTTGCAGATTCCACAAAGAGATTGTTTCAAAACTGTTCTGTCTAAAGAAATGTTCAACTGTGTTAGTTGAGGACACACATCAGAAACTAGTTTCTGAGAATGCTTCTGTCTAGTTGTTATGGGAAGATATTTCCTTTTCCAACGTAGGCCTGAAAGCGCTCCAAATGTCCACTTCCATATACTAAAAAAAGAGTGTTTCAAACCTGCTCTACCAAAGGGAATGTTCTACTCTGTGACTTGAATGCAAACATCCCAAAGAAGTTTCTGAGAATGCTTCTGTCTAGATTTTATCTGAAGACAATCCCGTTTCCAACGAAATCCTCAAGGCTAGGCAAATATCGTCTAGCAGATTCCAGAAAAAGAGTGTTTCAAAACTGCTCCTTCAAAACGGTGGTTCAATTCTCTTAGTTGAGTACACACATCTCAAAAAAGTTTCAGAGAATGCTTCTGCCTAGTTGTTACGGGAAGATATTTCCCTTTCCAACATGGGCCTGAAAGTGCTGCAAATGTCCACTTCCAGATACTACAAAAAGAGTGTTTCAAACCTGCTCTACCAAAGGGAATGTTCTACTCTGTGACTTGAATGCAAACATCCCAAAGAAGTTTCTGAGAATGCTTCTGTCTAGATTTTACCTGAAGACAATCCCGTTTCCCACGAAATCCTCAAAGCTATGCAAATATCCTCTTGCAGATTCTACAAAAAGAGTGTTTCAAAACTGCTCTATGAAAAGAAAGGTTCAACTCTGTCAGTAGAGGGCACACATCACAAACAAGTTTCTGAGAATGCTTGTGTCTAGTTGTTATGGGAAGATATTTCCTTTTTCAACATAGGCCTGAAAGCGCTCCAAATGTCCACTTCCAGATACTACAAAAGGAGTGATTCCAACCTGCTCTATGATAGGGAATGTTCATCTCTGTGTCCTGAATACAAACATCACAAAGATGTTTCTCAGAACGCTGCAGTCTGCAATTTGGATGAATTCCCGCTTCCAACGAAATCCTCAAAACTAGCCAAATATCCACTTGGAGATTCCACAAAAAGAGCGTTTCAAAACTTCTCTATGAATAGAAAGGTTCTACTCCTTTAGTTGAGGACACACATCACGAGTAAGTTTCTGAGAATGCTTCTGTCTAGTTTTTATGGGAAGATATTTCCTTTTTCACCTTAGGCCGGAAAGCGCTCCAAATGTCCAATTACACACACTACAAAAAGAGTGTTTCAAACCTGCTCTGTGAAAGGGAATGTTCAATTCTGTGACTTGAATGCAATCATCACAAAGAACTTTCTGAGAATGCTGCTGTCTGCTTTTTATATGTAATCCCGTTTCCAACGAAATCCTCAAATCTAGCCCAATATCCACTTGCAGATTCCACAAAAAGAGTGTTTCAAAACTGTTCTGTATAAAGAAATGTACAACTGTGTTAGTTGAGGACACACATCAGAAACTAGTTTCTGAGAATGCTTCTGTCTAGTTGTTATGGGAAGATATTTCCTTTTCCAACGTAGGCCTGAAAGCGCTCCAAATGTCCACTTCCATATACTAAAAAAAGAGTGTTTCAAACCTGCTCTACCAAAGGGAATGTTCTACTCTGTGACTTGAATGCAAACATCCCAAAGAAGTTTCTGAGAATGCTTCTGTCTAGATTTTATCTGAAGACAATCCCGTTTCCAACGAAATCCTCAAGGCTAGGCAAATATACTCTTGCAGATTCCAGAAAAAGAGGGTTTCAAAACTGCTCCTTCAAAACGGTGGTTCAATTCTCTTAGTTGAGTACACACATCTCAAATAAGTTTCTGAGAATGCTTCTGCCTAGTTGTTACGGGAAGATATTTCCCTTTCCAACATAGGCCTGAAAGCGCTCCAAATGTCCACTTCCAGATACTACAAAAAGAGTGTTTCAAACCTGCTCTACCAAAGGGAATGTTCTACTCTGTGACTTGAATGCAAACATCCCAAAGAAGTTTCTGAGAATGCTTCTGTCTAGATTTTACCTGAAGACAATCCCGTTTCCCACGAAATCCTCAAAGCTATGCAAATATCCTCTTGCGGATTCTATAAAAGAGTGTTTCAAAACTGCTCTATGAAAAGAAAGGTTCAACTCTGTCAGTAGAGGGCACACATCACAAACAAGTTTCTGAGAATGCTTGTGTCTAGTTGTTATGGGAAGATATTTCCTTTTTCAACATAGGCCTGAAAGCGCTCCAAATGTCCACTTCCAGATACTACAAAAGGAGTGATTCCAACCTGCTCTATGATAGGGAATGTTCAACTCTCTGTCCTGAATACAAACATCACAAAGATGTTTCTCAGAACGCTGCAGTCTGCAATTTGTATGAATTCCCGCTTCCAACGAAATCCTCAAAACTAGCCAAATATCCACTTGCAGATTCCACAAAAAGAGCGTTTCAAAACTTCTCTATGAAAAGGAAGGTTCTACTCCTTTAGTTGAGGACACACATCACGAGTAAGTTTCTGAGAATGCTTCTGTCTAGTTTTTATGGGAAGATATTTCCTTTTTCACCTTAGGCCGGAAAGTGCTCCAAATGTCCACTTACACACACTACAAAAAGAGTGTTTCAAACCTGCTCTGTGAAAGGGAATGTTCAATTCTGTGACTTGAATGCAATCATCACAAAGAACTTTCTGAGAATGCTGCTGTCTGCTTTTTATATGTAATCCCGTTTCCAACGAAATCCTCAAATCTAGCCAAATAGCCACTTGCAGATTCCACAAAAAGAGTGTTTCAAAACTGTTCTGTCTAAAGAAATGTTCAACTGTGTTAGTTGAGGACACACATCAGAAACTAGTTTCTGAGAATGCTTCTGTCTAGTTGTTATGGGAAGATATTTCCTTTTCCAACGTAGGCCTGAAAGCGCTCCAAATGTCCACTTCCAGATAATACAAAAGGAGTGATTCCAACCTGCTCTATGATAGGGAATGTTCAACTCTGTGTCCTGAATACAAACATCACAAAGATGTTTCTCAGAACGCTGCAGTCTGCAATTTGTATGAATTCCCGCTTCCAACGAAATCCTCCAAACTAGCCAAATATCCACTTGCAGATTCCACAAAAAGAGCGTTTCAAAACTTCTCTGCGAAAGAAAGGTTCTACTCCTTTAGTTGAGGACACACATCACGAGTAAGTTTCTGAGAATGCTTCTGTTTAGTTTTTATGGGAAGATATTTCCTTTTTCACCTTAGGCCGGAAAGCGCTCCAAATGTCCACTTACACACACTACAAAAAGAGTGTTTCAAACCTGCTCTGTGAAAGGGAATGTTCAATTCTGTGACTTGAATGCAATCATCACAAAGAACTTTCTGAGAATGCTGCTGTCTGCTTTTTATATGTAATCCCGTTTCCAACGAAATCCTCAAATCTAGCCAAATATCCACTTGCAGATTCCACAAAAAGAGTGTTTCAAAACTGTTCTGTCTAAAGAAAAGTTCAACTGTGTTAGTTGAGGACACACATCAGAAACTAGTTTCTGAGAATGCTTCTGTCTAGTTGTTATGGGAAGATATTTCCTTTTCCAACGTAGGCCTGAAAGCGCTCCAAATGTCCACTTCCATATACTAAAAAAAGAGTGTTTCAAACCTGCTCTACCAAAGGGAATGTTCTACTCTGTGACTTGAATGCAAACATCCCAAAGAAGTTTCTGAGAATGCTTCTGTCTAGATTTTATCTGAAGACAATCCCGTTTCCAACGAAATTCTCAAGGCTAGGCAAATATACTCTTGCAGATTCCAGAAAAAGAGTGTTTCAAAACTGCTCCTTCAAAACGGTGGTTCAATTCTCTTAGTTGAGTACACACATCTCAAATATGTTTCTGAGAATGCTTCTGCCTAGTTGTTACGGGAAGATATTTCCCTTTCCAACATAGGCCTGAAAGCGCTCCAAATGTCCACTTCCAGATACTACAAAAAGAGTGTTTCAAACCTGCTCTACCAAAGGGAATGTTCTACTCTGTGACTTGAATGCAAACATCCCAAAGAAGTTTCTGAGAATGCTTCTGTCTAGATTTTACCTGAAGACAATCCCGTTTCCCACGAAACCCTCAAAGCTATGCAAATATCCTCTTGCAGATCCTACAAAAAGAGTGTTTCAAAACTGCTCTATGAAAAGAAAGGTTCAACTCTGTCAGTAGAGGGCACACATCACAAACAAGTTTCTGAGAATTCTTCTGTCTAGTTGTTATGGGAAGATTTTTCCTTTTTCAACATAGGCCTGAAAGCGCTCCAAATGTCCACTTCCGGATACTACAAAAGGAGTGATCCCAACCTGCTCTATGATAGGGAATGTTCAACTCTGTGTCCTGAATACAAACATCACAAAGATGTTTCTCAGAACGCTGCAGTCTGCAATTTGTATGAATTCCCGCTTCCAACGAAATCCTCAAAACTAGCCAAATATCCACTTGCAGATTCCACAAAAAGACCATTTCAAAACTGCTCTATCAAAAGAAAGGTTCAACTTTGTTAGTTGAGTAGATACAGCATAAACAAGTTTCTGAGAATGCTTCTGTCCAGTTTTTATGGGAAGATATTTCCTTTTTCACCTTAGCCCTGAAGGCGCTCCAAATGTCCAGTTCCAGATACTACAAAAGGGGTGTTTCAAGACTGCTCTATGAAAGGGAGTGTTCAACTTTTGACTTGAATGCAAACATCAGAAAGCAGTTTCTCAGAACGCTGCTGTGTGCTTTTTATATGTATTCCCGCTTCCAGCGAAATCCCCAAAGCTAGCCAAATATCCACTTGCAGATTCCAGAAAAAGAGTGTTTCCAAACTGCTCCTTCAAAACGGTGGTTCAATTCTCATAGTTGAGTACACACATCTCAAATAAGTTTTTGGGAATGCTTCTGTCTAGTTGTTATGGGAAGATATTTCCTTTTCCAACATAGGCCTGAAAGCGCTCCAAATGTCCACTTCCAGATACTACAAAAGGAGTGATTCAAACCTGCTCTATGATAGGGAATGTTCAACTCTGTGTCCTGAATACAAACATCACAAAGATGTTTCTCAGAACGCTGCAGTCTGCATCTTGTATGAATTCCCGCTTCCAACGAAATCCTCCAAACTAGCCAAATATCCACTTGCAGATTCCACAAAAAGAGCGTTTCAAAACTTCTCTATGAAAAGAAAGGTTCTACTCCTTTAGTTGAGGACACACATCACGAGTAAGTTTCTGAGAATGCTTCTGTCTAGTTTTTATGGGAAGATATTTACTTGTTCACCTTAGGCCGGAAAGCGCTCCAAATGTCCACTTACACACACTACAAAAAGAGTGTTTCAAACCTGCTCTGTGAAAGGGAATGTTCAATTCTGTGACTTGAATGCAATCATCACAAAGAAGTTTCTGAGAATGCTGCTGTCTGCTTTTTATATGTAATCCCGTTTCCAACGAAATCCTCAAATCTAGCCAAATATCCACTTGCAGATTCCACAAAAAGAGTGTTTCAAAACTGTTCTGTCTAAAGAAATGTTCAACTGTGTTAGTTGAGGACACACATCAGAAACTAGTTTCTGAGAATGCTTCTGTCTAGTTGTTATGGGAAGATATTTCCTTTTCCAACGTAGGCCTGAAAGCGCTCCAAATGTCCACTTCCATATACTAAAAAAAGAGTGTTTCAAACCTGCTCTACCAAAGGGAATGTTGTACTCTGTGACTTGAATGCAAACATCCCAAAGAAGTTTCTGAGAATGCTTCTGTCTAGATTTGATCTGAAGACAATCCCGTTTCCAACGAAATCCTCAAGGCTAGGCAAATATCCTCTTGCAGATTCCAGAAAAAGAGTGTTTCAAAACTGCTCCTTCAAAACGGTGGTTCAATTCTCTTAGTTGAGTACACACATCTCAAATAAGTTTCTGAGAATGCTTCTGCCTAGTTGTTACGGGAAGATATTTCCCTTTCCAACATAGGCCTGAAAGCGCTCCAAATGTCCACTTCCAGATACTACAAAAAGAGTGTTTCAAACCTGCTCTACCAAAGGGAATGTTCTACTCTGTGACTTGAATGCAAACATCCCAAAGAAGTTTCTGAGAATGCTTCTGTCTAGATTTTACCTGAAGACAATCCCGTTTCCCACGAAATCCTCAAAGCTATGCAAATATCCTCTTGCAGATTCTACAAAAAGAGTGTTTCAAAACTGCTCTATGAAAAGAAAGGTTCAACTCTGTCAGTAGAGGGCACACATCACAAACAAGTTTCTGAGAATGCTTGTGTCTAGTTGTTATGGGAAGATATTTCCTTTTTCAACGTAGGCCTGAAAGCGCTCCAAATGTCCACTTCCAGATACTACAAAAGGAGTGATTCCAACCTGCTCTATGATAGGGAATATTCAACTCTGTGTCCTGAATACAAACATCACAAAGATGTTTCTCAGAACGCTGCAGTCTGCAATTTGTATGAATTCCAGCTTCCAACGAAATCCTCAAATCTAGCCAAATATCCACTTGCAGATTCCACAAAAAGAGCATTTCAAAACTGCTCTGTCAAAAGAAAGGTTCAACTTTGTTAGTAGAGTAGATACAGCATAAACAAGTTTCTGAGAATGCTTCTGTCCAGTTTTTATGGGAAGATATTTCCTTTTTCACCTTAGCCCTGAAAGCGCTCCAAAAGTCCAGTTCCAGATACTACAAAAGGAGTGTTTCAGGACTGCTCTATGAAAGGGAGTGTTCAACTTTTGACTTGAATGCAAACATCAGAAAGCAGTTTCTCAGAACGCTGCTGTGTGCTTTTTATATGTATTCCCGCTTCCAGCGAAATCCCCAAAGCTAGCCAAATATCCACTTGCAGATTCCAGAAAAAGAGTGTTTCAAAACTGCTCCTTCAAAACGGTGGTTCAATTCTCTTAGTTGAGTAGACACATCTCAAATAAGTTTCTGAGAATGCTTCTGTCTAGTTGTTATGGGAAGATATTTCCTTTTCCAACATAGGCCTGAAAGCGCTCCAAATGTCCACTTCCAGATACTACAAAAGGAGTGATTCAAACCTGCTCTATGATAGGGAATGTTCAACTCTGTGTCCTGAATACAAACATCACAAAGATGTTTCTCAGAACGCTGCAGTCTGCAATTTGTATGAATTCCCGCTTCCAACGAAATCCTCAAAACTAGCCAAATATCCACTTGCAGATTCCACAAAAAGAGCGTTTCAAAACTTCTCTATGAAAAGAAAGGTTCTACTACTTTAGTTGAGGACACACATCACGAGTAAGTTTCTGAGAATGCTTCTGTCTAGTTTTTATGGGAAGATACTTCCTTTTTCACCTTAGGCCGGTAAGTGCTCCAAATGTCCACTTACACACACTACAAAAAGAGTGTTTCAAACCTGTTCTGTGAAAGGGAATGTTCAATTCTGTGACTTGAATGCAATCATCACAAAGAACTTTCTGAGAATGCTGCTGAGTGCTTTTTATATGTAATCCCGTTTCCAACGAAATCCTCAAATCTAGCCAAATAGCCACTTGCAGATTCCACAAAAAGAGTGTTTCAAAACTGTTCTGTCTAAAGAAATGTTCAACTGTGTTAGTTGAGGACACACATCAGAAACTAGTTTCTGAGAATGCTTCTGTCTAGTTGTTATGGGAAGATATTTCCTTTTCCAACGTAGGCCTGAAAGCGCTCCAAATGTCCACTTCCATATACTAAAAAAAGAGTGTTTCAAACCTGCTCTACCAAAGGGAATGTTCTACTCTGTGACTTGAATGCAAACATCCCAAAGAAGTTTCTGAGAATGCTTCTGTCTAGATTTGATCTGAAGACAATCCCGTTTCCTACGAAATCCTCAAGGCTAGGCAAATATCCTCTTGCAGATTCCAGAAAAAGAGTGTTTCAAAACTGCTCCTTCAAAACGGTGGTTCAATTCTCTTAGTTGAGTACACACATCTCAAATAAGTTTCCTGAGAATGCTTCTGCCTAGTTGTTACGGGAAGATATTTCCCTTTCCAACATAGGCCTGAAAGCGCTCCAAATGTCCACTTCCAGATACTACAAAAAGAGTGTTTCAAACCTGCTCTACCAAAGGGAATGTTCTACTCTGTGACTTGAATGCAAACATCCCAAAGAAGTTTCTGAGAATGCTTCTGTCTAGATTTTACCTGAAGACAATCCCGTTTCCCACGAAATCCTCAAAGCTATGCAAATATCCTCTTGCAGATTCTACAAAAAGAGTGTTTCAAAACTGCTCTATGAAAAGAAAGGTTCAACTCTGTCAGTAGAGGGCACACATCACAAACAAGTTTCTGAGAATGCTTGTGTCTAGTTGTTATGGGAAGATATTTCCTTTTTCAACATAGGCCTGAAAGCGCTCCAAATGTCCACTTCCAGATACTACAAAAGGAGTGATTCCAACCTGCTCTATGATAGGGAATGTTCACCTCTGTGTCCTGAATACAAACATCACAAAGATGTTTCTCAGAACGCTGCAGTCTGCAATTTGTATGAATTCCCGCTTCCAACGAAATCCTCAAAACTAGCCAAATATCCACTTGCAGATTCCACAAAAAGAGCATTTCAAAACTGCTCTATCAAAAGAAAGGTTCAACTATGTTAGTTGAGTAGATACAGCATAAACAAGTTTCTGAGAATGCTTCTGTCCAGTTTTTATGGGAAGATATTTCCTTTTTCACCTTAGCCCTGAAAGCGCTCCAAAAGTCCAGTTCCAGATACTACAAAAGGAGTGTTTCAGGACTGCTCTATGAAAGGGAGTGTTCAACTTTTGACTTGAATGCAAACATCAGAAAGCAGTTTCTCAGAACGCTGCTGTGTGCTTTTTATATGTATTCCCGCTTCCAGCGAAATCCCCAAAGCTAGCCAAATATCCACTTGCAGATTCCAGAAAAAGAGTGTTTCAAAACTGCTCCTTCAAAACGGTGGTTCAATTCTCTTAGTTGAGTACACACATCTCAAATAAGTTTCTGAGAATGCTTCTGTCTAGTTGTTATGGGAAGATATTTCCTTTTCCAACATAGGCCTGAAAGCGCTCCAAATGTCCACTTCCAGATACCACAAAAGGAGTGATTCCAACCTGCTCTATGATAGGGAATGTTCAACTCTGTGTCCTGAATACAAACATCACAAAGATGTTTCTCAGAACGCTGCAGTCTGCAATTTGTATGAATTCCCGCTTCCAACGAAATCCTCCAAACTAGCCAAATATCCACTTGCAGATTCCACAAAAAGAGCGTTTCAAAACTTCTCTATGAAAACAAAGGTTCTACTCCTTTAGTTGAGGACACACATCACGAGTAAGTTTCTGAGAATGCTTCTGTCTAGTTTTTATGGGAAGATATTTCCTTTTTCACCTTAGGCCGGAAAGTGCTCCAAATGTCCACTTACACACACTATAAAAAGAGTGTTTCAAACCTGCTCTGTGAAAGGGAATGTTCAATTCTGTGACTTGAATGCAATCATCACAAAGAACTTTCTGAGAATGCTGCTGTCTGCTTTTTATATGTAATCCCGTTTCCAACGAAATCCTCAAATCTAGCCAAATAGCCACTTGCAGATTCCACAAAAAGAGTGTTTCAAAACTGTTCTGTCTAAAGAAATGTTCAACTGTGTTAGTTGAGGACACACATCAGAAACCAGTTTCTGAGAATGATTCTGTCTAGTTGTTATGGGAAGATATTTCCTTTTCCAACGTAGGCCTGAAAGCGCTCCAAATGTCCACTTCCATATACTAAAAAAAGAGTGTTTCAAACCTGCTCTACCAAAGGGAATGTTCTACTCTGTGACTTGAATGCAAACATCCCAAAGAAGTTTCTGAGAATGCTTCTGTCTAGATTTGATCTGAAGACAATCCCGTTTCCAACGAAATCCTCAAGGCTAGGCAAATATCCTCTTGCAGATTCCAGAAAAAGAGTGTTTCAAAACTGCTCCTTCAAAACGGTGGTTCAATTCTCTTAGTTGAGTACACACATCTCAAATAAGTTTCTGAGAATGCTTCTGCCTAGTTGTTACGGGAAGATATTTCCCTTTGCAACATGGGCCAGAAAGCGCTCCAAATGTCCACTTCCAGATACTACAAAAAGAGGGTTTCAAACCTGCTCTACCAAAGGGAATGTTCTACTCTGTGACTTGAATGTAAACATCCCAAAGAAGTTTCTGAGAATGCTTCTGTCTAGATTTTACCTGAAGACAATCCCGTTTCCCACGAAATCCTCAAAGCTATGCAAATATCCTCTTGCAGATTCTACAAAAAGAGTGTTTCAAAACTGCTCTATGAAAAGAAAGGTTCAACTCTGTCAGTAGAGGGCACACATCACAAACAAGTTTCTGAGAATGCTTGTGTCTAGTTGTTATGGGAAGATATTTCCTTTTTCAACATAGGCCTGAAAGCGCTCCAAATGTCCACTTCCAGATACTACAAAAGGAGTGATTCCAACCTGCTCTATGATAGGGAATGTTCAACTCTGTGTCCTGAATACAAACATCACAAAGATGTTTCTCATAACGCTGCAGTCTGCAATTTGTATGAATTCCCGCTTCCAACGAAATCGTCAAAACTAGCCAAATATCCACTTGCAGATTCCACAAAAAGACCATTTCAAAACTGCTCTATCAAAAGAAAGGTTCAACTTTGTTAGTTGAGTAGATACAGCATAAACAAGTTTCTGAGAATGCTTCTGTCCAGTTTTTATGGGAAGATATTTCCTTTTTCACCTTAGCCCTGAAATCGCTCCAAAAGTCCAGTTCCAGATACTACAAAAGGGGTGTTTCAAGACTGCTCTATGAAAGGGAGTGTTCAACTTTTGACTTGAATGCAAACATCAGAAAGCAGTTTCTCAGAACGCTGCTGTGTGCTTTTTATATGTATTCCCGCTTCCAGCGAAATCCCCAAAGCTAGCCAAATATCCACTTGCAGATTCCAGAAAAAGAGTGTTTCAAAACTGCTCCTTCAAAACGGTGGTTCAATTCTCTTAGTTGAGTACACACATCTCAAATAAGTTTCTGAGAATGCTTCTGTCTAGTTGTTATGGGAAGATATTTCCTTTTCCAACATAGGCCTGAAAGCGCTCCAAATGTCCACTTCCGGATACTACAAAAGGAGTGATTCCAACCTGCTCTATGATAGGGAATGTTCAACTCTGTGTCCTGAATACAAACATCACAAAGATGTTTCTCAGAACGCTGCAGTCTGCAATTTGTATGAATTCCCGCTTCCAACGAAATCCTCAAAACTAGCCAAATATCCACTTGCAGATTCCACAAAAAGAGCGTTTCAAAACTTCTCTATGAAAACAAAGGTTCTACTCCTTTAGTTGAGGACACACATCACGAGTAAGTTTCTGAGAATGCTTCTGTCTAGTTTTTATGAGAAGATATTTCCTTTTTCACCTTAGGCCGGAAAGTGCTCCAAATGTCCACTTACACACACTACAAATAGAGTGTTTCAAACCTGCTCTGTGAAAGGGAATGTTCAATTCTGTGACTTGAATGCAATCATCACAAAGAACTTTCTGAGAATGCTGCTGTCTGCTTTTTATATGTAATCCCGTTTCCAACGAAATCCTCAAATCTAGCCAAATAGCCACTTGCAGATTCCACAAAAAGAGAGTTTCAAAACTGTTCTGTCTAAAGAAATGTTCAACTGTGTTAGTTGAGGACACACATCAGAAACTAGTTTCTGAGAATGCTTCTGTCTAGTTGTTATGGGAAGATATTTCGTTTTCCAAAGTAGGCCTGAAAGCGCTCCAAATGTCCACTTCCATATACTAAAAAAAGAGTGTTTCACACCTGCTCTACCAAAGGGAATGTTCTACTCTGTGACTTGAATGCAAACATCCCAAAGAAGTTTCTGAGAATGCTTCTGTCTAGATTTGATCTGAACACAATCCCGTTTCCAACGAAATCCTCAAAGCTAGGCAAATATCCTCTTGCAGATTCCAGAAAAAGAGTGTTTCAAAACTGCTCCTTCAAAACGGTGGTTCAATTCTCTTAGTTGAGTACACACATCTCAAATAAGTTTCTGAGAATGCTTCTGCCTAGTTGTTACGGGAAGATATTTCCCTTTCCAACATAGGCCTGAAAGCGCTCCAAATGTCCACTTCCAGATACTACAAAAAGAGTGTTTCAAACCTGCTCTACCAAAGGGAATGTTCTACTCTGTGACTTGAATGCAAACATCCCAAAGAAGTTTCTGAGAATGCTTCTGTCTAGATTTTACCTGAAGACAATCCCGTTTCCCACGAAATCCTCAAAGCTATGCAAATATCCTCTTGCAGATTCTACAAAAAGAGTGTTTCAAAACTGCTCTATGAAAAGAAAGGTTCAACTCTGTCAGTAGAGGGCACACATCACAAACAAGTTTCTGAGAATGCTTCTGCATAGTTGTTACGGGAAGATATTTCCCTTTCCAAAATAGGCCTGAAAGCGCTCCAAATGTCCACTTCCAGATACTACAAAAGGAGTGATTCCAACCTGCTCTATGATAGGGAATGTTCAACTCTGTGTCCTGAATACAAACATCACAAAGATGTTTCTCAGAACGCTGCAGTCTGCAATTTGTATGAATTCCCGCTTCCAACGAAATCCTCAAAACTAGCCAAATATCCACTTGCAGATTCCACAAAAAGACCATTTCAAAACTGCTCTATCAAAAGAAAGGTTCAACTTTGTTAGTTGAGTAGATACAGCATAACCAAGTTTCTGAGAATGCTTCTGTCCAGTTTTTATGGGAAGATATTTCCTTTTTCACCTTAGCCCTGAAATCGCTCCAAAAGTCCAGTTCCAGATACTACAAAAGGGGTGTTTCAAGACTGCTCTATGAAAGGGAGTGTTCAACTTTTGACTTGAATGCAAACATCAGAAAGCAGTTTCTCAGAACGCTGCTGTGTGCTTTTTATATGTATTCCCGCTTCCAGCGAAATCCCCAAAGCTAGCCAAATATCCACTTGCAGATTCCAGAAAAAGAGAGTTTCAAAACTGCTCCTTCAAAACGGTGGTTCAATTCTCTTAGTTGAGTACACACATCTCAAATAAGTTTCTGAGAATGCTTCTGTCTAGTTGTTATGGGAAGATATTTCCTTTTCCAACATAGGCCTGAAAGCGCTCCAAATGTCCACTTCCAGATACTACAAAAGGAGTGATTCCAACCTGCTCTATGATAGGGAATGTTCAACTCTGTGTCCTGAATACAAACATCACAAAGATGTTTCTCAGAACGCTGCAGTCTGCAATTTGTATGAATTCCCGCTTCCAACGAAATCCTCAAAACTAGCCAAATATCCACTTGCAGATTCCACAAAAAGAGCGTTTCAAAACTTCTCTATGAAAAGAAAGGTTCTACTCCTTTAGTTGAGGACACACATCACGAGTAAGTTTCTGAGAATGCTTCTGTCTAGTTTTTATGGGAAGATATTTCCTTTTTCACCTTAGGCCGGTAAGTGCTCCAAATGTCCACTTACACACACTACAAAAAGAGTGTTTCAAACCTGCTCTGTGAAAGGGAATGTTCAATTCTGTGACTTGAATGCAATCATCACAAAGAACTTTCTGAGAATGCTGCTGACTGCTTTTTATATGTAATCCCGTTTCCAACGAAATCCTCAAATCTAGCCAAATAGCCACTTGCAGATTCCACAAAAAGAGTGTTTCAAAACTGTTCTGTCTAAAGAAATGTTCAACTGTGTTAGTTGAGGACACACATCAGAAACTAGTTTCTGAGAATGCTTCTGTCTAGTTGTTATGGGAAGATATTTCCTTTTCCAACGTAGGCCTGAAAGCGCTCCAAATGTCCACTTCCATATACTAAAAAAAGAGTGTTTCAAACCTGCTCTACCAAAGGGAATGTTCTACTCTGTGACTTGAATGCAAACATCCCAAAGAAGTTTCTGAGAATGCTTCTGTCTAGATTTTATCTGAAGACAATCCCGTTTCCAACGAAATCCTCAAAGCTAGGCAAATATACTCTTGCAGATTCCAGAAAAAGAGTGTTTCAAAACTGCTCCTTCAAAACGGTGGTTCAATTCTCTTCGTTGAGTACACACATCTCAAATAAGTTTCTGAGAATGCTTCTGCCTAGTTGTTACGGGAAGATATTTCCCTTTCCAACATGGGCCTGAAAGCGCTCCAAATGTCCACTTCCAGATACTACAAAAAGAGTGTTTCAAACCTGCTCTACCAAAGGGAATGTTCTACTCTGTGACTTGAATGCAAACATCCCAAAGAAGTTTCTGAGAATGCTTCTGTCTAGATTTTACCTGAAGACAATCCCGTTTCCCACGAAATCCTCAAAGCTATGCAAATATCCTCTTGCAGATTCTACAAAAAGAGTGTTTCAAAACTGCTCTATGAAAAGAAAGGTTCAACTCTGTCAGTAGAGGGCACACATCACAAACAAGTTTCTGAGAATGCTTGTGTCTAGTTGTTATGGGAAGATATTTCCTTTTTCAACATAGGCCTGAAAGCGCTCCAAATGTCCACTTCCAGATACTACAAAAGGAGTGATTCCAACCTGCTCTATGATAGGGAATGTTCAACTCTCTGTCCTGAATACAAACATCACAAAGATGTTTCTCAGAACGCTGCAGTCTGCAATTTGTATGAATTCCCGCTTCCAGCGAAATCCTCAAAACTAGCCAAATATCCACTTGCAGATTCCACAAAAAGAGCATTTCAAAACTGCTCTATCAAAAGAAAGGTTCAACTTTGTTAGTTGAGTAGATACAGCATAAACAAGTTTCTGAGAATGCTTCTGTCCAGTTTTTATGGGAAGATATTTCCTTTTTCACCTTAGCCCTGAAAGCGCTCCAAAAGTCCAGTTCCAGATACTACAAAAGGAGTGTTTCAGGACTGCTCTATGAAAGGGAGTGTTCAACTTTTGACTTGAATGCAAACATCAGAAAGCAGTTTCTCAGAACGCTGCTGTGTGCTTTTTATATGTATTCCCGCTTCCAGCGAAATCCCCAAAGCTAGCCAAATATCCACTTGCAGATTCCAGAAAAAGAGTGTTTCAAAACTGCTCCTTCAAAACGGTGGTTCAATTCTCTTAGTTGAGTACACACATCTCAAATAAGTTTCTGAGAATGCTTGTGTCTAGTTGTTATGGGAAGATATTTCCTTTTTCAACATAGGCCTGAAAGCGCTCCAAATATCCACTTCCAGATACTACAAAAGGAGTGATTCCAACCTGCTCTATGATAGGGAATGTTCAACTCTCTGTCCTGAATACAAACATCAGAAAGATGTTTCTCAGAACGCTGCAGTCTGCAATTTGTATGAATTCCCGCTTCCAACGAAATCCTCAAAACTAGCCAAATATCCACTTGCAGATTCCACAAAAAGAGCGTTTCAAAACTTCTCTATGAAAAGAAAGGTTCTACTCCTTTAGTTGAGGACACACATCACGAGTAAGTTTCTGAGAATGCTTCTGTCTAGTTTTTATGGGAAGATATTTCCTTTTTCACCTTAGGCAGGAAAGTGCTCCAAATGTCCACTTACACACACTGCAAAAAGAGTGTTTCAAACCTGCTCTGTGAAAGGGAATGTTCAATTCTGTGACTTGAATGCAATCATCACAAAGAACTTTCTGAGAATGCTGCTGTCTGCTTTTTATATGTAATCCCGTTTCCAACGAAATCCTCAAATCTAGCCAAATAGCCACTTGCAGATTCCACAAAAAGAGTGTTTCAAAACTGTTCTGTCTAAAGAAATGTTCAACTGTGTTAGTTGAGGACACACATCAGAAACTAGTTTCTGAGAATGCTTCTGTCTAGTTGTTATGGGAAGATATTTCCTTTTCCAACGTAGGCCTGAAAGCGCTCCAAATGTCCACTTCCATATACTAAAAAAAGAGTGTTTCAAACCTGCTCTACCAAAGGGAATGTTCTACTCTGTGACTTGAATGCAAACATCCCAAAGAAGTTTCTGAGAATGCTTCTGTCTAGATTTGATCTGAAGACAATCCCGTTTCCAACGAAATCCTCAAGGCTAGGCAAATATCCTCTTGCAGATTCCAGAAAAAGAGTGTTTCAAAACTGCTCCTTCAAAACGGTGGTTCAATTCTCTTAGTTGAGTACACACATCTCAAATAAGTTTCAGAGAATGCTTCTGCCTAGTTGATACGGGAAGATATTTCCCTTTCCAACATGGGCCTGAAAGCGCTCCAAATGTCCACTTCCAGATACTACAAAAAGAGTGTTTCAAACCTGCTCTACCAAAGGGAATGTTCTACTCTGTGACTTGAATGCAAACATCCCAAAGAAGTTTCTGAGAATGCTTCTGTCTAGATTTTACCTGAAGACAATCCCGTTTCCCACGAAATCCTCAAAGCTATGCAAATATCCTCTTGCAGATTCTACAAAAAGAGTGTTTCAAAACTGCTCTATGAAAAGAAAGGTTCAACTCTGTCAGTACAGGGTACACATCACAAACAAGTTTCTGAGAATGCTTGTGTCTAGTTGTTATGGGAAGATATTTCCTTTTTCAACATAGGCCTGAAAGCGCTCCAAATGTCCACTTCCAGATACTACAAAAGGAGTGATTCCAACCTGCTCTATGATAGGGAATGTTCATCTATGTGTCCTGAATACAAACATCACAAAGATGTTTCTCATAACGCTGCAGTCTGCAATTTGTATGAATTCCCGCTTCCAACGAAATCCTCAAAACTAGCCAAATATCCACTTGCAGATTCCACAAAAAGAGCGTTTCAAAACTTCTCTATGAATAGAAAGGTTCTACTCCTTTAGTTGAGGACACACATCACGAGTAAGTTTCTGAGAATGCTTCTGTCTAGTTTTTATGGGAAGATATTTCCTTTTTCACCTTAGGCCGGTAAGTGCTCCAAATGTCCACTTACACACACTACAAAAAGAGTGTTTCAAACCTGCTCTGTGAAAGGGAATGTTCAATTCTGTGACTTGAATGCAATCATGACAAAGAACTTTCTGAGAATGCTGCTGACTGCTTTTTATATGTAATCCCGTTTCCAACGAAATCCTCAAATCTAGCCAAATAGCCACTTGCAGATTCCACAAAAAGAGTGTTTCAAAACTGTTCTGTCTAAAGAAATGTTCAACTGTGTTAGTTGAGGACACACATCAGAAACTAGTTTCTGAGAATGCTTCTGTCTAGTTGTTATGGGAAGATATTTCCTTTTCCAACGTAGGCCTGAAAGCGCTCCAAATGTCCACTTCCATATACTAAAAAAAGAGTGTTTCAAACCTGCTCTACCAAAGGGAATGTTCTACTCTGTGACTTGAATGCAAACATCCCAAAGAAGTTTCTGAGAATGCTTCTGTCTAGATTTGATCTGAAGACAATCCCGTTTCCAACGAAATCCTCAAGGCTAGGCAAATATACTCTTGCAGATTCCAGAAAAAGAGTGTTTCAAAACTGCTCCTTCAAAACGGTGGTTCAATTCTCTTAGTTGAGTACACACATCTCAAATAAGTTTCTGAGAATGCTTCTGCCTAGTTGTTACGGGAAGATATTCCCCTTTCCAACATAGGCCTGAAAGCGCTCCAAATGTCCACTTCCAGATACTACAAAAAGAGTGTTTCAAACCTGCTCTACCAAAGGGAATGTTCTACTCTGTGACTTGAATAGAAACATCCCAAAGAAGTTTCTGAGAATGCTTCTGTCTAGATTTTAGCTGAAGACAATCCCGTTTCCAATGAAATCCTCAAAGCTAGGCAAATATACTCTAGCAGATTCCAGAAAAAGAGTGTTTCAAAACTGGTCCTTCAAAACGGTGGTTCAATTCTCTTAGTTGAGTACACACATCTCAAATAAGTTTCTGAGAATGCTTCTGCCTAGTTGTTAAGGGAAGATATTTCCCTTTCCAACATAGGCCTGAAAGCGCTCCAAATGTCCACTTCCAGATACTACAAAAAGAGTGTTTCAAACCTGCTCTACCAAAGGGAAAGTTCTACTCTGTGACTTGAATGCAAACATCCCAAAGAAGTTTCTGAGAATGCTTCTGTCTAGATTTTACCTGAAGACAATCCCGTTTCCCACGAAATCCTCAAATCTATGCAAATATCCTCTTGCAGATTCTACAAAAACAGTGTTTCAAAACTGCTCTATGAAAAGAAAGGTTCAACTCTGTCAGTAGAGGGCACACATCACAAACAAGTTTCTGAGAATGCTTGTGTCTAGTTGTTATGGGAAGATATTTCCTTTTTCAACATAGGCCTGAAAGTGCTCCAAATGTCCACTTACAGATACTACAAAAGGAGTGATTCCAACCTGCTCTATGATAGGGAATGTCCAACTCTGTGTCCTGAATACAAACATCACAAAGATGTTTCTCAGAACGCTGCAGTCTGCAATTTGTATGAATTCCCGCTTCCAACGAAATCCTCAAAACTAGCCAAATATCCACTTGCAGATTCCACAAAAAGAGCATTTCAAAACTGCTCTATCAAAAGAAAGGTTCAACTTTGTTAGTTGAGTAGATACAGCATAAACAAGTTTCTGAGAATGCTTCTGTCCAGTTTTTATGGGAAGATATTTCCTTTTTCACCTTAGCCCTGAAAGCGCTCCAAAAGTCCAGTTCCAGATACTACAAAAGGAGTGTTTCAGGACTGCTCTATGAAAGGGAGTGTTCAACTTTTGACTTGAATGCAAACATCAGAAAGCAGTTTCTCAGAACGCTGCTGTGTGCTTTTTATATGTATTCCCGCTTCCAGCGAAATCCCCAAAGCTAGCCAAATATCCACTTGCAGATTCCAGAAAAAGAGTGTTTCAAAACTGCTCCTTCAAAACGGTGGTTCAATTCTCTTTGTTGAGTACACACATCTCAAATAAGTTTCTGAGAATGCTTCTGTCTAGTTGTTATGGGAAGATATTTCCTTTTCCAACATAGGCCTGAAAGCGCTCCAAATGTCCACTTCCAGATACTACAAAAGGAGTGATTCCAACCTGCTCTATGATAGGGAATGTTCAACTCTGTGTCCTGAATACAAACATCACAAAGATGTTTCTCAGAACGCTGCAGTCTGCAATTTGTATGAATTCCCGCTTCCAACGAAATCCTCCAAACTAGCCAAATATCCACTTGCAGATTCCACAAAAAGAGCGTTTCAAAACTTCTCTATGAAAGAAAGGTTCTACTCCTTTAGTTGAGGACACACATCACGAGTAAGTTTCTGAGAATGCTTCTGTCTAGTTTTTATGGGAAGATATTTCCTTTCTCACCTTAGGCCGGAAAGTGCTCCAAATGTCCACTTACACACACTACAAAAAGAGTGTTTCAAGCCTGCTCTGTGAAAGGGAATGTTCAATTCTGTGACTTGAATGCAATCATCACAAAGAACTTTCTGAGAATGCTGCTGTCTGCTTTTTATATGTAATCCCGTTTCCAACGAAATCCTCAAATCTAGCCAAATAGCCACTTGCAGATTCCACAAAAAGAGAGTTTCAAAACTGTTCTGTCTAAAGAAATGTTCAACTGTGTTAGTTGAGGACACACATCAGAAACTAGTTTCTGAGAATGCTTCTGTCTAGTTGTTATGGGAAGATATTTCCTTTTCCAACGTAGGCCTGAAAGCGCTCCAAATGTCCACTTCCATATACTAAAAAAAGAGTGTTTCAAACCTGCTCTACCAAAGGGAATGTTCTACTCTGTGACTTGAATGCAAACATCCCAAAGAAGTTTCTGAGAATGCTTCTGTCTAGATTTGATCTGAAGACAATCCCGTTTCCAACGAAATCCTCAAGGCTAGGCAAATATCCTCTTGCAGATTCCAGAAAAAGAGTGTTTCAAAACTGCTCCTTCAAAACGGTGGTTCAATTCTCTTAGTTGAGTACACACATCTCAAATAAGTTTCTGAGAATGCTTCTGCCTAGTTGTTACGGGAAGATATTTCCCTTTCCAACATAGGCCTGAAAGCGCTCCAAATGTCCACTTCCAGATACTACAAAAAGAGTGTTTCAAACCTGCTCTACCAAAGGGAATGTTCTGCTCTGTGACTTGAATGCAAACATCCCAAAGAAGTTTCTGAGAATGCTTCTGTCTAGATTTTACCTGAAGACAATCCCGTTTCCCACGAAATCCTCAAAGCTATGCAAATATCCTCTTTCAGATTCTACAAAAAGAGTGTTTCAAAACTGCTCTATGAAAAGAAAGGTTCAACTCTGTCAGTAGAGGGCACACATCACAAACAAGTTTCTGAGAATGCTTGTGTCTAGTTGTTATGGGAAGATATTTCCTTTTTCAACATAGTCCTGAAAGCGCTCCAAATGTCCACTTCCAGATACTACAAAAGGAGTGATTCCAACCTGCTCTATGATAGGGAATGTTCAACTCTCTGTCCTGAATACAAACATCACAAAGATGTTTCTCAGAACGCTGCAGTCTGCAATTTGTATGAATTCCCGCTTCCAACGAAATCCTCAAAACTAGCCAAATATCCACTTGCAGATTCCACAAAAAGAGCATTTCAAAACTGCTCTATCAAAAGAAAGGTTCAACTTTGTTAGTTGAGTAGATACAGCATAAACAAGTTTCTGAGAATGCTTCTGTCCAGTTTTTATGGGAAGATATTTCCTTTTTCACCTTAGCCCTGAAAGCGCTCCAAAAGTCCAGTTCCAGATACTACAAAAGGAGTGTTTCAGGACTGCTCTATGAAAGGGAGTGTTCAACTTTTGACTTGAATGCAAACATCAGAAAGCAGTTTCTCAGAACGCTGCTGTGTGCTTTTTATATGTATTCCCGCTTCCAGCGAAATCCCCAAAGCTAGCCAAATATCCACTTGCAGATTCCAGAAAAAGAGTGTTTCAAAACTGCTCCTTCAAAACGGTGGTTCAATTCTCTTAGTTGAGTACACACATCTCAAATAAGTTTCTGAGAATGCTTCTGTCTAGTTGTTATGGGAAGATATTTCCTTTTCCAACATAGGCCTGAAAGCGCTCCAAATGTCCACTTCCAGATACTACAAAAGGAGTGACTCAAACCTGCTCTATGATAGGGAATGTTCAACTCAGTGTCCTGAATACAAACATCACAAAGATGTTTCTCAGAACGCTGCAGTCTGCAATTTGTATGAATTCCCGCTTCCAACGAAATCCTCCAAACTAGCCAAATATCCACTTGCAGATTCCACAAAAAGAGCGTTTCAAAACTTCTCTATGAAAAGAAAGGTTCTACTCCTTTAGTTGAGGACACACATCACGAGTAAGTTTCTGAGAATGCTTCTGTCTAGTTTTTATGGGAAGATATTTCCTTTTTCACCTTAGGCCGGTAAGTGCTCCAAATGTCCACTTACACACACTACAAAAAGAGTGTTTCAAACCTGCTCTGTGAAAGGGAATGTTCAATTCTGTGACTTGAATGCAATCATCACAAAGAACTTTCTGAGAATGCTGCTGTCTGCTTTTTATATGTAATCCCGTTTCCAACGAAATCCTCAAATCTAGCCAAATAGCCACTTGCAGATTCCACAAAAAGAGAGTTTCAAAACTGTTCTGTCTAAAGAAATGTTCAACTGTGTTAGTTGAGGACACACATCAGAAACTAGTTTCTGAGAATGCTTCTGTCTAGTTGTTATGGGAAGATATTTCCTTTTCCAACGTAGGCCTGAAAGCGCTCCAAATGTCCACTTCCATATACTAAAAAAAGAGTGTTTCAAACCTGCTCTACCAAAGGGAATGTTCTACTCTGTGACTTGAATGCAAACATCCCAAAGAAGTTTCTGAGAATGCTTCTGTCTAGATTTTATCTGAAGACAATCCCGTTTCCAACGAAATCCTCAAGGCTAGGCAAATATACTCTTGCAGATTCCAGAAAAAGAGGGTTTCAAAACTGCTCCTTCAAAACGGTGGTTCAATTCTCTTAGTTGAGTCCACACATCTCAAAGAAGTTTCTGAGAATGCTTCTGCCTAGTTGTTACGGGAAGATATTTCCCTTTCCAACATGGGCCTGAAATCACTCCAAATGTCCACTTCCAGATACTACAAAAAGAGTGTTTCAAACCTACTCTACCAAAGGGAATGTTCTACTCTGTGACTTGAATGCAAACATCCCAAAGAAGTTTCTGAGAATGCTTCTGTCTAGATTTTACCTGAAGACAATCCCGTTTCCCACGAAATCCTCAAAGCCATGCAAATATCCTCTTGCAGATTCTACAAAAAGAGTGTTTCGAAACTGCTCTATGAAAAGAAAGGTTCAACTCTGTCAGTAGAGGGCACACATCACAAACAAGTTTCTGAGAATGTTTGTGTCTAGTTGTTATGGGAAGATATTTCCTTTTTCAACATAGGCCTGAAAGCGCTCCAAATGTCCACTTCCAGATACTACAAAAGGAGTGATTCCAACCTGCTCTATGATAGGGAATGTTCATCTCTGTGTCCTGAATACAAACATCACAAAGATGTTTCTCAGAACGCTGCAGTCTGCAATTTGTATGAATTCCCGCTTCCAACGAAATCCTCAACACTAGCCAAATATCCACTTGGAGATTCCACAAAAAGAGCGTTTCAAAACTTCTCTATGAATAGAAAGGTTCTACTCCTTTAGTTGAGGACACACATCACGAGTAAGTTTCTGAGAATGCTTCTGTCTAGTTTTTATGGGAAGATATGTCCTTTTTCACCTTAGGCCGGAAAGCGCTCCAAATGTCCACTTACACACACTACAAAAAGAGTGTTTCAAACCTGCTCTGTGAAAGGGAATGTTCAATTCTGTGACTTGAATGCAATCATCACAAAGAACTTTCTGAGAATGCTGCTGTCTGCTTTTTATATGTAATCCCGTTTCCAACGAAATCCTCAAATCTAGCCCAATATCCACTTGCAGATTCCACAAAAAGAGTGTTTCAAAACTGTTCTGTCTAAAGAAAAGTTCAACTGTGTTAGTTGAGGACACACATCAGAAACTAGTTTCTGAGAATGCTTCTGTCTAGTTGTTATGGGAAGATATTTCCTTTTCCAACGTAGGCCTGAAAGCGCTCCAAATGTCCACTTCCATATACTAAAAAAAGAGTGTTTCAAACCTGCTCTACCAAAGGGAATGTTCTACTCTGTGACTTGAATGCAAACATCCCAAAGAAGTTTCTGAGAATGCTTCTGTCTAGATTTTATCTGAAGACAATCCCGTTTCCAACGAAATCCTCAAGGCTAGGCAAATATACTCTTGCAGATTCCAGAAAAAGAGTGTTTCAAAACTGCTCCTTCAAAACGGTGGTTCAATTCTCTTAGTTGAGTACACACATCTCAAATAAGTTTCTGAGAATGCTTCTGCCTAGTTGTTACGGGAAGATATTTCCCTTTCCAACATGGGCCTGAAAGCGCTCCAAATGTCCACTTCCAGATACTACAAAAAGAGTGTTTCAAACCTGCTCTACCAAAGGGAATGTTCTACTCTGTGACTTGAATGCAAACATCCCAAAGAAGTTTCTGAGAATGCTTCTGTCTAGATTTTACCTGAAGACAATCCCGTTTCCCACGAAATCCTCAAAGCTATTCAAATATCCTCTTGCAGATTCTACAAAAAGAGTGTTTCAAAACTGCTCTATGAAAAGAAAGGTTCAACTCTGTCACTAGAGGGCACACATCACAAACAAGTTTCTGAGAATGCTTGTGTCTAGTTGTTATGGGAAGATATTTCCTTTTTCAACATAGGCCTGAAAGCGCTCCAAATGTCCACTTCCAGATACTACAAAAGGAGTGATTCCAACCTGCTCTATGATAGGGAATGTTCAACTCTCTGTCCTGAATACAAACATCACAAAGATGTTTCTCAGAACGCTGCAGTCTGCAATTTGTATGAATTCCCGCTTCCAGCGAAATCCTCAAAACTAGCCAAATATCCACTTGCAGATTCCACAAAAAGAGCATTTCAAAACTGCTCTATCAAAAGAAAGGTTCAACTTTGTTAGTTGAGTAGATACAGCATAAACAAGTTTCTGAGAATGCTTCTGTCCAGTTTTTATGGGAAGATATTTCCTTTTTCACCTTAGCCCTGAAAGCGCTCCAAAAGTCCAGTTCCAGATACTACAAAAGGAGTGTTTCAGGACTGCTCTATGAAAGGGAGTGTTCAACTTTTGACTTGAATGCAAACATCAGAAAGCAGTTTCTCAGAACGCTGCTGTGTGCTTTTTATATGTATTCCCGCTTCCAGCGAAATCCCCAAAGCTAGCCAAATATCCACTTGCAGATTCCAGAAAAAGAGTGTTTCAAAACTGCTCCTTCAAAACGGTGGTTCAATTCTCTTAGTTGAGTACACACATCTCAAATAAGTTTCTGAGAATGCTTCTGTCTATTTGTTATGGGAAGATATTTCCTTTTCCAACATAGGCCTGAAAGCGCTCCAAATGTCCACTTCCAGATACTAGAAAAGGAGTGATTCAAACCTGCTCTATGATAGGGAATGTTCAACTCTGTGTCCTGAATACAAACATCACAAAGATGTTTCTCAGAACGCTGCAGTCTGCAATTTGTATGAATTCCCGCTTCCAACGAAATCCTCCAAACTAGCCAAATATCCACTTGCAGATTCCACAAAAAGAGCGTTTCAAAACTTCTCTATGAAAACAAAGGTTCTACTCCTTTAGTTGAGGACACACATCACGAGTAAGTTTCTGAGAATGCTTCTGTCTAGTTTTTATGGGAAGATATTTCCTTTTTCACCTTAGGCCGGAAAGTGCTCCAAATGTCCACTTACACACACTATAAAAAGAGTGTTTCAAACCTGCTCTGTGAAAGGGAATGTTCAATTCTGTGACTTGAATGCAATCATCACAAAGAACTTTCTGAGAATGCTGCTGTCTGCTTTTTCTATGTAATCCCGTTTCCAACGAAATGCTCAAATCTAGCCAAATATCCACTTGCAGATTCCACAAAGAGAGTGTTTCAAAACTGTTCTGTCTAAAGAAATGTACAACTGTGTTAGTTGAGGACACACATCAGAAACTAGTTTCTGACAATGCTTCTGTCTAGTTGTTATGGGAAGATATTTCCTTTTCCAACGTAGGCCTGAAAGCGCTCCAAATGTCCACTTCCATATACTAAAACAAGAGTGTTTCAAACCTGCTCTACCAAAGGGAATGTTCTACTCTGTGACTTGAATGCAAACATCCCAAAGAAGTTTCTGAGAATGCTTCTGTCTAGATTTGATCTGAAGACAATCCCGTTTCCAACGAAATCCTCCAAGCTAGGCAAATATCCTCTTGCAGATTCCAGAAAAAGAGTGTTTCAAAACTGCTCCTTCAAAACGGTGGTTCAATTCTCTTAGTTGAGTACACACATCTCAAATAAGTTTCTGAGAATGCTTCTGCCTAGTTGTTACGGGAAGATATTTCCCTTTCCAACATAGGCCTGAAAGCGCTCCAAATGTCCACTTCCAGATACTATAAAAAGAGTGTTTCAAACCTGCTCTACCAAAGGGAATGTTCTACTCTGTGACTTGAATGCAAACATCCCAAAGAAGTTTCTGAGAATGCTTCTGTCTAGATTTTACCTGAAGACAATCCCGTTTCCCACGAAATCCTCAAAGCTATGCAAATATCCTCTTGCAGATTCTACAAAAAGAGTGTTTCAAAACTGCTCTATGAAAAGAAAGGTTCAACTCTGTCAGTAGAGGGCACACATCACAAACAAGTTTCTGAGAATGCTTGTGTCTAGTTGTTATGGGAAGATATTTCCTTTTTCAACATAGGCCTGAAAGCGCTCCAAATGTCCACTTCCAGATACTACAAAAGGAGTGATTCCAACCTGCTCTATGATAGGGAATGTTCAACTCTCTGTCCTGAATACAAACATCAGAAAGATGTTTCTCAGAACGCTGCAGTCTGCAATTTGTATGAATTCCCGCTTCCAACGAAATCCTCAAAACTAGCCAAATATCCACTTGCAGATTCCACAAAAAGAGCATTTCAAAACTGCTCTATCAAAAGAAAGGTTCAACTTTGTTAGTTGAGTAGATACAGCATAAACAAGTTTCTGAGAATGCTTCTGTCCAGTTTTTATGGGAAGATATTTCCTTTTTCACCTTAGCCCTGAAATCGCTCCAAAAGTCCAGTTCCAGATACTACAAAAGGGGTGTTTCAAGACTGCTCTATGAAAGGGAGTGTTCAACTTTTGACTTGAATGCAAACATCAGAAAGCAGTTTCTCAGAACGCTGCTGTGTGCTTTTTATATGTATTCCCGCTTCCAGCGAAATCCCCAAAGCTAGCCAAATATCCACTTGCAGATTCCAGAAAAAGAGTGTTTCAAAACTGCTCCTTCAAAACGGTGGTTCAATTCTCTTAGTTGAGTACACACATCTCAAATAAGTTTCTGAGAATGCTTCTGTCTAGTTGTTATGGGAAGATATTTCCTTTTCCAACATAGGCCTGAAAGCGCTCCAAATGTCCACTTCCAGATACTACAAAAGGAGTGATTCCAACCTGCTCTATGATAGGGAATGTTCAACTCTGTGTCCTGAATACAAACATCACAAAGATGTTTCTCAGAACGCTGCAGTCTGCAATTTGTATGAATTCCCGCTTCCAACGAAATCCTCCAAACTAGCCAAATATCCACTTGCAGATTCCACAAAAAGAGCGTTTCAAAACTTCTCTATGAAAAGAAAGGTTCTACTCCTTTAGTTGAGGACACACATCACGAGTAATTTTCTGAGAATGCTTCTGTCTAGTTTTTATGGGAAGATATTTCCTTGTTCACCTTAGGCCGGAAAGCGCTCCAAATGTCCACTTACACACACTAGAAAAAGAGTGTTTCAAACCTGCTCTGTGAAAAGGAATGTTCAATTCTGTGACTTGAAGGCAATCATCACAAAGAAGTTTCTGAGAATGCTGCTGTCTGCTTTTTATATGTAATCCCGTTTCCAACGAAATCCTCAAATGTAGCCAAATATCCACTTGCAGATTCCACAAAAAGAGTGTTTCAAAACTGTTCTGTCTAAAGAAATGTTCAACTGTGTTAGTTGAGGACACACATCAGAAACTAGTTTCTGAGAATGCTTCTGTCTAGTTGTTATGGGAAGATATTTCCTTTTCCAACGTAGGCCAGAAAGCGCTCCAAATGTCCACTTACACACACTACAAAAAGAGTGTTTCAAACCTGCTCTACCAAAGGGAATGTTCTACTCTGTGACTTGAATGCAAACATCCCAAAGAAGTTTCTGAGAATGCTTCTGTCTAGATTTTACCTGAAGACAATCCCGTTTCCCACGAAATCCTCAAAGCTATGCAAATATCCTCTTGCAGATTCTACAAAAAGAGTGTTTCGAAACTGCTCTATGAAAAGAAAGGTTCAACTGTGTCAGTAGAGGGCACACATCACAAACAAGTTTCTGAGAATGCTTCTGCCTAGTTGTTATGGGAAGATATTTCCTTTTTCAACATAGGCCTGAAAGCGCTCCAAATGTCCACTTCCAGATACTACAAAAGGAGTGATTCCAACCTGCTCTATGATAGAGAATGTTCAACTCTGTGTCCTGAATACAAACATCACAAAGTTGTTTTCTCAGAACGCTGCAGTCTGCAATTTGTATGAATTCCCGCTTCCAACGAAATCCTCAAAACTAGCCAAATATCCACTTGCAGATTCCACAAAAAGAGCATTTCAAAACTGCTCTATCAAAAGAAAGGTTCAACTTTGTTAGTTGAGTAGATACAGCATAAACAAGTTTCTGAGAATGCTTCTGTCCAGTTTTTATGGGAAGATATTTCCTTTTTCACCTTAGCCCTGAAAGCGCTCCAAAAGTCCAGTTCCAGATACTACAAAAGGAGTGTTTCAGGACTGCTCTATGAAAGGGAGTGTTCAACTTTTGACTTGAATGCAAACATCAGAAAGCAGTTTCTCAGAACGCTGCTGTGTGCTTTTTATATGTATTCCCGCTTCCAGCGAAATCCCCAAAGCTAGCCAAATATCCACTTGCAGATTCCAGAAAAAGAGTGTTTCCAAACTGCTCCTTCAAAACGGTGGTTCAATTCTCTTAGTTGAGTACACACATCTCAAATAAGTTTTCTGGGAATGCTTTCTGTCTAGTTGTTATGGGAAGATATTTCCTTTTCCAACATAGGCCTGAAAGCGCTCCAAATGTCCACTTCCAGATACTACAAAAGGAGTGATTCAAACCTGCTCTATGATAGGGAATGTTCAACTCTGTGTCCTGAATACAAACATCACAAAGATGTTTCTCAGAACGCTGCAGTCTGCAATTTGTATGAATTCCCGCTTCCAACGAAATCCTCAAAACTAGCCAAATATCCACTTGCAGATTCCACAAAAAGACCATTTCAAAACTGCTCTATCAAAAGAAAGGTTCAACTTTGTTAGTTGAGTAGATACAGCATAAACAAGTTTCTGAGAATGCTTCTGTCCAGTTTTTATGGGAAGATATTTCCTTTTTCACCTTAGCCCTGAAATCGCTCCAAAAGTCCAGTTCCAGATACTACAAAAGGGGTGTTTCAAGACTGCTCTATGAAAGGGAGTGTTCAACTTTTGACTTGAATGCAAACATCAGAAAGCAGTTTCTCAGAACGCTGCTGTGTGCTTTTTATATGTATTCCCGCTTCCAGCGAAATCCCCAAAGCTAGCCAAATATCCACTTGCAGATTCCAGAAAAAGAGAGTTTCAAAACTGCTCCTTCAAAACGGTGGTTCAATTCTCTTAGTTGAGTACACACATCTCAAATAAGTTTCTGAGAATGCTTCTGTCTAGTTGTTATGGGAAGATATTTCCTTTTCCAACATAGGCCTGAAAGCGCTCCAAATGTCCACTTCCAGATACTACAAAAGGAGTGATTCAAACCTGCTCTATGATAGGGAATGTTCAACTCTGTGTCCTGAATACAAACATCACAAAGATGTTTCTCAGAACGCTGCAGTCTGCAATTTGTATGAATTCCCGCTTCCAACGAAATCCTCAAAACTAGCCAAATATCCACTTGCAGATTCCACAAAAAGAGCGTTTCAAAACTTCTCTATGAAAAGAAAGGTTCTACTCCTTTAGTTGAGGACACACATCACGAGTAAGTTTCTGAGAATGCTTCTGTCTAGTTTTTATGGGAAGATATTTCCTTGTTCACTTTAGGCCGGAAAGCGCTCCAAATGTCCACTTACACACACTACAAAAAGAGTGTTTCAAACCTGCTCTGTGAAAGGGAATGTTCAATTCTGTGACTTGAATGCAATCATCACAAAGAAGTTTCTGAGAATGCTGCTGTCTGCTTTTTATATGTATTCCCGTTTCCAACGAAATCCTCAAAGCCAGCCAAATATCCACTTGCAGATTCCACAAAAAGAGTGTTTCAAAACTGCTCTCTCAAAAGAAATGTTCAACTCTGTCAGTTGAGGACACACATCACAAATAAGTTTCTGAGAATGCTTCTGTCTAGTTTTTATGGGAAGATATTTCCTTTTTCACCTGAGGCCGGAAAGCGCTCCAAATGTCCACTTCCAGATACTACAAAAGGAGTGATTCAAACCTGCTCTATGATAGGGAACGTTCAACTCTGTGTCCTGAATACAAACATCACAAAGATGTTTCTCAGAACGCTTCTCTCTAGATTTTATATGAAGATATTCCCGTTTCCAACGAAATCCACAAAGCTATCGAAATATCCACTTGCAGATTCTACAAAAAGAGTGTTTCAAAACTGCTCTATCAAAAGAAAGGTTCTACCCCTTTAGTTGAGGACACACATCACGAGTAAGTTTCTGAGAATGCTTCTGTCTAGTTTTTATGGGAAGATATTTCCTTTTTCACCTGAGGCCGGAAAGCGCTCCAAATGTCCACTTCCAGATACTACAAAAGGAGTGATTCAAACCTGCTCTATGATAGGGAACGTTCAACTCTGTGTCCTGAATACAAACATCACAAAGATGTTTCTCAGAACGCTGCAGTCTGCAATTTGTATGAATTCCCGCTTCCAACGAAATCCTCAAAACTAGCCAAATATCCACTTGCAGATTCCACAAAAAGAGCGTTTCAAAACTTCTCTATGAAAAGAAAGGTTCTACTCCTTTAGTTGAGGACACACATCACGAGTAAGTTTCTGAGAATACTTCTGTCTAGTTTTTATGGGAAGATATTTCCTTGTTCACCTTAGGCCGGAAAGCGCTCCAAATGTCCACTTACACACACTACAAAAAGAGTGTTTCAAACCTGCTCTGTGAAAGGGAATGTTCAATTCTGTGACTTGAATGCAATCGTCACAAAGAAGTTTCTGAGAATGCTGCTGTCTGCTTTTTATATGTAATCCCGTTTCCAACGAAATCCTCAAATCTAGCCAAATATCCACTTGCAGATTCCACAAAGAGAGTGTTTCAAAACTGTTCTGTCTAAAGAAATGTTCAACTGTGTTAGTTGAGGACACACATCAGAAACTAGTTTCTGAGAATGCTTCTGTCTAGTTGTTATGGGAAGATATTTCCTTTTCCAACGTAGGCCTGAAAGCGCTCCAAATGTCCACTTCCATATACTAAAAAAAGAGTGTTTCAAACCTGCTCTACCAAAGGGAATGTTCTACTCTGTGACTTGAATGCAAACATCCCAAAGAAGTTTCTGAGAATGCTTCTGTCTAGATTGGATCTGAAGACAATCCCGTTTCCAACGAAATCCTCAAATCTATGCAAATATCCTCTTGCAGATTCCAGAAAAAGAGTGTTTCAAAACTGCTCCTTCAAAACGGTGGTTCAATTCTCTTAGTTGAGTACACACATCTCAAATAAGTTTCTGAGAATGCTTCTGCCTAGTTGTTACGGGAAGATATTTCCCTTTCCAACATAGGCCTGAAAGCGCTCCAAATGTCCACTTCCAGATACTACAAAAAGAGTGTTTCAAACCTGCTCCTTCAAAACGGTGGTTCAATTCTCTTAGTTCAGTACACACATCTCAAATAAGTTTCTGAGAATGCTTCTGCCTAGTTGTTACGGGAAGATATTTCCCTTTCCAACATAGGCCTGAAAGCGCTCCAAATGTCCACTTCCAGATACTACAAAAAGAGTGTTTCAAACCTGCTCTACCAAAGGGAATGTTCTACTCTGTGACTTGAATGCAAACATCCCAAAGAAGTTTCTGAGAATGCTTCTGTCTAGATTTTACCTGAAGACAATCCCGTTTCCCACGAAATCCTCAAAGCTATGCAAATATCCTCTTGCAGATTCTACAAAAAGAGTGTTTCAAAACTGCTCTATGAAAAGAAAGGTTCAACTCTGTCAGTAGAGGGCACACATCACAAACAAGTTTCTGAGAATGCTTGTGTCTAGTTGTTATGGGAAGATATTTCCTTTTTCAACATAGGCCTGAAAGCGCTCCAAATGTCCACTTCCAGATACTACAAAAGGAGTGATTCCAACCTGCTCTATGATAGGGAATGTTCAACTCTGTGTCCTGAATACAAACATCACAAAGATGTTTCTCAGAACGCTGCAGTCTGCAATTTGTATGAATTCCCGCTTCCAACGAAATCCTCAAAACTAGCCAAATATCCACTTGCAGATTCCACAAAAAGAGCATTTCAAAACTGCTCTATCAAAAGAAAGGTTCAACTTTGTTAGTTGAGTAGATACAGCATAAACAAGTTTCTGAGAATGCTTCTGTCCAGTTTTTATGGGAAGATATTTCCTTTTTCACCTTAGCCCTGAAAGCGCTCCAAAAGTCCAGTTCCAGATACTACAAAAGGGGTGTTTCAAGACTGCTCTATGAAAGGGAGTGTTCAACTTTTGACTTGAATGCAAACATGAGAAAGCAGTTTCTCAGAACGCTGCTGTGTGCTTTTTATATGTATTCCCGCTTCCAGCGAAATCCCCAAAGCTAGCCAAATATCCACTTGCAGATTCCAGAAAAAGAGTGTTTCAAAACTGCTCCTTCAAAACGGTGGTTCAATTCTCTTAGTTGAGTACACACATCTCAAATAAGTTTCTGAGAATGCTTCTGTCTATTTGTTATGGGAAGATATTTCCTTTTCCAACATAGGCCTGAAAGCGCTCCAAATGTCCACTTCCAGATACTAGAAAAGGAGTGATTCAAACCTGCTCTATGATAGGGAATGTTCAACTCTGTGTCCTGAATACAAACATCACAAAGATGTTTCTCAGAACGCTGCAGTCTGCAATTTGTATGAATTCCCGCTTCCAACGAAATCCTCAAAACTAGCCAAATATCCACTTGCAGATTCCACAAAAAGAGCGTTTCAAAACTTCTCTATGAAAAGAAAGGTTCTACTCCTTTAGTTGAGGACACACATCACGAGTAAGTTTCTGAGAATGCTTCTGTCTAGTTTTTATGGGAAGATATTTCCTTTTTCACCTTAGGCCGGTAAGTGCTCCAAATGTCCACTTACACACACTACAAAAAGAGTGTTTCAAACCTGCTCTGTGAAAGGGAATGTTCAATTCTGTGACTTGAATGCAATCATCACAAAGAACTTTCTGAGAATGCTGCTGACTGCTTTTTATATGTAATCCCGTTTCCAACGAAATCCTCAAATCTAGCCAAATAGCCACTTGCAGATTCCACAAAAAGAGTGTTTCAAAACTGTTCTGTCTAAAGAAATGTTCAACTGTGTTAGTTGAGGACACACATCAGAAACTAGTTTCTGAGAATGCTTCTGTCTAGTTGTTATGGGAAGATATTTCCTTTTCCAACGTAGGCCTGAAAGCGCTCCAAATGTCCACTTCCAGATACTACAAAAAGAGTGTTTCAAACCTGCTCTACCAAAGGGAATGTTCTACTCTGTGACTTGAATGCAAACATCCCAAAGAAGTTTCTGAGAATGCTTCTGTCTAGATTTTCTCTGAAGACAATCCCGTTTCCAACGAAATCCTCAAGGCTAGGCAAATATACTCTTGCAGATTCCAGAAAAAGAGTGTTTCAAAACTGCTCCTTCAAAACGGTGGTTCAATTCTCTTAGTTGAGTACACACATCTCAAATAAGTTTCTGAGAATGCTTCTGCCTAGTTGTTACGGGAAGATATTTCCCTTTCCAACATGGGCCTGAAAGCGCTCCAAATGTCCACTTCCAGATACTACAAAAAGAGTGTTTCAAACCTGCTCTACCAAAGGGAATGTTCTACTCTGTGACTTGAATGCAAACATCCCAAAGAAGTTTCTGAGAATGCTTCTGTCTAGATTTTACCTGAAGACAATCCCGTTTCCCACGAAATCCTCAAAGCTATGCAAATATCCTCTTGCAGATTCTACAAAAAGAGTGTTTCAAAACTGCTCTATGAAAAGAAAGGTTCAACTCTGTCAGTAGAGGGCACACATCACAAACAAGTTTCTGAGAATGCTTCTGCATAGTTGTTACGGGAAGATATTTCCCTTTCCAAAATAGGCCTGAAAGCGCTCCAAATGTCCACTTCCAGATACTACAAAAGGAGTGATTCCAACCTGCTCTATGATAGGGAATGTTCAACTCTGTGTCCTGAATACAAACATCACAAAGATGTTTCTCAGAACGCTGCAGTCTGCAATTTGTATGAATTCCCGCTTCCAACGAAATCCTCAAAACTAGCCAAATATCCACTTGCAGATTCCACAAAAAGACCATTTCAAAACTGCTCTATCAAAAGAAAGGTTCAACTTTGTTAGTTGAGTAGATACAGCATAAACAAGTTTCTGAGAATGCTTCTGTCCAGTTTTTATGGGAAGATATTTCCTTTTTCACCTTAGCCCTGAAATCGCTCCAAAAGTCCAGTTCCAGATACTACAAAAGGGGTGTTTCAAGACTGCTCTATGAAAGGGAGTGTTCAACTTTTGACTTGAATGCAAACATCAGAAAGCAGTTTCTCAGAACGCTGCTGTGTGCTTTTTATATGTATTCCCGCTTCCAGCGAAATCCCCAAAGCTAGCCAAATATCCACTTGCAGATTCCAGAAAAAGAGAGTTTCAAAACTGCTCCTTCAAAACGGTGGTTCAATTCTCTTAGTTGAGTACACACATCTCAAATAAGTTTCTGAGAATGCTTCTGTCTAGTTGTTATGGGAAGATATTTCCTTTTCCAACATAGGCCTGAAAGCGCTCCAAATGTCCACTTCCAGATATTACAAAAGGAGTGATTCAAACCTGCTCTATGATAGGGAATGTTCAACTCTGTGTCCTGAATACAAACATCACAAAGATGTTTCTCAGAACGCTGCAGTCTGCAATTTGTATGAATTCCCGCTTCCAACGAAATCCTCAAAACTAGCCAAATATCCACTTGCAGATTCCACAAAAAGAGCGTTTCAAAACTTCTCTATGAAAAGAAAGGTTCTACTCCTTTAGTTGAGGACACACATCACGAGTAAGTTTCTGAGAATGCTTCTGTCTAGTTTTTATGGGAAGATTATTTCCTTTTTCACCTTAGGCCGGTAAGTGCTCCAAATGTCCACTTACACACACTACAAAAAGAGTGTTTCAAACCTGCTCTGTGAAAGGGAATGTTCAATTCTGTGACTTGAATGCAATCATCACAAAGAACTTTCTGAGAATGCTGCTGACTGCTTTTTATATGTAATCCCGTTTCCAACGAAATCCTCAAATCTAGCCAAATAGCCACTTGCAGATTCCACAAAAAGAGTGTTTCAAAACTGTTCTGTCTAAAGAAATGTTCAACTGTGTTAGTTGAGGACACACATCAGAAACGAGTTTCTGAGAATGCTTCTGTCTAGTTGTTATGGGAAGATATTTCCTTTTCCAACGTAGGCCTGAAAGCGCTCCAAATGTCCACTTCCAGATACTACAAAAAGAGTGTTTCAAACCTGCTCTACCAAAGGGAATGTTCTACTCTGTGACTTGAATGCAAGCATCCCAAAGAAGTTTCTGAGAATGCTTCTGTCTAGATTTTCTCTGAAGACAATCCCGTTTCCAACGAAATCCTCAAGGCTAGGCAAATATCCTCTTGCAGATTCCAGAAAAAGAGTGTTTCAAAACTGCTCCTTCAAAACGGTGGTTCAATTCTCTTAGTTGAGTACACACATCTCAAATAAGTTTCTGAGAATGCTTCTGCCTAGTTGTTACGGGAAGATATTTCCCTTTCCAACATGGGCCTGAAAGCGCTCCAAATGTCCACTTCCAGATACTACAAAAAGAGTGTTTCAAACCTGCTCTACCAAAGGGAATGTTCTACTCTGTGACTTGAATGCAAACATCCCAAAGAAGTTTCTGAGAATGCTTCTGTCTAGATTTTACCTGAAGACAATCCCGTTTCCCACGAAATCCTCAAAGCTATGCAAATATCCTCTTGCAGATTCTACAAAAAGAGTGTTTCAAAACTGCTCTATGAAAAGAAAGGTTCAACTCTGTCAGTAGAGGGCACACATCACAAACAAGTTTCTGAGAATGCTTGTGTCTAGTTGTTATGGGAAGATATTTCCTTTTTCAACATAGCCCTGAAAGCGCTCCAAATGTCCACTTCCAGATACTACAAAAGGAGTGATTCCAACCTGCTCTATGATAGGGAATGTTCATCTCTGTGTCCTGAATACAAACATCACAAAGATGTTTCTCAGAACGCTGCAGTCTGCAATTTGTATGAATTCCCGCTTCCAACGAAATCCTCAAAACTAGCCAAATATCCACTTGGAGATTCCACAAAAAGAGCGTTTCAAAACTTCTCTATGAATAGAAAGGTTCTACTCCTTTAGTTGAGGACACACATCACGATTAAGTTTCTGAGAATGCTTCTGTCTAATTTTTATGGGAAGATATGTCCTTTTTCACCTTAGGCCGGAAAGCGCTCCAAATGTCCACTTACACACACTACAAAAAGAGTGTTTCAAACCTGCTCTGTGAAAGGGAATGTTCAATTCTGTCACTTGAATGCAATCATCACAAAGAACTTTCTCAGAATGCTGCTGTCTGCTTTTTATATGTAATCCCGTTTCCAACGAAATCCTCAAATCTAGCCCAATATCCACTTGCAGATTCCACAAAAAGAGTGTTTCAAAACTGTTCTGTCTAAAGAAAAGTTCAACTGTGTTAGTTGAGGACACACATCAGAAACTAGTTTCTGAGAATGCTTCTGTCTAGTTGTTATGGGAAGATATTTCCTTTTCCAACGTAGGCCTGAAAGCGCTCCAAATGTCCACTTCCATATACTAAAAAAAGAGTGTTTCAAACCTGCTCTACTAAAGGGAATGTTCTACTCTGTGACTTGAATGCAAACATCTCAAAGAAGTTTCTGAGAATGCTTTTGTCTAGATTTTATCTGAAGACAATCCCGTTTCCAACGAAATCCTCAAGGCTAGTCAAATATACTCTTGCAGATTCCAGAAAAAGAGGGTTTCAAAACTGCTCCTTCAAAACGGTGGTTCAATTCTCTTCGTTGAGTACACACATCTCAAATAAGTTTCTGAGAATGATTCTGCCTAGTTGTTACGGGAAGATATTTCCCTTTCCAACATGGGCCTGAAAGCGCTCCAAATGTCCACTTCCAGATACTACAAAAAGAGTGTTTCAAACCTGCTCTACCAAAGGGAATGTTCTACTCTGTGACTTGAATGCAAACATCCCAAAGAAGTTTCTGAGAATGCTTCTGTCTAGATTTTACCTGAAGACAATCCCGTTTCCCACGAAATCCTCAAAGTTATGCAAATATCCTCTTGCGGATTCTACAAAAAGAGTGTTTCAAAACTGCTCTATGAAAAGAAAGGTTCAACTCTGTCAGTAGAGGGCACACATCACAAACAAGTTTCTGAGAATGCTTGTGTCTAGTTGTTATGGGAAGATATTTCCTTTTTCAACATAGGCCTGAAAGCGCTCCAAATGTCCACTTCCAGATACTACAAAAGGACTGATTCCAACATGGTCTATGATAGGGAATGTTCATCTCTGTGTCTTGAATACAAACATCACAAAGATGTTTCTCAGAACGCTGCAGTCTGCAATTTGTATGAATTCCCGCTTCCAACGAAATCCTCAAAACTAGCCAAATATCCACTTGGAGATTCCACAAAAAGAGCGTTTCAAAACTTCTCTATGAATAGAAAGGTTCTATTCCTTTAGTTGAGGACACACATCACGAGTAAGTTTCTGAGAATGCTTCTGTCTAATTTTTATGGGAAGATATGTCCTTTTTCACCTTAGGCCGGAAAGCGCTCCAAATGTCCACTTACACACACTACAAAAAGAGTGTTTCAAACCTGCTCTGTGAAAGGGAATGTTCAATTCTGTGACTTGAATGCAATCATCACAAAGAACTTTCTGAGAATGCTGCTGACTGCTTTTTATATGTAATCCCGTTTCCAACGAAATCCTCAAATCTAGCCCAATATCCACTTGCAGATTCCACAAAAAGAGTGTTTCAAAACTGTTCTGTCTAAAGAAATGTACAACTGTGTTAGTTGAGGACACACATCAGAAACTAGTTTCTGAGAATGCTTCTGTCTAGTTGTTATGGGAAGATATTTCCTTTTCCAACGTAGGCCTGAAAGCGCTCCAAATGTCCACTTCCATATACTAAAAAAAGAGTGTTTCAAACCTGCTCTACCAAAGGGAATGTTCTACTCTGTGACTTGAATGCAAACATCCCAAAGAAGTTTCTGAGAATGCTTCTGTCTAGCATTTTATCTGAAGACAATCCCGTTTCCAACGAAATCCTCAAGGCTAGGCAAATATACTCTTGCAGATTCCAGAAAAAGAGTGTTTCAAAACTGCTCCTTCAAAACGGTGGTTCAATTCTCTTAGTTGAGTACACACATCTCAAATAAGTTTCTGAGAATGCTTCTGCCTAGTTGTTACGGGAAGATATTTCCTTTTCCAACATGGGCCTGAAAGCGCTCCAAATGTCCACTTCCAGATACTACAAAAAGAGTGTTTCAAACCTGCTCTACCAAAGGGAATGTTCTACTCTGTGACTTGAATGCAAACATCCCAAAGAAGTTTCTGAGAATGCTTCTGTCTAGATTTTACCTGAAGACAATCCCGTTTCCCACGAAATCCTCAAAGCTATGCAAATATCCTCTTGCAGATTCTACAAAAAGAGTGTTTCAAAACTGCTCTATGAAAAGAAAGGTTCAACTCTGTCAGTAGAGGGCACACATCACAAACAAGTTTCTGAGAATGCTTCTGCATAGTTGTTACGGGAAGATATTTCCCTTTCCAAAATAGGCCTGAAAGCGCTCCAAATGTCCACTTCCAGATACTACAAAAGGAGTGATTCCAACCTGCTCTATGATAGGGAATGTTCAACTCTGTGTCCTGAATACAAACATCACAAAGATGTTTCTCAGAACGCTGCAGTCTGCAATTTGTATGAATTCCCGCTTCCAACGAAATCCTCAAAACTAGCCAAATATCCACTTGCAGATTCCACAAAAAGACCATTTCAAAACTGCTCTATCAAAAGAAAGGTTCAACTTTGTTAGTTGAGTAGATACAGCATAACCAAGTTTCTGAGAATGCTTCTGTCCAGTTTTTATGGTAAGATATTTCCTTTTTCACCTTAGCCCTGAAATCGCTCCAAAAGTCCAGTTCCAGATACTACAAAAGGGGTGTTTCAAGACTGCTCTATGAAAGGGAGTGTTCAACTTTTGACTTGAATGCAAACATCAGAAAGCAGTTTCTCAGAACGCTGCTGTGTGCTTTTTATATGTATTCCCGCTTCCAGCGAAATCCCCAAAGCTAGCCAAATATCCACTTGCAGATTCCAGAAAAAGAGAGTTTCAAAACTGCTCCTTCAAAACGGTGGTTCAATTCTCTTAGTTGAGTACACACATCTCAAATAAGTTTCTGAGAATGCTTCTGTCTAGTTGTTATGGGAAGATATTTCCTTTTCCAACATAGGCCTGAAAGCGCTCCAAATGTCCACTTCCAGATACTACAAAAGGAGTGATTCAAACCTGCTCTATGATAGGGAATGTTCAACTCTGTGTCCTGAATACAAACATCACAAAGATGTTTCTCAGAACGCTGCAGTCTGCAATTTGTATGAATTCCCGCTTCCAACGAAATCCTCAAAACTAGCCAAATATCCACTTGCAGATTCCACAAAAAGAGCGTTTCAAAACTTCTCTATGAAAAGAAAGGTTCTACTCCTTTAGTTGAGGACACACATCACGAGTAAGTTTCTGAGAATGCTTCTGTCTAGTTTTTAAGGGAAGATATTTCCTTTTTCACCTTAGGCCGGAAAGTGCTCCAAATGTCCACTTACACACACTACAAAAAGAGTGTTTCAAACCTCCTCTGTGAAAGGGAATGTTCAATTCTGTGACTTGAATGCAATCATCACAAAGAACTTTCTGAGAATGCTGCTGTCTGCTTTTTATATGTAATCCCGTTTCCAACGAAATCCTCAAATCTAGCCAAATAGCCACTTGCAGATTCCACAAAAAGAGTGTTTCAAAACTGTTCTGTCTAAAGAAATGTTCAACTGTGTTAGTTGAGGACACACATCAGAAACTAGTTTCTGAGAATGCTTCTGTCTAGTTGTTATGGGAAGATATTTCCTTTTCCAACGTAGGCCTGAAAGCGCTCCAAATGTCCACTTCCATATACTAAAAAAAGAGTGTTTCAAACCTGCTCTACCAAAGGGAATGTTCTACTCTGTGACTTGAATGCAAACATCCCAAAGAAGTTTCTGAGAATGCTTCTGTCTAGATTTGATCTGAAGACAATCCCGTTTCCAACGAAATCCTCAAGGCTAGGCAAATATACTCTTGCAGATTCCAGAAAAAGAGTGTTTCAAAACTGCTCCTTCAAAACGGTGGTTCAATTCTCTTAGTTGAGTACACACATCTCAAATAAGTTTCTGAGAATGCTTCTGCCTAGTTGTTACGGGAAGATATTTCCCTTTCCAACATAGGCCTGAAAGCGCTCCAAATGTCCACTTCCAGATACTACAAAAAGAGTGTTTCAAACCTGCTCTACCAAAGGGAATGTTCTACTCTGTGACTTGAATGCAAACATCCCAAAGAAGTTTCTGAGAATGCTTCTGTCTAGATTTTACCTGAAGACAATCCCGTTTCCCACGAAATCCTCAAAGCTATGCAAATATCCTCTTGCAGATTCTACAAAAAGAGTGTTTCAAAACTGCTCTATGAAAAGAAAGGTTCAACTCTGTCAGTAGAGGGCACACATCACAAACAAGTTTCTGAGAATGCTTGTGTCTAGTTGTTATGGGAAGATATTTCCTTTTTCAACATAGGCCTGAAAGCGCTCCAAATGTCCACTTCCAGATACTACAAAAGGAGTGATTCCAACCTGCTCTATGATAGGGAATGTTCAACTCTGTGTCCTGAATACAAACATCACAAAGATGTTTCTCAGAACGCTGCAGTCTGCAATTTGTATGAATTCCCGCTTCCAACGAAATCCTCAAAACTAGCCAAATATCCACTTGCAGATTCCACAAAAAGAGCATTTCAAAACTGCTCTATCAAAAGAAAGGTTCAACTTTGTTAGTTGAGTAGATACAGCATAAACAAGTTTCTGAGAATGCTTCTGTCCAGTTTTTATGGGAAGATATTTCCTTTTTCACCTTAGCCCTGAAAGCGCTCCAAAAGTCCAGTTCCAGATACTACAAAAGGAGTGTTTCAGACTGCACTATGAAAGGGAGTGTTCAACTTTTGACTTGAATGCAAACATCAGAAAGCAGTTTCTCAGAACGCTGCTGTGTGCTTTTTATATGTATTCCCGCTTCCAGCGAAATCCCCAAAGCTAGCCAAATATCCACTTGCAGATTCCAGAAAAAGAGTGTTTCAAAACTGCTCCTTCAAAACGGTGGTTCAATTCTCTTAGTTGAGTACACACATCTCAAATAAGTTTCTGAGAATGCTTCTGTCTAGTTGTTATGGGAAGATATTTCCTTTTCCAACATAGGCCTGAAAGCGCTCCAAATGTCCACTTCCAGATACTACAAAAGGAGTGATTCAAACCTGCTCTATGATAGGGAATGTTCAACTCTGTGTCCTGAATACAAACATCACAAAGATGTTTCTCAGAACGCTGCAGTCTGCAATTTGTATGAATTCCCGCTTCCAACGAAATCCTCAAAACTAGCCAAATATCCACTTGCAGATTCCACAAAAAGAGCGTTTCAAAACTTCTCTATGAAAAGAAAGGTTCTACTCCTTTAGTTGAGGACACACATCACGAGTAAGTTTCTGAGAATGCTTCTGTCTAGTTTTTATGGGAAGATATTTCCTTTTTCACCTTAGGCCAGAAAGCGCTCCAAATGTCCACTTACACACACTACAAAAAGAGTGTTTCAAACCTGCTCTGTGAAAGGGAATGTTCAATTGCTGTGACTTGAATGCAATCATCACAAAGAACTTTCTGAGAATGCTGCTGACTGCTTTTTATATGTAATCCCGTTTCCAACGAAATCCTCAAATCTAGCCCAATATCCACTTGCAGATTCCACAAAAAGAGTGTTTCAAAACTGTTCTGTGTAAAGAAATGTACAACTGTGTTAGTTGAGGCCACACATCAGAAACTAGTTTCTGAGAATGCTTCTGTCTAGTTGTTATGGGAAGATATTTCCTTTTCCAACGTAGGCCTGAAAGCGCTCCAAATGTCCACTTCCATATACTAAAAAAAGAGTGTTTCAAACCTGCTCTACCAAAGGGAATGTTCTACTCTGTGACTTGAATGCAAACATCCCAAAGAAGTTTCTGAGAATGCTTCTGTCTAGATTTGATCTGAAGACAATCCCGTTTCCAACGAAATCCTCAAAGCTAGGCAAATATCCTCTTGCAGATTCCAGAAAAAGAGTGTTTCAAAACTGCTCCTTCAAAACGGTGGTTCAATTCTCTTAGTTGAGTACACACATCTCAAATAAGTTTCTGAGAATGCTTCTGCCTAGTTGTTACGGGAAGATATTTCCCTTTCCAACATAGGCCTGAAAGCGCTCCAAATGTCCACTTCCAGATACTATAAAAAGAGTGTTTCAAACCTGCTCTACCAAAGGGAATGTTCTACTCTGTGACTTGAATGCAAACATCCCAAAGAAGTTTCTGAGAATGCTTCTGTCTAGATTTTACCTGAAGACAATCCCGTTTCCCACGAAATCCTCAAAGCTATGCAAATATCCTCTTGCAGATTCTACAAAAAGAGTGTTTCAAAACTGCTCTATGAAAAGAAAGGTTCAACTCTGTCACTAGAGGGCACACATCACAAACAAGTTTCTGAGAATGCTTGTGTCTAGTTGTTATGGGAAGATATTTCCTTTTTCAACATAGGCCTGAAAGCGCTCCAAATGTCCACTTCCAGATACTACAAAAGGAGTGATTCCAACCTGCTCTATGATAGGGAATGTTCAACTCTCTGTCCTGAATACAAACATCACAAAGATGTTTCTCAGAACGCTGCAGTCTGCAATTTGTATGAATTCCCGCTTCCAACGAAATCCTAAAAACTAGCCAAATATCCACTTGCAGATTCCACAAAAAGACCATTTCAAAACTGCTCTATCAAAAGAAAGGTTCAACTTTGTTAGTTGAGTAGATACAGCATAAACAAGTTTCTGAGAATGCTTCTGTCCAGTTTTTATGGGAAGATATTTCCTTTTTCACCTTAGCCCTGAAATCGCTCCAAAAGTCCAGTTCCAGATACTACAAAAGGGGTGTTTCAAGACTGCTCTATGAAAGGGAGTGTTCAACTTTTGACTTGAATGCAAACATCAGAAAGCAGTTTCTCAGAACGCTGCTGTGTGCTTTTTATATGTATTCCCGCTTCCAGCGAAATCCCCAAAGCTAGCCAAATATCCACTTGCAGATTCCAGAAAAAGAGAGTTTCAAAACTGCTCCTTCAAAACGGTGGTTCAATTCTCTTAGTTGAGTACACACATCTCAAATAAGTTTCTGAGAATGCTTCTGTCTAGTTGTTATGGGAAGATATTTCCTTTTCCAACATAGGCCTGAAAGCGCTCCAAATGTCCACTTCCAGATACTACAAAAGGAGTGATTCCAACCTGCTCTATGATAGGGAATGTTCAACTCTGTGTCCTGAATACAAACATCACAAAGATGTTTCTCAGAACGCTGCAGTCTGCAATTTGTATGAATTCCCGCTTCCAACGAAATCCTCAAAACTAGCCAAATATCCACTTGCAGATTCCACAAAAAGAGCGTTTCAAAACTTCTCTATGAAAAGAAAGGTTCTACTCCTTTAGTTGAGGACACACATCACGAGTAAGTTTCTGAGAATGCTTCTGTCTAGTTTTTATGGGAAGATATGTCCTTTTTCACCTTAGGCCGGATAGGTGCTCCAAATGTCCACTTACACACACTACAAAAAGAGTGTTTCAAACCTGCTCTGTGAAAGGGAATGTTCAATTCTGTGACTTGAATGCAATCATCACAAAGAACTTTCTGAGAATGCTGCTGACTGCTTTTTATATGTAATCCCGTTTCCAACGAAATCCTCAAATCTAGCCAAATAGCCACTTGCAGATTCCACAAAAAGAGTGTTTCAAAACTGTTCTGTCTAAAGAAATGTTCAACTGTGTTAGTTGAGGACACACATCAGAAACTAGTTTCTGAGAATGCTTCTGTCTAGTTGTTATGGGAAGATATTTCCTTTTCCAACGTAGGCCTGAAAGCGATCAAAATGTCCACTTCCATATACTAAAAAAAGAGTGTTTCAAACCTGCTCTACCAAAGGGAATGTTCTACTCTGTGACTTGAATGCAAACATCCCAAAGAAGTTTCTGAGAATGCTTCTGTCTAGATTTTCTCTGAAGACAATCCCGTTTCCAACGAAATCCTCAAGGCTAGGCAAATATACTCTTGCAGATTCCAGAAAAAGAGTGTTTCAAAACTGCTCCTTCAAAACGGTGGTTCAATTCTCTTAGTTGAGTACACACATCTCAAATAAGTTTCTGAGAATGCTTCTGCCTAGTTGTTACGGGAAGATATTTCCCTTTCCAACATGGGCCTGAAAGCGCTCCAAATGTCCACTTCCAGATACTACAAAAAGAGTGTTTCAAACCTGCTCTACCAAAGGGAATGTTCTACTCTGTGACTTGAATGCAAACATCCCAAAGAAGTTTCTGAGAATGCTTCTGTCTAGATTTTACCTGAAGACAATCCCGTTTCCCACGAAATCCTCAAAGCTATGCAAATATCCTCTTGCAGATTCTACAAAAAGAGTGTTTCAAAACTGCTCTATGAAAAGAAAGGTTCAACTCTGTCAGTAGAGGGCACACATCACAAACAAGTTTCTGAGAATGCTTGTGTCTAGTTGTTATGGGAAGATATTTCCTTTTCCAACATAGGCCTGAAAGCGCTCCAAATGTCCACTTCCAGATACTACAAAAGGAGGGATTCCAACCTGGTCTATGATAGGGAATGTTCAACTCTCTGTCCTGAATACAAACATCACAAAGATGTTTCTCAGAACGCTGCAGTCTGCAATTTGTATGAATTCCCGCTTCCAACGAAATCCTCAAAACTAGCCAAATATCCACTTGCAGATTCCACAAAAAGACCATTTCAAAACTGCTCTATCAAAAGAAAGGTTCAACTTTGTTAGTTGAGTAGATACAGCATAAACAAGTTTCTGAGAATGCTTCTGTCCAGTTTTTATGGGAAGATATTTCCTTTTTCACCTTAGCCCTGAAATCGCTCCAAAAGTCCAGTTCCAGATACTACAAAAGGGGTGTTTCAAGACTGCTCTATGAAAGGGAGTGTTCAACTTTTGACTTGAATGCAAACATCAGAAAGCAGTTTCTCAGAACGCTGCTGTGTGCTTTTTATATGTATTCCCGCTTCCAGCGAAATCCCCAAAGCTAGCCAAATATCCACTTGCAGATTCCAGAAAAAGAGTGTTTCAAAACTGCTCCTTCAAAACGGTGGTTCAATTCTCTTAGTTGAGTACACACATCTCAAATAAGTTTCTGAGAATGCTTCTGTCTAGTTGTTATGGGAAGATATTTCCTTTTCCAACATAGGCCTGAAAGCGCTCCAAATGTCCACTTCCAGATACTACAAAAGGAGTGATTCCAACCTGCTCTATGATAGGGAATGTTCAACTCTGTGTCCTGAATACAAACATCACAAAGATGTTTCTCAGAACGCTGCAGTCTGCAATTTGTATGAATTCTCGCTTCCAACGAAATCCTCCAAACTAGCCAAATATCCACTTGCAGATTCCACAAAAAGAGCGTTTCAAAACTTCTCTATGAAAAGAAAGGTTCTACTCCTTTAGTTGAGGACACACATCACGAGTAAGTTTCTGAGAATGCTTCTGTCTAGTTTTTATGGGAAGATATTTCCTTTTTCACCTTAGGCCGGAAAGTGCTCCAAATGTCCACTTACACACACTACAAAAAGAGTGTTTCAAACCTGCTCTGTGAAAGGGAATGTTCAATTCTGTGACTTGAATGCAATCATCACAAAGAACGTTCTGAGAATGCTGCTGTCTGCTTTTTATATGTAATCCCGTTTCCAACGAAATCCTCAAATCTAGCCAAATAGCCACTTGCAGATTCCACAAAAAGAGAGTTTCAAAACTGTTCTGTCTAAAGAAATGTTCAACTGTGTTAGTTGAGGACACACATCAGAAACTAGTTTCTGAGAATGCTTCTGTCTAATTGTTATGGGAAGATATTTCCTTTTCCAACGTAGGCCTGAAAGCGCTCCAAATGTCCACTTCCATATACTAAAAAAAGAGTGTTTCAAACCTCCTCTACCAAAGGGAATGTTCTACTCTGTGACTTGAATGCAAACATCCCAAAGAAGTTTCTGAGAATGCTTCTGTCTAGATTTGATCTGAAGACAATCCCGTTTCCAACGAAATCCTCAAAGCTAGGCAAATATCCTCTTGCAGATTCCAGAAAAAGAGTGTTTCAAAACTGCTCCTTCAAAACGGTGGTTCAATTCTCTTAGTTGAGTACACACATCTCAAATAAGTTTCTGAGAATGCTTCTGCCTAGTTGTTACGGGAAGATATTTCCCTTTCCAACATAGGCCTGAAAGCGCTCCAAATGTCCACTTCCAGATACTACAAAAAGAGTGTTTCAAACCTGCTCTACCAAAGGGAATGTTCTACTCTGTGACTTGAATGCAAACATCCCAAAGAAGTTTCTGAGAATGCTTCTGTCTAGATTTTACCTGAAGACAATCCCGTTTCCCACGAAATCCTCAAAGCTATGCAAATATCCTCTTGCAGATTCTACAAAAAGAGTGTTTCAAAACTGCTCTATGAAAAGAAAGGTTCAACTCTGTCAGTAGAGGGCACACATCACAAACAAGTTTCTGAGAATGCTTGTGTCTAGTTGTTATGGGAAGATATTTCCTTTTTCAACATAGGCCTGAAAGCGCTCCAAATGTCCACTTCCAGATACTACAAAAGGAGTGATTCCAACCTGCTCTATGATAGGGAATGTTCAACTCTCTGTCCTGAATACAAACATCACAAAGATGTTTCTCAGAACGCTGCAGTCTGCAATTTGTATGAATTCCCGCTTCCAACGAAATCCTCAAAACTAGCCAAATATCCACTTGCAGATTCCACAAAAAGAGCATTTCAAAACTGCTCTATGAAAAGAAAGGTTCAACTCTGTCAGTAGAGGGCACACATCACAAACAAGTTTCTGAGAATGCTTGTGTCTAGTTGTTATGGGAAGATATTTCCTTTTTCAACATAGGCCAGAAAGCGCTCCAAATGTCCACTTCCAGATACTACAAAAGGAGTGATTCCAACCTGCTCTATGATAGGGAATGTTCAACTCTCTGTCCTGAATACAAACATCACAAAGATGTTTCTCAGAACGCTGCAGTCTGCAATTTGTATGAATTCCCGCTTCCAGCGAAATCCTCAAAACTAGCCAAATATCCACTTGCAGATTCCACAAAAAGAGCATTTCAAAACTGCTCTATCAAAAGAAAGGTTCAACTTTGTTAGTTGAGTAGATACAGCATAAACAAGTTTCTGAGAATGCTTCTGTCCAGTTTTTATGGGAAGATATTTCCTTTTTCACCTTAGCCCTGAAAGCGCTCCAAAAGTCCAGTTCCAGATACTACAAAAGGAGTGTTTCAGGACTGCACTATGAAAGGGAGTGTTCAACTTTTGACTTGAATGCAAACATCAGAAAGCAGTTTCTCAGAACGCTGCTGTGTGCTTTTTATATGTATTCCCGCTTCCAGCGAAATCCCCAAAGCTAGCCAGATATCCACTTGCAGATTCCAGAAAAAGAGTGTTTCAAAACTGCTCCTTCAAAACGGTGGTTCAATTCTCTTAGTTGAGTACACACATCTCAAATAAGTTTCTGAGAATGCTTCTGTCTAGTTGTTATGGGAAGATATTTCCTTTTCCAACATAGGCCTGAAAGCGCTCCAAATGTCCACTTCCAGATACTACAAAAGGAGTGATTCAAACCTGCTCTATGATAGGGAATGTTCAACTCTGTGTCCTGAATACAAACATCACAAAGATGTTTCTCAGAACGCTGCAGTCTGCAATTTGTATGAATTCCCGCTTCCAACGAAATCCTCAAAACTAGCCAAATATCCACTTGCAGATTCCACAAAAAGAGCGTTTCAAAACTTCTCTATGAAAAGAAAGGTTCTACTCCTTTAGTTGAGGACACACATCACGAGTAAGTTACTGAGAATGCTTCTGTCTAGTTTTTATGGGAAGATATTTCCTTTTTCACCTTAGGCCGGTAAGTGCTCCAAATGTCCACTTACACACACTACAAAAAGAGTGTTTCAAACCTGCTCTGTGAAAGGGAATGTTCAATTCTGTGACTTGAATGCAATCATCACAAAGAACTTTCTGAGAATGCTGCTGACTGCTTTTTATATGTAATCCCGTTTCCAACGAAATCCTCAAATCTAGCCAAATAGCCACTTGCAGATTCCACAAAAAGAGTGTTTCAAAACTGTTCTGTCTAAAGAAATGTTCAACTGTGTTAGTTGAGGACACACATCAGAAACTAGTTTCTGAGAATGCTTCTGTCTAGTTGTTATGGGAAGATATTTCCTTTTCCAACGTAGGCCTGAAAGCGCTCCAAATGTCCACTTCCATATACTAAAAAAAGAGTGTTTCAAACCTGCTCTACCAAAGGGAATGTTCTACTCTGTGACTTGAATGCAAACATCCCAAAGAAGTTTCTGAGAATGCTTCTGTCTAGATTTTATCTGAAGACAATCCCGTTTCCAACGAAATCCTCAAGGCTAGGCAAATATACTCTTGCAGATTCCAGAAAAAGAGTGTTTCAAAACTGCTCCTTCAAAACGGTGGTTCAATTCTCTTAGTTGAGTACACACATCTCAAATAACTTTCTGAGAATGCTTCTGCCTAGTTGTTACGGGAAGATATTTCCCTTTCCAACATGGGCCTGAAAGCGCTCCAAATGTCCACTTCCAGATACTACAAAAAGAGTGTTTCAAACCTGCTCTACCAAAGGGAATGTTCTACTCTGTGACTTGAATGCAAACATCCCAAAGAAGTTTCTGAGAATGCTTCTGTCTAGATTTTACCTGAAGACAATCCCGTTTCCCACGAAATCCTCAAAGCTATGCAAATATCCTCTTGCAGATTCTACAAAAAGAGTGTTTCAAAACTGCTCTATGAAAAGAAAGGTTCAACTCTGTCAGTAGAGGGCACACATCACAAACAAGTTTCTGAGAATGCTTGTGTCTAGTTGTTATGGGAAGATATTTCCTTTTTCAACATAGGCCTGAAAGCGCTCCAAATGTCCACTTCCAGATACTACAAAAGGAGTGATTCCAACCTGCTCTATGATAGGGAATGTTCAACTCTCTGTCCTGAATACAAACATCACAAAGATGTTTCTCAGAACGCTGCAGTCTGCAATTTGTATGAATTCCCGCTTCCAACGAAATCCTCAAAACTAGCCAAATATCCACTTGCAGATTCCACAAAAAGAGCATTTCAAAACTGCTCTATCAAAAGAAAGGTTCAACTTTGTTAGTTGAGTAGATACAGCATAAACAAGTTTCTGAGAATGCTTCTGTCCAGTTTTTATGGGAAGATATTTCCTTTTTCACCTTAGCCCTGAAAGCGCTTCAAAAGTCCAGTTCCAGATACTACAAAAGGGGTGTTTCAAGACTGCTCTATGAAAGGGAGTGTTCAACTTTTGACTTGAATGCAAACATCAGAAAGCAGTTTCTCAGAACGCTGCTGTGTGCTTTTTATATGTATTCCCGCTTCCAGCGAAATCCCCAAAGCTAGCCAAATATCCACTTGCAGATTCCAGAAAAAGAGTGTTTCAAAACTGCTCCTTCAAAACGGTGGTTCAATTCTCTTAGTTGAGTACACACATCTCAAATAAGTTTCTGAGAATGCTTCTGTCTAGTTGTTATGGGAAGATATTTCCTTTTCCAACATAGGCCTGAAAGCGCTCCAAATGTCCACTTCCAGATACTACAAAAGGAGTGATTCAAACCTGCTCTATGATAGGGAATGTTCAACTCTGTGTCCTGAATACAAACATCACAAAGATGTTTCTCAGAACGCTGCAGTCTGCAATTTGTATGAATTCCCGCTTCCAACGAAATCCTCAAAACTAGCCAAATATCGACTTGCAGATTCCACAAAAAGAGCGTTTCAAAACTTCTCTATGAAAAGAAAGGTTCTACTCCTTTAGTTGAGGACACACATCACGAGTAAGTTTCTGAGAATGCTTCTGTCTAGTTTTTATGGGAAGATATTTCCTTTTTCACCTTAGGCCGGTAAGTGCTCCAAATGTCCACTTACACACACTACAAAAAGAGTGTTTCAAACCTGCTCTGTGAAAGGGAATGTTCAATTCTGTGACTTGAATGCAATCATCACAAAGAACTTTCTGAGAATGCTGCTGACTGCTTTTTATATGTAATCCCGTTTCCAACGAAATCCTCAAATCTAGCCAAATAGCCACTTGCAGATTCCACAAAAAGAGTGTTTCAAAACTGTTCTGTCTAAAGAAATGTTCAACTGTGTTAGTTGAGGACACACATCAGAAACTAGTTTCTGAGAATGCTTCTGTCTAGTTGTTATGGGAAGATATTTCCTTTTCCAACGTAGGCCTGAAAGCGATCCAAATGTCCACTTCCATATACTAAAAAAAGAGTGTTTCAAACCTGCTCTACCAAAGGGAATGTTCTACTCTGTGACTTGAATGCAAACATCCCAAAGAAGTTTCTGAGAATGCTTCTGTCTAGATTTTCTCTGAAGACAATCCCGTTTCCAACGAAATCCTCAAGGCTAGGCAAATATACTCTTGCAGATTCCAGAAAAAGAGTGTTTCAAAACTGCTCCTTCAAAACGGTGGTTCAATTCTCTTAGTTGAGTACACACATCTCAAATAAGTTTCTGAGAATGCTTCTGCCTAGTTGTTACGGGAAGATATTTCCCTTTCCAACATGGGCCTGAAAGCGCTCCAAATGTCCACTTCCAGATACTACAAAAAGAGTGTTTCAAACCTGCTCTACCAAAGGGAATGTTCTACTCTGTGACTTGAATGCAAACATCCCAAAGAAGTTTCTGAGAATGCTTCTGTCTAGATTTTACCTGAAGACAATCCCGTTTCCCACGAAATCCTCAAAGCTATGCAAATATCCTCTTGCAGATTCTACAAAAAGAGTGTTTCAAAACTGCTCTATGAAAAGAAAGGTTCAACTCTGTCAGTAGAGGGCACACATCACAAACAAGTTTCTGAGAATGCTTCTGCATAGTTGTTACGGGAAGATATTTCCCTTTCCAAAATAGGCCTGAAAGCGCTCCAAATGTCCACTTCCAGATACTACAAAAGGAGTGATTCCAACCTGCTCTATGATAGGGAATGTTCAACTCTGTGTCCTGAATACAAACATCACAAAGATGTTTCTCAGAACGCTGCAGTCTGCAATTTGTATGAATTCCCGCTTCCAACGAAATCCTCAAAACTAGCCAAATATCCACTTGCAGATTCCACAAAAAGAGCATTTCAAAACTGCTCTATCAAAAGAAAGGTTCAACTATGTTAGTTGAGTAGATACAGCATAAACAAGTTTCTGAGAATGATTCTGTCCAGTTTTTATGGGAAGATATTTCCTTTTTCACCTTAGCCCTGAAAGCGCTCCAAAAGTCCAGTTCCAGATACTACAAAAGGAGTGTTTCAGGACTGCTCTATGAAAGGGAGTGTTCAACTTTTGACTTGAATGCAAACATCAGAAAGCAGTTTCTCAGAACGCTGCTGTGTGCTTTTTATATGTATTCCCGCTTCCAGCGAAATCCCCAAAGCTAGCCAAATATCCACTTGCAGATTCCAGAAAAAGAGTGTTTCAAAACTGCTCCTTCAAAACGGTGGTTCAATTCTCTTAGTTGAGTACACACATCTCAAATAAGTTTCTGAGAATGCTTCTGTCTAGTTGTTATGGGAAGATATTTCCTTTTCCAACATAGGCCTGAAAGCGCTCCAAATGTCCACTTCCAGATACTACAAAAGGAGTGATTCCAACCTGCTCTATGATAGGGAATGTTCAACTCTGTGTCCTGAATACAAACATCACAAAGATGTTTCTCAGAACGCTGCAGTCTGCAATTTGTATGAATTCCCGCTTCCAACGAAATCCTCAAAACTAGCCAAATATCCACTTGCAGATTCCACAAAAAGAGCGTTTCAAAACTTCTCTATGAAAAGAAAGGTTCTACTCCTTTAGTTGAGGACACACATCACGAGTAAGTTTCTGAGAATGCTTCTGTCTAGTTTTTATGGGAAGATATTTCCTTTTTCACCTTAGGCCGGTAAGTGCTCCAAATGTCCACTTACACACACTACAAAAAGAGTGTTTCAAACCTGCTCTGTGAAAGGGAATGTTCAATTCTGTGACTTGAATGCAATCATCACAAAGAACTTTCTGAGAATGCCGCTGACTGCTTTTTATATGTAATCCCGTTTCCAACGAAATCCTCAAATCTAGCCAAATAGCCACTTGCAGATTCCACAAAAAGAGTGTTTCAAAACTGTTCTGTCTAAAGAAATGTTCAACTGTGTTAGTTGAGGACACACATCAGAAACTAGTTTCTGAGAATGCTTCTGTCTAGTTGTTATGGGAAGATATTTCCTTTTCCAACGTAGGCCTGAAAGCGCTCCAAATGTCCACTTCCAGATACTACAAAAAGAGTGTTTCAAACCTGCTCTACCAAAGGGAATGTTCTACTCTGTGACTTGAATGCAAGCATCCCAAAGAAGTTTCTGAGAATGCTTCTGTCTAGATTTTATCTGAAGACAATCCCGTTTCCAACGAAATTCTCAAGGCTAGGCAAATATACTCTTGCAGATTCCAGAAAAAGAGTGTTTCAAAACTGCTCCTTCAAAACGGTGGTTCAGTTCTCTTACTTGAGTACACACATCTCAAATAAGTTTCTGAGAATGCTTCTGCCTAGTTGTTACGGGAAGATATTTCCCTTTCCAACATGGGCCTGAAAGCGCTCCAAATGTCCACTTCCAGATACTACAAAAAGAGTGTTTCAAACCTGCTCTACCAAAGGGAATGTTCTACTCTGTGACTTGAATGCAAACATCCCAAAGAAGTTTCTGAGAATGCTTCTGTCTAGATTTTACCTGAAGACAATCCCGTTTCCCACGAAATCCTCAAAGCTATGCAAATATCCTCTTGCAGATTCTACAAAAAGAGTGTTTCAAAACTGCTCTATGAAAAGAAAGGTTCAACTCTGTCAGTAGAGGGCACACATCACAAACAAGTTTCTGAGAATGCTTCTGCATAGTTGTTACGGGAAGATATTTCCCTTTCCAAAATAGGCCTGAAAGCGCTCCAAATGTCCACTTCCAGATACTACAAAAGGAGTGATTCCAACCTGCTCTATGATAGGGAATGTTCAACTCTGTGTCCTGAATACAAACATCACAAAGATGTTTCTCAGAACGCTGCAGTCTGCAATTTGTATGAATTCCCGCTTCCAACGAAATCCTCAAAACTAGCCAAATATCCACTTGCAGATTCCACAAAAAGACCATTTCAAAACTGCTCTATCAAAAGAAAGGTTCAACTTTGTTAGTTGAGTAGATACAGCATAAACAAGTTTCTGAGAATGCTTCTGTCCAGTTTTTATGGGAAGATATTTCCTTTTTCACCTTAGCCCTGAAATCGCTCCAAAAGTCCAGTTCCAGATACTACAAAAGGGGTGTTTCAGGACTGCTCTATGAAAGGGAGTGTTCAACTTTTGACTTGAATGCAAACATCAGAAAGCAGTTTCTCAGAACGCTGCTGTCTGCTTTTTATATGTAATCCCGTTTCCAACGAAATCCTCAAATCTAGCCAAATATCCACTTGCAGATTCCAGAAAAAGAGTGTTTCAAAACTGCTCCTTCAAAGCGGTGGTTCAATTCTCTTAGTTGAGTACACACATCTGAAATAAGTTTCTGAGAATGCTTCTGTCTAGTTGTTATGGGAAGATATTTCCTTTTCCAACATAGGCCTGAAAGCGCTCCAAATGTCCACTTCCAGATACTACAAAAGGAGTGATTCCAACCTGCTCTATGATAGGGAATGTTCAACTCTGTGTCCTGAATACAAACATCACAAAGATGTTTCTCAGAACGCTGCAGTCTGCAATTTGTATGAATTCCCGCTTCCAACGAAATCCTCCAAACTAGCCAAATATCCACTTGCAGATTCCACAAAAAGAGCGTTTCAAAACTTCTCTATGAAAAGAAAGGTTCTACTCCTTTAGTTGAGGACACACATCACGAGTAAGTTTCTGAGAATGCTTCTGTCTAGTTTTTATGGGAAGATTATTTCCTTTTTCACCTTAGGCCGGTAAGTGCTCCAAATGTCCACTTACACACACTACAAAAAGAGTGTTTCAAACCTGCTCTGTGAAAGGGAATGTTCAATTCTGTGACTTGAATGCAATCATCACAAAGAACTTTCTGAGAATGCTGCTGGCTGCTTTTTATATGTAATCCCGTTTCCAACGAAATCCTCAAATCTAGCCAAATAGCCACTTGCAGATTCCACAAAAAGAGTGTTTCAAAACTGTTCTGTCTAAAGAAATGTTCAACTGTGTTAGTTGAGGACACACATCAGAAACTAGTTTCTGAGAATGCTTCTGTCTAGTTGTTATGGGAAGATATTTCCTTTTCCAACGTAGGCCTGAAAGCGCTCCAAATGTCCACTTCCAGATACTACAAAAAGAGTGTTTCAAACCTGCTCTACCAAAGGGAATGTTCTACTCTGTGACTTGAATGCAAGCATCCCAAAGAAGTTTCTGAGAATGCTTCTGTCTAGATTTTCTCTGAAGACAATCCCGTTTCCAACGAAATCCTCAAGGCTAGGCAAATATACTCTTGCAGATTCCAGAAAAAGAGTGTTTCAAAACTGCTCCTTCAAAACGGTGGTTCAATTCTCTTAGTTGAGTACACACATCTCAAATAAGTTTCTGAGAATGCTTCTGCCTAGTTGTTACGGGAAGATATTTCCCTTTCCAACATGGGCCTGAAAGCGCTCCAAATGTCCACTTCCAGATACTACAAAAAGAGTGTTTCAAACCTGCTCTACCAAAGGGAATGTTCTACTCTGTGACTTGAATGCAAACATCCCAAAGAAGTTTCTGAGAATGCTTCTGTCTAGATTTTACCTGAAGACAATCCCGTTTCCCACGAAATCCTCAAAGCTATGCAAATATCCTCTTGCAGATTCTACAAAAAGAGTGTTTCAAAACTGCTCTATGAAAAGAAAGGTTCAACTCTGTCAGTAGAGGGCACACATCACAAACAAGTTTCTGAGAATGCTTGTGTCTAGTTGTTATGGGAAGATATTTCCTTTTTCAAGATAGGCCTGAAAGCGCTCCAAATGTCCACTTCCAGATACTACAAAAGGAGTGATTCCAACCTGCTCTATGATAGGGAATGTTCAACTCTCTGTCCTGAATACAAACATCACAAAGATGTTTCTCAGAACGCTGCAGTCTGCAATTTGTATGAATTCCCGCTTCCAACGAAATCCTCAAAACTAGCCAAATATCCACTTGCAGATTCCACAAAAAGAGCGTTTCAAAACTTATCTATGAAAAGAAAGGTTCTACTTCTTTAGTTGAGGACACACATCACGAGTAAGTTTCTGAGAATGCTTCTGTCTAGTTTTTATGGGAAGATATTTCCTTTTTCACCTTAGGCCGGAAAGTGCTCCAAATGTCCACTTACACACACTATACAAAGAGTGTTTCAAACCTGCTCTGTGAAAGGGAATGTTCAATACTGTGACTTGAATGCAATCATCACAAAGAAGTTTCTGAGAATGCTGCTGTCTGCTTTTTATATGTAATCCCGTTTCCAACGAAATCCTCAAATCAAGCCAAATAGCCACTTGCAGATTCCACAAAAAGAGAGTTTCAAAACTGTTCTGTCTAAAGAAATGTTCAACTGTGTTAGTTGAGGACACACATCAGAAACTAGTTTCTGAGAATGCTTCTGTCTAGTTGTTATGGGAAGATATTTCCTTTTCCAACGTAGGCCTGAAAGCGCTCCAAATGTCCACTTCCATATACTAAAAAAAGAGTGTTTCAAACCTGCTCTACCAAAGGGAATGTTCTACTCTGTGACTTGAATGCAAACATCCCAAAGAAGTTTCTGAGAATGCTTCTGTCTAGATTTGATCTGAAGACAATCCCGTTTCCAACGAAATCCTCAAGGCTAGGCAAATATCCTCTTGCAGATTCCAGAAAAAGAGTGTTTCAAAACTGCTCCTTCAAAACGGTGGTTCAATTCTCTTAGTTGAGTACACACATCTCAAATAAGTTTCTGAGAATGCTTCTGCCTAGTTGTTACGGGAAGATATTTCCCTTTCCAACATAGGCCTGAAAGCGCTCCAAATGTCCACTTCCAGATACTACAAAAAGAGTGTTTCAAACCTGCTCTACCAAAGGGAATGTTCTACTCTGTGACTTGAATGCAAACATCCCAAAGAAGTTTCTGAGAATGCTTCTGTCTAGATTTTACCTGAAGACAATCCCGTTTCCCACGAAATCCTCAAAGCTATGCAAATATCCTCTTGCAGATTCTACAAAAAGAGTGTTTCAAAACTGCTCTATGAAAAGAAAGGTTCAACTCTGTCAGTAGAGGGCACACATCACAAACAAGTTTCTGAGAATGCTTGTGTCTAGTTGTTATGGGAAGATATTTCCTTTTTCAACATAGGCCTGAAAGCGCTCCAAATGTCCACTTCCAGATACTACAAAAGGCGTGATTCCAACCTGCTCTATGATAGGGAATGTTCATCTCTGTGTCCTGAATACAAACATCACAAAGATGTTTCTCAGAACGCTGCAGTCTGCAATTTGTATGAATTCCCGCTCCCAACGAAATCCTCAAAACTAGCCAAATATCCACTTGCAGATTCCACAAAAAGAGCGTTTCAAAACTGCTCTATCAAAAGAAAGGTTCAACTTTGTTAGTTGAGTAGATACAGCATAAACAAGTTTCTGAGAATGCTTCTGTCCAGTTTTTATGGGAAGATATTTCCTTTTTCACCTTAGCCCTGAAAGCGCTCCAAAAGTCCAGTTCCAGATACTACAAAAGGGGTGTTTCAAGACTGCTCTATGAAAGGGAGTGTTCAACTTTTGACTTGAATGCAAACATCAGAAAGCAGTTTCTCAGAACGCTGCTGTGTGCTTTTTATATGTATTCCCGCTTCCAGCGAAATCCCCAAAGCTAGCCAAATATCCACTTGCAGATTCCAGAAAAAGAGTGTTTCAAAACTGCTCCTTCAAAACGGTGGTTCAATTCTCTTAGTTGAGTACACACATCTCAAATAAGTTTCTGAGAATGCTTCTGTCTAGTTGTTATGGGAAGATATTTCCTTTTCCAACATAGGCCTGAAAGCGCTCCAAATGTCCACTTCCAGATACTACAAAAGGAGTGATTCCAACCTGCTCTATGATAGGGAATGTTCAACTCTGTGTCCTGAATACAAACATCACAAAGATGTTTCTCAGAACGCTGCAGTCTGCAATTTGTATGAATTCCCGCTTCCAACGAAATCCTCAAAACTAGCCAAATATCCACTTGCAGATTCCACAAAAAGACCATTTCAAAACTGCTCTATCAAAAGAAAGGTTCAACTTTGTTAGTTGAGTAGATACAGCATAAACAAGTTTCTGAGAATGCTTCTGTCCAGTTTTTATGGGAAGATATTTCCTTTTTCACCTTAGCCCTGAAATCGCTCCAAAAGTCCAGTTCCAGATACTACAAAAGGGGTGTTTCAAGACTGCTCTATGAAAGGGAGTGTTCAACTTTTGACTTGAATGCAAACATCAGAAAGCAGTTTCTCAGAACGCTGCTGTGTGCTTTTTATATGTATTCCCGCTTCCAGCGAAATCCCCAAAGCTAGCCAAATATCCACTTGCAGATTCCAGAAAAAGAGAGTTTCAAAACTGCTCCTTCAAAACGGTGGTTCAATTCTCTTAGTTGAGTACACACATCTCAAATAAGTTTCTGAGAATGCTTCCTGTCTATTTGTTATGGGAAGATATTTCCTTTTCCAACATAGGGCCTGAAAGCGCTCCAAATGTCCACTTCCAGATACTACAAAAGGAGTGATTCAAACCTGCTCTATGATAGGGAATGTTCAACTCTGTGTCCTGAATACAAACATCACAAAGATGTTTCTCAGAACGCTGCAGTCTGCAATTTGTATGAATTCCCGCTTCCAACGAAATCCTCAAAACTAGCCAAATATCGACTTGCAGATTCCACAAAAAGAGCGTTTCAAAACTTCTCTATGAAAAGAAAGGTTCTACTCCTTTAGTTGAGGACACACATCACGAGTAAGTTTCTGAGAATGCTTCTGTCTAGTTTTTATGGGAAGATATTTCCTTTTTCACCTTAGGCCGGTAAGTGCTCCAAATGTCCACTTACACACACTACAAAAAGAGTGTTTCAAACCTGCTCTGTGAAAGGGAATGTTCAATTCTGTGACTTGAATGCAATCATCACAAAGAACTTTCTGAGAATGCTGCTGACTGCTTTTTATATGTAATCCCGTTTCCAACGAAATCCTCAAATCTAGCCAAATAGCCACTTGCAGATTCCACAAAAAGAGTGTTTCAAAACTGTTCTGTCTAAAGAAATGTTCAACTGTGTTAGTTGAGGACACACATCAGAAACTAGTTTCTGAGAATGCTTCTGTCTAGTTGTTATGGGAAGATATTTCCTTTTCCAACGTAGGCCTGAAAGCGATCCAAATGTCCACTTCCATATACTAAAAAAAGAGTGTTTCAAACCTGCTCTACCAAAGGGAATGTTCTACTCTGTGACTTGAATGCAAACATCCCAAAGAAGTTTCTGAGAATGCTTCTGTCTAGATTTTCTCTGAAGACAATCCCGTTTCCAACGAAATCCTCAAGGCTAGGCAAATATACTCTTGCAGATTCCAGAAAAAGAGTGTTTCAAAACTGCTCCTTCAAAACGGTGGTTCAATTCTCTTAGTTGAGTACACACATCTCAAATAAGTTTCTGAGAATGCTTCTGCCTAGTTGTTACGGGAAGATATTTCCCTTTCCAACATGGGCCTGAAAGCGCTCCAAATGTCCACTTCCAGATACTACAAAAAGAGTGTTTCAAACCTGCTCTACCAAAGGGAATGTTCTACTCTGTGACTTGAATGCAAACATCCCAAAGAAGTTTCTGAGAATGCTTCTGTCTAGATTTTACCTGAAGACAATCCCGTTTCCCACGAAATCCTCAAAGCTATGCAAATATCCTCTTGCAGATTCTACAAAAAGAGTGTTTCAAAAGTGCTCTATGAAAAGAAAGGTTCAACTCTGTCAGTAGAGGGCACACATCACAAACAAGTTTCTGAGAATGCTTCTGCATAGTTGTTACGGGAAGATATTTCCCTTTCCAAAATAGGCCTGAAAGCGCTCCAAATGTCCACTTCCAGATACTACAAAAGGAGTGATTCCAACCTGCTCTATGATAGGGAATGTTCAACTCTGTGTCCTGAATACAAACATCACAAAGATGTTTCTCAGAACGCTGCAGTCTGCAATTTGTATGAATTCCCGCTTCCAACGAAATCCTCAAAACTAGCCAAATATCCACTTGCAGATTCCACAAAAAGACCATTTCAAAACTGCTCTATCAAAAGAAAGGTTCAACTTTGTTAGTTGAGTAGATACAGCATAAACAAGTTTCTGAGAATGCTTCTGTCCAGTTTTTATGGGAAGATATTTCCTTTTTCACCTTAGCCCTGAAATCGCTCCAAAAGTCCAGTTCCAGATACTACAAAAGGGGTGTTTCAAGACTGCTCTATGAAAGGGAGTGTTCAACTTTTGACTTGAATGCAAACATCAGAAAGCAGTTTCTCAGAACGCTGCTGTGTGCTTTTTATATGTATTCCCGCTTCCAGCGAAATCCCCAAAGCTAGCCAAATATCCACTTGCAGATTCCAGAAAAAGAGAGTTTCAAAACTGCTCCTTCAAAACGGTGGTTCAATTCTCTTAGTTGAGTACACACATCTCAAATAAGTTTCTGAGAATGCTTCTGTCTAGTTGTTATGGGAAGATATTTCCTTTTCCAACATAGGCCTGAAAACGCTCCAAATGTCCACTTCCAGATACTACAAAAGGAGTGATTCAAACCTGCTCTATGATAGGGAATGTTCAACTCTGTGTCCTGAATACAAACATCACAAAGATGTTTCTCAGAACGCTGCAGTCTGCAATTTGTATGAATTCCCGCTTCCAACGAAATCCTCAAAACTAGCCAAATATCCACTTGCAGATTCCACAAAAAGAGCGTTTCAAAACTTCTCTATGAAAAGAAAGGTTCTACTCCTTTAGTTGAGGACACACATCACGAGTAAGTTTCTGAGAATGCTTCTGTCTAGTTTTTATGGGAAGATATTTCCTTTTTCACCTTAGGCCGGTAAGTGCTCCAAATGTCCACTTACACACACTACAAAAAGAGTGTTTCAAACCTGCTCTGTGAAAGGGAATGTTCAATTCTGTGACTTGAATGCAATCATCACAAAGAACTTTCTGAGAATGCTGCTGACTGCTTTTTATATGTAATCCCGTTTCCAACGAAATCCTCAAATCTAGCCAAATAGCCACTTGCAGATTCCACAAAAAGAGTGTTTCAAAACTGTTCTGTCTAAAGAAATGTTCAACTGTGTTAGTTGAGGACACACATCAGAAACTAGTTTCTGAGAATGCTTCTGTCTAGTTGTTATGGGAAGATACTTCCTTTTCCAACGTAGGCCTGAAAGCGATCCAAATGTCCACTTCCATATACTACAAAAAGAGTGTTTCAAACCTGCTCTACCAAAGGGAATGTTCTACTCTGTGACTTGAATGCAAACATCCCAAAGAAGTTTCTGAGAATGCTTCTGTCTAGATTTTCTCTGAAGACAATCCCGTTTCCAACGAAATCCTCAAGGCTAGGCAAATATACTCTTGCAGATTCCAGAAAAAGAGTGTTTCAAAACTGCTCCTTCAAAACGGTGGTTCAATTCTCTTAGTTGAGTACACACATCTCAAATAAGTTTCTGAGAATGCTTCTGCCTAGTTGTTACGGGAAGATATTTCCCTTTCCAACATGGGCCTGAAAGCGCTCCAAATGTCCACTTCCAGATACTACAAAAAGAGTGTTTCAAACCTGCTCTACCAAAGGGAATGTTCTACTCTGTGACTTGAATGCAAACATCCCAAAGAAGTTTCTGAGAATGCTTCTGTCTAGATTTTACCTGAAGACAATCCCGTTTCCCACGAAATCCTCAAAGCTATGCAAATATCCTCTTGCAGATTCTACAAAAAGAGTGTTTCAAAACTGCTCTATGAAAAGAAAGGTTCAACTCTGTCAGTAGAGGGCACACATCACAAACAAGTTTCTGAGAATGCTTCTGCATAGTTGTTACGGGAAGATATTTCCCTTTCCAAAATAGGCCTGAAAGCGCTCCAAATGTCCACTTCCAGATACTACAAAAGGAGTGATTCCAACCTGCTCTATGATAGGGAATGTTCAACTCTGTGTCCTGAATACAAACATCACAAAGATGTTTCTCAGAACGCTGCAGTCTGCAATTTGTATGAATTCCCGCTTCCAACGAAATCCTCAAAACTAGCCAAATATCCACTTGCAGATTCCACAAAAAGACCATTTCAAAACTGCTCTATCAAAAGAAAGGTTCAACTTTGTTAGTTGAGTAGATACAGCATAAACAAGTTTCTGAGAATGCTTCTGTCCAGTTTTTATGGGAAGATATTTCCTTTTTCACCTTAGCCCTGAAATCGCTCCAAAAGTCCAGTTCCAGATACTACAAAAGGGGTGTTTCAAGACTGCTCTATGAAAGGGAGTGTTCAACTTTTGACTTGAATGCAAACATCAGAAAGCAGTTTCTCAGAACGCTGCTGTGTGCTTTTTATATGTATTCCCGCTTCCAGCGAAATCCCCAAAGCTAGCCAAATAGCCACTTGCAGCTTCCAGAAAAAGAGTGTTTCAAAACTGCTCCTTCAAAACGGTGGTTCAATTCTCTTAGTTGAGTACACACATCTCAAATAAGTTTCTGAGAATGCTTCTGTCTATTTGTTATGGGAAGATATTTCCTTTTCCAACATAGGCCTGAAAGGGCTCCAAATGGACACTTCCAGATACTACAAAAGGAGTGATTCAAACCTGCTCTATGATAGGGAATGTTCAACTCTGTGTCCTGAATACAAACATCACAAAGATGTTTCTCAGAACGCTGCAGTCTGCAATTTGTATGAATTCCCGCTTCCAACGAAATCCTCAAAACTAGCCAAATATCCACTTGCAGACTCCACAAAAAGAGCATTTCAAAACTGCTCTATCAAAAGAAAGGTTCAACTTTGTTAGCTGAGTAGATACAGCATAAACAAGTTTCTGAGAATGCTTCTGTCCAGTTTTTATGGGAAGATATTTCCTTTTTCACCTTAGCCCTGAAAGCACTCCAAATGTCCACTTCCAGATACTACAAAAGGGGTGTTTCAAGACTGCTCTATGAAAGGGAGTGTTCAACTTTTGACTTGAATGCGAACATCAGAAAGAAGTTTCTCAGAACGCTGCTGTGTGCTTTTTATATGTATTCCCGCTTCCAGCGAAATCCCCAAAGCTAGCCAAATATCCACTTGCAGATTCCAGAAAAAGAGTGTTTCAAAACTGCTCCTTCAAAACGGTGGTTCAATTCTCTTAGTTGAGTACACACATCTCAAATAAGTTTCTGAGAATGCTTCCTGTCTATTTGTTATGGGAAGATATTTCCTTTTCCAACATAGGGCCTGAAAGCGCTCCAAATGTCCACTTCCAGATACTACAAAAGGAGTGATTCAAACCTGCTCTATGATAGGGAATGTTCAACTCTGTGTCCTGAATACAAACATCACAAAGATGTTTCTCAGAACGCTGCAGTCTGCAATTTGTATGAATTCCCGCTTCCAACGAAATCCTCAAAACTAGCCAAATACCCACTTGCAGATTCCACAAAAAGAGCGTTTCAAAACTTCTCTATGAAAAGAAAGGTTCTACTCCTTTAGTTGAGGACACACATCACGAGTAAGTTTCTGAGAATGCTTCTGTCTAGTTTTTATGGGAAGATATTTCCTTTTTCACCTTAGGCCGGTAAGTGCTCCAAATGTCCACTTACACACACTACAAAAAGAGTGTTTCAAACCTGCTCTGTGAAAGGGAATGTTCAATTCTGTGACTTGAATGCAATCATCACAAAGAACTTTCTGAGACTGCTGCTGTCTGCTTTGTGTATATAATCCCGTTTCCAACGAAATCCTCATATCTAGCTAAATATCCACTTGCAGATTCCAGAAAAAGAGTGTTTCAAAACTGCTCCTTCAAAACGGTGGTTCAATTCTCTTAGTTGAGTACACACATCTCAAATAAGTTTCTGAGAATGCTTCTGTCTAGTTGTTATGGGAAGATATTTCCTTTTCCAACATATGCCAGAAAGCACTCCAAATGTCCACTTCCAGATACTACAAAAGGAGTGATTCAAACCTGCTCTATGATAGGGAATGTTCAACTCTGTGTCCTGAATACAAACATCACAAAGATGTTTCTCAGAACGCTGCAGTCTGCAATTTGTATGAATTCCCGCTTCCAACGAAATCCTCAAAACTAGCCAAATATCCACTTGCAGATTCCACAAAAAGAGCGTTTCAAAACTTCTCTATGAAAAGAAAGGTTCTACTCCTTTAGTTGAGGACACACATCACGAGTAAGTTTCTGAGAATGCTTCTGTCTAGTTTTTATGGGAAGATATTTCCTTTTTCACCTTAGGCCGGTAAGTGCTCCAAATGTCCACTTACACACACTACAAAAAGAGTGTTTCAAACCTGCTCTGTGAAAGGGAATGTTCAATTCTGTGACTTGAATGCAATCATCACAAAGAACTTTCTGAGAATGCTGCTGACTGCTTTTTATATGTAATCCCGTTTCCAACGAAATCCTCAAATCTAGCCAAATAGCCACTTGCAGATTCCACAAAAAGAGTGTTTCAAAACTGTTCTGTCTAAAGAAATGTTCAACTGTGTTAGTTGAGGACACACATCAGAAACTAGTTTCTGAGAATGCTTCTGTCTAGTTGTTATGGGAAGATATTTCCTTTTCCAACGTAGGCCTGAAAGCGCTCCAAATGTCCACTTCCATATACTAAAAAAAGAGTGTTTCAAACCTGCTCTACCAAAGGGAATGTTCTACTCTGTGACTTGAATGCAAACATCCCAAAGAAGTTTCTGAGAATGCTTCTGTCTAGATTTTATCTGAAGACAATCCCGTTTCCAACGAAATCCTCAAGGCTAGGCAAATATACTCTTGCAGATTCCAGAAAAAGAGTGTTTCAAAACTGCTCCTTCAAAACGGTGGTTCAATTCTCTTAGTTGAGTACACACATCTCAAATAAGTTTCTGAGAATGCTTCTGCCTAGTTGTTACGGGAAGATATTTCCCTTTCCAACATGGGCCTGATAGCGCTCCAAATGTCCACTTCCAGATACTACAAAAAGAGGGTTTCAAACCTGCTCTACCAAAGGGAATGTTCTACTCTGTGACTTGAATGCAAACATCCCAAAGAAGTTTCTGAGAATGCTTCTGTCTAGATTTTACCTGAAGACAATCCCGTTTCCCACGAAATCCTCAAAGCTATGCAAATATCCTCTTGCAGATTCTACAAAAAGAGTGTTTCAAAACTGCTCTATGAAAAGAAAGGTTCAACTCTGTCAGCAGAGGGCACACATCAAAAACAAGTTTCTGAGAATGCTTGTGTCTAGTTGTTATGAGAAGATATTTCCTTTTTCAACATAGGCCTGAAAGCGCTCCAAATGTCCACTTCCAGATACTACAAAAGGAGTGATTCCAACCTGCTCTATGATAGGGAATGTTCATCTCTGTGTCCTGAATACAAACATCACAAAGATGTTTCTCAGAACGCTGCAGTCTGCAATTTGTATGAATTCCCGCATCCAACGAAATCCTCAAAACTAGCCAAATATCCACTTGGAGATTCCACAAAAAGAGCGTTTCAAACCTACTCTATGAATAGAAAGGTTCTACTCCTTTAGTTGAGGACACACATCACGAGTAAGTTTCTGAGAATGCTTCTGTCTAGTTTTTATGGGAAGATATTTCCTTTTTCACCTTAGGCCGGAAAGTGCTCCAAATGTCCACTTACACACACTACAAAAAGAGTGTTTCAAACCTGCTCTGTGAAAGGGAATGTTCAATTCTGTGACTTGAATGCAATCATCACAAAGAACTTTCTGAGAATGCTGCTGTCTGCTTTTTATATGTAATCCCGTTTCCAACGAAATCCTCAAATCTAGCCAAATATCCACTTGCAGATTCCACAAAAAGAGTGTTTCAAAACTGTTCTGTCTAAAGAAAAGTTCAACTGTGTTAGTTGAGGACACACATCAGAAACTAGTTTCTGAGAATGCTTCTGTCTAGTTGTTATGGGAAGATATTTCCTTTTCCAACGTAGGCCTGAAAGCGCTCCAAATGTCCATTTCCATATACTAAAAAAAGAGTGTTTCAAACCTGCTCTACCAAAGGGAATGTTCTACTCTGTGACTTGAATACAAACGTCCCAAAGAAGTTTCTGAGAATGCTTCTGTCTAGATTTTATCTAAAGACAATCCGGTTTCCAACGAAATCCTCAAAGCTAGGCAAATATCCTCTAGCAGATTCCAGAAAAAGAGTGTTTCAAAACTGCTCCTTCAAAACGGTGGTTCAATTCTCTTAGTTGAGTACACACATCTCAAATAAGTTTCAGAGAATGCTTCTGCCTAGTTGATACGGGAAGATATTTCCCTTTCCAACATGGGCCTGAAAGCGCTCCAAATGTCCACTTCCAGATACTACAAAAAGAGTGTTTCAAACCTGCTCTACCAAAGGGAATGTTCTACTCTGTGACTTGAATGCAAACATCCCAAAGAAGTTTCTGAGAATGCTTCTGTCTAGATTTTACCTGAAGACAATCCCGTTTCCCACGAAATCCTCAAAGCTATGCAAATATCCTCTTGCAGATTCTACAAAAAGAGTGTTTCAAAACTGCTCTATGAAAAGAAAGGTTCAACTCTGTCAGTACACGGTACACATCACAAACAAGTTTCTGAGAATGCTTGTGTCTAGTTGTTATGGGAAGATATTTCCTTTTTCAACATAGGCCTGAAAGCGCTCCAAATGTCCACTTCCACATACTACAAAAGGAGTGATTCCAACCTGCTCTATGATAGGGAATGTTCATCTCTGTGTCCTGAATACAAACATCACAAAGATGTTTCTCAGAACGCTGCAGTCTGCAATTTGTATGAATTCCCGCTTCCAACGAAATCCTCAAAACTAGCCAAATATCCACTTGCAGATTCCACAAAAAGAGCGTTTCAAAACTTCTCTATGAATAGAAAGGTTCTACTCCTTTAGTTGAGGAAACACATCACGAGTAAGTTTCTGAGAATGCTTCTGTCTAGTTTTTATGGGAAGATATTTCTTTTTTCACCTTAGGCCGGAAAGCGCTCCAAATGTCCACTTACACACACTACAAAAAGAGTGTTTCAAACCTGCTCTGTGAAAGGGAATGTTCAATTCTGTGACTTGAATGCAATCATCACAAAGAACTTTCTGAGAATGCTGCTGTCTGCTTTTTATATGTAATCCCGTTTCCAACGAAATCCTCAAATCTAGCCCAATATCCACTTGCAGATTCCACAAAAAGAGTGTTTCAAAACTGTTCTGTCTAAAGAAAAGTTCAACTGTGTTAGTTGAGGACACACATCAGAAACTAGTTTCTGAGAATGCTTCTGTCTAGTTGTTATGGGAAGATATTTCCTTTTCCAACGTAGGCCTGAAAGCGCTCCAAATGTCCACTTCCATATACTAAAAAAAGAGTGTTTCAAACCTGCTCTACCAAAGGGAATGTTCTACTCTGTGACTTGAATGCAAACATCCCAAAGAAGTTTCTGAGAATGCTTCTGTCTAGATTTTATCTGAAGACAATCCCGTTTCCAACGAAATCCTCAAGGCTAGGCAAATATACTCTTGCAGATTCCAGAAAAAGAGTGTTTCAAAACTGCTCCTTCAAAACGGTGGTTCAGTTCTCTTACTTGAGTACACACATCTCAAATAAGTTTCTGAGAATGCTTCTGCCTAGTTGTTACGGGAAGATATTTCCCTTTCCAACATGGGCCTGAAAGCGCTCCAAATGTCCACTTCCAGATACTACAAAAAGAGTGTTTCAAACCTGCTCTACCAAAGGGAATGTTCTACTCTGTGACTTGAATGCAAACATCCCAAAGAAGTTTCTGAGAATGCTTCTGTCTAGATTTTACCTGAAGACAATGCCGTTTCCCACGAAATCCTCAAAGCTAGGCAAATATCCTCTTGCAGATTCTACAAAAAGAGTGTTTCGAAACTGCTCTATGAAAAGAAAGGATCAACTGTGTCAGTAGAGGGCACACATCACAAACAAGTTTCTGAGAATGCTTCTGCATAGTTGTTACCGGGAAGATATTTCCCTTTCCAAAATAGGCCTGAAAGCGCTCCAAATGTCCACTTCCAGATACTACAAAAGGAGTGATTCCAACCTGCTCTATGATAGGGAATGTTCAACTCTGTGTCCTGAATACAAACATCACAAAGATGTTTCTCAGAACGCTGCAGTCTGCAATTTGTATGAATTCCCGCTTCCAACGAAATCCTCAAAACTAGCCAAATATCCACTTGCAGATTCCACAAAAAGAGCATTTCAAAACTGCTCTATCAAAAGAAAGGTTCAACTTTGTTAGTTGAGTAGATACAGCATAAACAAGTTTCTGAGAATGCTTCTGTCCAGTTTTTATGGGAAGATATTTCCTTTTTCACCTTAGCCCTGAAAGCGCTCCAAAAGTCCAGTTCCAGATACTACAAAAGGAGTGTTTCAGGACTGCTCTATGAAAGGGAGTGTTCAACTTTTGACTTGAATGCAAACATCAGAAAGCAGTTTCTCAGAACGCTGCTGTGTGCTTTTTATATGTATTCCCGCTTCCAGCAAAATCCCCAAAGCTAGCCAAATATCCACTTGCAGATTCCAGAAAAAGAGTGTTTCAAAACTGCTCCTTCAAAACGGTGGTTCAATTCTCTTAGTTGAGTACACACATCTCAAATAAGTTTCTGAGAATGCTTCTGTCTAGTTGTGATGGGAAGATATTTCCTTTTCCAACATAGGGCAGAAAGCGCTCCAAATGTCCACTTCCAGATACTACAAAAGGAGTGATTCCAACCTGCTCTATGATAGGGAATGTTCAACTCTGTGTCCTGAATACAAACATCACAAAGATGTTTCTCAGAACGCTGCAGTCTTCAATTTGTATGAATTCCCGCTTCCAACGAAATCCTCCAAACTAGCCAAATATCCACTTGCAGATTCCACAAAAAGAGCGTTTCAAAACTTCTCTATGAAAAGAAAGGTTCTACTCCTTTAGTTGAGGACACACATGACGAGTAAGTTTCTGAGAATGCTTCTGTCTAGTTTTTATGGGAAGATATTTCCTTTTTCACCTTAGGCCGGTAAGTGCTCCAAATGTCCACTTACACACACTACAAAAAGAGTGTTTCAAACCTGCTCTGTGAAAGGGAATGTTCAATTCTGTGACTTGAATGCAATCATCACAAGGAACTTTCTGAGAATGCTGCTGACTGCTTTTTATATGTAATCCCGTTTCCAACGAAATCCTCAAATCTAGCCAAATAGCCACTTGCAGATTCCACAAAAAGAGTGTTTCAAAACTGTTCTGTCTAAAGAAATGTTCAACTGTGTTAGTTGAGGACACACATCAGAAACTAGTTTCTGAGAATGCTTCTGTCTAGTTGTTATGGGAAGATATTTCCTTTTCCAATGTAGGCCTGAAAGCGCTCCAAATGTCCACTTCCAGATACTACAAAAAGAGTGTTTCAAACCTGCTCTACCAAAGGGAATGTTCTACTCTGTGACTTGAATGCAAACATCCCAAAGAAGTTTCTGAGAATGCTTCTGTCTAGATTTTCTCTGAAGACAATCCCGTTTCCAACGAAATCCTCAAGGCTAGGCAAATATACTCTTGCAGATTCCAGAAAAAGAGTGTTTCAAAACTGCTCCTTCAAAACGGTGGTTCAATTCTCTTAGTTGAGTACACACATCTCAAATAAGTTTCTGAGAATGCTTCTGCCTAGTTGTTACGGGAAGATATTTCCCTTTCCAACATGGGCCTGAAAGCGCTCCAAATGTCCACTTCCAGATACTACAAAAAGAGTGTTTCAAACCTGCTCTACCAAAGGGAATGTTCTACTCTGTGACTTGAATGCAAACATCCCAAAGAAGTTTCTGAGAATGCTTCTGTCTAGATTTTACCTGAAGACAATCCCGTTTCCCACGAAATCCTCAAAGCTATGCAAATATCCTCTTGCAGATTCTACAAAAAGAGTGTTTCAAAACTGCTCTATGAAAAGAAAGGTTCAACTCTGTCAGTAGAGGGCACACATCACAAACAAGTTTCTGAGAATGCTTCTGCATAGTTGTTACGGGAAGATATTTCCCTTTCCAAAATAGGCCTGAAAGCGCTCCAAATGTCCACTTCCAGATACTACAAAAGGAGTGATTCCAACCTGCTCTATGATAGGGAATGTTCAACTCTGTGTCCTGAATACAAACATCACAAAGATGTTTCTCAGAACGCTGCAGTCTGCAATTTGTATGAATTCCCGCTTCCAACGAAATCCTCAAAACTAGCCAAATATCCACTTGCAGATTCCACAAAAAGAGCGTTTCAAAACTTCTCTATGAAAAGAAAGGTTCTACTCCTTTAGTTGAGGACACACATCACGAGTAAGTTTCTGAGAATGCTTCTGTCTAGTTTTTATGGGAAGATATTTCCTTTTTCACCTTAGGCCGGTAAGTGCTCCAAATGTCCACTTACACACACTACAAAAAGAGTGTTTCAAACCTGCTCTGTGAAAGGGAATGTTCAATTCTGTGACTTGAATGCAATCATCACAAAGAACTTTCTGAGAATGCTGCTGACTGCTTTTTATATGTAATCCCGTTTCCAACGAAATCCTCAAATCTAGCCAAATAGCCACTTGCAGATTCCACAAAAAGAGTGTTTCAAAACTGTTCTGTCTAAAGAAATGTTCAACTGTGTTAGTTGAGGACACACATCAGAAACTAGTTTCTGAGAATGCTTCTGTCTAGTTGTTATGGGAAGATATTTCCTTTTCCAACGTAGGCCTGAAAGCGCTCCAAATGTCCACTTCCAGATACTACAAAAAGAGTGTTTCAAACCTGCTCTACCAAAGGGAATGTTCTACTCTGTGACTTGAATGCAAACATCCCAAAGAAGTTTCTGAGAATGCTTCTGTCTAGATTTTCTCTGAAGACAATCCCGTTTCCAACGAAATCCTCAAGGCTAGGCAAATATACTCTTGCAGATTCCAGAAAAAGAGTGTTTCAAAACTGCTCCTTCAAAACGGTGGTTCAATTCTCTTAGTTGAGTACACACATCTCAAATAAGTTTCTGAGAATGCTTCTGCCTAGTTGTTACGGGAAGATATTTCCCTTTCCAACATGGGCCTGAAAGCGCTCCAAATGTCCACTTCCAGATACTACAAAAAGAGTGTTTCAAACCTGCTCTACCAAAGGGAATGTTCTACTCTGTGACTTGAATGCAAACATCCCAAAGAAGTTTCTGAGAATGCTTCTGTCTAGATTTTACCTGAAGACAATCCCGTTTCCCACGAAATCCTCAAAGCTATGCAAATATCCTCTTGCAGATTCTACAAAAAGAGTGTTTCAAAACTGCTCTATGAAAAGAAAGGTTCAACTCTGTCAGTAGAGGGCACACATCACAAACAAGTTTCTGAGAATGCTTGTGTCTAGTTGTTATGGGAAGATATTTCCTTTTTCAACATAGGCCTGAAAGCGCTCCAAATGTCCACTTCCAGATACTACAAAAGGAGTGATTCCAACCTGCTCTATGATAGGGAATGTTCAACTCTCTGTCCTGAATACAAACATCACAAAGATGTTTCTCAGAACGCTGCAGTCTGCAATTTGTATGAATTCCCGCTTCCAGCGAAATCCTCAAAACTAGCCAAATATCCACTTGCAGATTCCACAAAAAGAGCATTTCAAAACTGCTCTATCAAAAGAAAGGTTCAACTTTGTTAGTTGAGTAGATACAGCATAAACAAGTTTCTGAGAATGCTTCTGTCCAGTTTTTATGGGAAGATATTTCCTTTTTCACCTTAGCCCTGAAAGCGCTCCAAAAGTCCAGTTCCAGATACTACAAAAGGAGTGTTTCAGGACTGCTCTATGAAAGGGAGTGTTCAACTTTTGACTTGAATGCAAACATCAGAAAGCAGTTTCTCAGAACGCTGCTGTGTGCTTTTTATATGTATTCCCGCTTCCAGCGAAATCCCCAAAGCTAGCCAAATATCCACTTGCAGATTCCAGAAAAAGAGTGTTTCAAAACTGCTCCTTCAAAACGGTGGTTCAATTCTCTTAGTTGAGTACACACATCTCAAATAAGTTTCTGAGAATGCTTCTGTCTAGTTGTTATGGGAAGATATTTCCTTTTCCAACATAGGCCTGAAAGCGCTCCAAATGTCCACTTCCAGATACTACAAAAGGAGTGATTCAAACCTGCTCTATGATAGGGAATGTTCAACTCTGTGTCCTGAATACAAACATCACAAAGGTGTTTCTCAGAACGCTGCAGTCTGCAATTTGTATGAATTCCCGCTTCCAACGAAATCCTCAAAACTAGCCAAATATCCACTTGCAGATTCCACAAAAAGAGCGTTTCAAAACTTCTCTATGAAAAGAAAGGTTCTACTCCTTTAGTTGAGGACACACATCACGAGTAAGTTTCTGAGAATGCTTCTGTCTAGTTTTTATGGGAAGATATTTCCTTTTTCACCTTAGGCCGGAAAGTGCTCCAAATGTCCACTTACACACACTACAAAAAGAGTGTTTCAAACCTGCTCTGTGAAAGGGAATGTTCAATTCTGTGACTTGAATGCAATCATCACAAAGAACTTTCTGAGAATGCTGCTGTCTGCTTTTTATATGTAATCCCGTTTCCAACGAAATCCTCAAATCTAGCCAAATAGCCACTTGCAGATTCCACAAAAAGAGTGTTTCAAAACTGTTCTGTCTAAAGAAATGTTCAACTGTGTTAGTTGAGGACACACATCAGAAACTAGTTTCTGAGAATGCTTCTGTCTAGTTGTTATGGGAAGATATTTCCTTTTCCAACGTAGGCCTGAAAGCGCTCCAAATGTCCACTTCCAGATACTACAAAAGGAGTGATTCCAACCTGCTCTATGATAGGGAATGTTCAACTCTGTGTCCTGAATACAAACATCACAAAGATGTTTCTCAGAACGCTGCAGTCTGCAATTTGTATGAATTCCCGCTTCCAACGAAATCCTCCAAACTAGCCAAATATCCACTTGCAGATTCCACAAAAAGAGCGTTTCAAAACTTCTCTATGAAAGAAAGGTTCTACTCCTTTAGTTGAGGACACACATCACGAGTAAGTTTCTGAGAATGCTTCTGTCTAGTTTTTATGGGAAGATATTTCCTTTCTCACCTTAGGCCGGAAAGTGCTCCAAATGTCCACTTACACACACTACAAAAAGAGTGTTTCAAACCTGCTCTGTGAAAGGGAATGTTCAATTCTGTGACTTGAATGCAATCATCACAAAGAACTTTCTGAGAATGCTGCTGTCTGCTTTTTATATGTAATCCCGTTTCCAACGAAATCCTCAAATCTAGCCAAATAGCCACTTGCAGATTCCACAAAAAGAGAGTTTCAAAACTGTTCTGTCTAAAGAAATGTTCAACTGTGTTAGTTGAGGACACACATCAGAAACTAGTTTCTGAGAATGCTTCTGTCTAGTTGTTATGGGAAGATATTTCCTTTTCCAACGTAGGCCTGAAAGCGCTCCAAATGTCCACTTCCATATACTAAAAAAAGAGTGTTTCACACCTGCTCTACCAAAGGGAATGTTCTACTCTGTGACTTGAATGCAAACATCCCAAAGAAGTTTCTGAGAATGCTTCTGTCTAGATTTGATCTGAACACAATCCCGTTTCCAACGAAATCCTCAAAGCTAGGCAAATATCCTCTTGCAGATTCCAGAAAAAGAGTGTTTCAAAACTGCTCCTTCAAAACGGTGGTTCAATTCTCTTAGTTGAGTACACACATCTCAAATAAGTTTCTGAGAATGCTTCTGCCTAGTTGTTACGGGAAGATATTTCCCTTTCCAACATAGGCCTGAAAGCGCTCCAAATGTCCACTTCCAGATACTACAAAAAGAGTGTTTCAAACCTGCTCTACCAAAGGGAATGTTCTACTCTGTGACTTGAATGCAAACATCCCAAAGAAGTTTCTGAGAATGCTTCTGTCTAGATTTTACCTGAAGACAATCCCGTTTCCCACGAAATCCTCAAAGCTATGCAAATATCCTCTTGCAGATTCTACAAAAAGAGTGTTTCAAAACTGCTCTATGAAAAGAAAGGTTCAACTCTGTCAGTAGAGGGCACACATCACAAACAAGTTTCTGAGAATGCTTGTGTCTAGTTGTTATGGGAAGATATTTCCTTTTTCAACATAGGCCTGAAAGCGCTCCAAATGTCCACTTCCAGATACTACAAAAGGAGTGATTCCAACCTGCTCTATGATAGGGAATGTTCAACTCTCTGTCCTGAATACAAACATCACAAAGATGTTTCTCAGAACGCTGCAGTCTGCAATTTGTATGAATTCCCGCTTCCAACGAAATCCTCAAAACTAGCCAAATATCCACTTGCAGATTCCACAAAAAGAGCATTTCAAAACTGCTCTATCAAAAGAAAGGTTCAACTTTGTTAGTTGAGTAGATACAGCATAAACAAGTTTCTGAGAATGCTTCTGTCCAGTTTTTATGGGAAGATATTTCCTTTTTCACCTTAGCCCTGAAAGCGCTCCAAAAGTCCAGTTCCAGATACTACAAAAGGAGTGTTTCAGGACTGCTCTATGAAAGGGAGTGTTCAACTTTTGACTTGAATGCAAACATCAGAAAGCAGTTTCTCAGAACGCTGCTGTGTGCTTTTTATATGTATTCCCGCTTCCAGCGAAATCCCCAAAGCTAGCCAAATATCCACTTGCAGATTCCAGAAAAAGAGTGTTTCAAAACTGCTCCTTCAAAACGGTGGTTCAATTCTCTTAGTTGAGTACACACATCTCAAATAAGTTTCTGAGAATGCTTCTGTCTAGTTGTTATGGGAAGATATTTCCTTTTCCAACATAGGCCTGAAAGCGCTCCAAATGTCCACTTCCAGATACTACAAAAGGAGTGATTCAAACCTGCTCTATGATAGGGAATGTTCAACTCTGTGTCCTGAATACAAACATCACAAAGATGTTTCTCAGAACGCTGCAGTCTGCAATTTGTATGAATTCCCGCTTCCAACGAAATCCTCCAAACTAGCCAAATATCCACTTGCAGATTCCACAAAAAGAGCGTTTCAAAACTTCTCTATGAAAACAAAGGTTCTACTCCTTTAGTTGAGGACACACATCACGAGTAAGTTTCTGAGAATGCTTCTGTCTAGTTTTTATGGGAAGATATTTCCTTTTTCACCTTAGGCCGGAAAGTGCTCCAAATGTCCACTTACACACACTACAAAAAGAGTGTTTCAAACCTGCTCTGTGAAAGGGAATGTTCAATTCTGTGACTTGAATGCAATCATCACAAAGAACTTTCTGAGAATGCTGCTGTCTGCTTTTTATATGTAATCCCGTTTCCAACGAAATGCTCAAATCTAGCCAAATATCCACTTGCAGATTCCACAAAGAGAGTGTTTCAAAGCTACTCTGTCTAAAGAAATGTTCAACTGTGTTAGTTGAGGACACACATCAGAAACTAGTTTCTGAGAATGCTTCTGTCTAGTTGTTATGGGAAGATATTTCCTTTTCCAACGTAGGCCTGAAAGCGCTCCAAATGTCCACTTCCATATACTAAAAAAAGAGTGTTTCAAACCTGCTCTACCAAAGGGAATGTTCTACTCTGTGACTTGAATGCAAACATCCCAAAGAAGTTTCTGAGAATGCTTCTGTCTAGAATTTATCTGAAGACAATCCCGTATCCAACGAAATCCTCAAGGCTAGGCAAATATATTCTTGCAGAATACAGAAAAAGAGTGTTTCAAAACTGCTCCTTCAAAACGGTGGTTCAATTCTCTTAGTTGAGTACACACATCTCAAATAAGTTTCTGAGAATGCTTCTGCCCTAGTTGTTACGGGAAGATATTTCCCTTTCCAACATGGGCCTGAAAGCGCTCCAAATGTCCACTTCCAGATACTACAAAAAGAGTGTTTCAAACCTGCTCTACGAAAGGGAATGTTCTACTCTGTGACTTGAATGCAAACATCCCAAAGAAGTTTCTGAGAATGCTTCTGTCTAGATTTTACCTGAAGACAATCCCGTTTCCAACGAAATCCTCAAAGCTATGCAAATATCCTCTTGCAGATTCTACAAAAAGAGTGTTTCGAAACTGCTCTATGAAAAGAAATGTTCAACTCTGTCAGTAGAGGGCACACATCACCAACAAGTTTCTGAGAATGCTTCTGTCTAGTTGTTTTGGGAAGATATTTCCTTTTTCAACATAGGCCTGAAGGCGCTCCAAATGTCCACTTCCAGATACTACAAAAGGAGTGATTCCAACCTGCTCTACGATAGGGAATGTCCAACTCTGTGTCCTGAATAAAACATCACCAAGATGTTTCTCAGAACGCTGCAGTCTGCAATTTGTATGAATTCCCGCTTCCAACGAATCCTCAAAACTAGCCAAATATCCACTTGCAGATTCCACAAAAAGAGCATTTCAAAACTGCTCTATCAAAAGAAAGGTTCAACTTTGTTAGTTGAGTAGATACAGCATAAAAAAGTTTCTGAGAATGCTTCTGTCCAGTTTTTATGGGAAGATATTTCCTTTTTCACCTTAGCCCTGAAAGCGCTCCAAAAGTCCAGTTCCAGATACTACAAAAGGAGTGTTTCAGGACTGCTCTATGAAAGGGAGTGTTCAACTTTTGACTTGAATGCAAACATCAGAAAGCAGTTTCTCAGAACGCTGCTGTGTGCTTTTTATATGTATTCCCGCTTCCAGCGAAATCCCCAAAGCTAGCCAAATATCCACTTGCAGATTCCAGAAAAAGAGTGTTTCAAAACTGCTCCTTCAAAACGGTGGTTCAATTCTCTTAGTTGAGTACACACATCTCAAATAAGTTTCTGAGAATGCTTCTGCCTAGTTGTTATGGGAAGATATTTCCTTTTTCAACATAGGCCTGAAAGCGCTCCAAATGTCCACTTCCAGATACTACAAAAGGAGTGATTCCAACCTGCTCTATGATAGGGAATGTTCAACTCTGTGTCCTGAATACAATCATCACAAAGAAGTTTCTGAGAATGCTGCTGTCTGCTTTTTATATGTAATCCCGTTTCCAACGGAAATCCTCAAATCTAGCCAAATATCCACTTGCAGATTCCACAAAGAGAGTGTTTCAAAACTGTTCTGTCTAAAGAAATGTTCAACTGTGTTAGTTGAGGACACACATCAGAAACTAGTTTCTGAGAATGCTTCTGTCTAGTTGTTATGGGAAGATATTTCCTTTTCCAACGTAGGCCTGAAAGCGCTCCAAATGTCCACTTCCATATACTAAAAAAAGAGTGTTTCAAACCTGCTCTACCAAAGGGAATGTTCTACTCTGTGACTTGAATGCAAACATCCCAAAGAAGTTTCTGAGAATGCTTCTGTCTAGATTTTATCTGAAGACAATCCCGTTTCCAACGAAATCCTCAAGGCTAGGCAAATATACTCTTGCAGATTCCAGAAAAAGAGTGTTTCAAAACTGCTCCTTCAAAACGGTGGTTCAATTCTCTTAGTTGAGTACACACATCTCAAATAACTTTCTGAGAATGCTTCTGCCTAGTTGTTACGGGAAGATATTTCCCTTTCCAACATGGGCCTGATAGCGCTCCGAATGTCCACTTCCAGATACTACAAAAAGAGGGTTTCAAACCTGCTCTACCAAAGGGAATGTTCTACTCTGTGACTTGAATGCAAACATCCCAAAGAAGTTTCTGAGAATGCTTCTGTCTAGATTTTACCTGAAGACAATCCCGTTTCCCACGAAATCCTCAAAGCTATGCAAATATCCTCTTGCAGATTCTACAAAAAGAGTGTTTCAAAACTGCTCTATGAAAAGAAAGGTTCAACTCTGTCAGTAGAGGGCACACATCACAAACAAGTTTCTGAGAATGCTTGTGTCTAGTTGTTATGGGAAGATATTTCCTTTTTCAACATAGGCCTGAAAGCGCTCCAAATGTCCACTTCCAGATACTACAAAAGGAGTGATTCCAACCTGCTCTATGATAGGGAATGTTCATCTCTGTGTCCTGAATACAAACATCACAAAGATGTTTCTCAGAACGCTGCAGTCTGCAATTTGTATGAATTCCCGCTTCCAACGAAATCCTCAAAACTAGCCAAATATCCACTTGCAGATTCCACAAAAAGAGCGTTTCAAAACTTCTCTATGAAAAGAAAGGTTCTACTCCTTTAGTTGAGGACACACAATACGAGTAAGTTTCTGAGAATGCTTCTGTCCAGTTTTTATGGGAAGATATTTCCTTTTTCACCTTAGCCCTGAAAGCGCTCCAAAAGTCCAGTTCCAGATACTACAAAAGGAGTGTTTCAGGACTGCTCTATGAAAGGGAGTGTTCAACTTTTGACTTGAATGCAAACATCAGAAAGCAGTTTCTCAGAACGCTGCTGTGTGCTTTTTATATGTATTCCCGCTTCCAGCGAAATCCCCAAAGCTAGCCAAATATCCACTTGCAGATTCCAGAAAAAGAGTGTTTCAAAACTGCTCCTTCAAAACGGTGGTTCAATTCTCTTAGTTGAGTACACACATCTCAAATAAGTTTCTGAGAATGCTTCTGTCTAGTTGTTATGGGAAGATATTTCCTTTTTCAACATAGGCCTGAAAACGCTCCAAATGTCCACTTCCAGATACTACAAAAGGAGTGATTCCAACCTGCTCTATGATAGGGAATGTTCAACTCTGTGTCCTGAATACAAACATCACAAAGATGTTTCTCAGAACGCTGCAGTCTGCAATTTGTATGAATTCCCGCTTCCAACGAAATCCTCAAAACTAGCCAAATATCCACTTGCAGATTCCACAAAAAGAGCATTTCAAAACTGCTCTATCAAAAGAAAGGTTCAACTTTTTTAGTAGAGTAGATACAGCATAAACAAGTTTCTGAGAATGCTTCTGTCCAGTTTTTATGGGAAGATATTTCCTTTTTCACCTTAGCCCTGAAAGCGCTCCAAAAGTCCAGTTCCAGATACTACAAAAGGAGTGTTTCAGGACTGCTCTATGAAAGGGAGTGTTCAACTTTTGACTTGAATGCAAACATCAGAAAGCAGTTTCTCAGAACGCTGCTGTGTGCTTTTTATATGTATTCCCGCTTCCAGCGAAATCCCCAAAGCTAGCCAAATATCCACTTGCAGATTCCAGAAAAAGAGTGTTTCAAAACTGCTCCTTCAAAACGGTGGTTCAATTCTCTTAGTTGAGTACACACATCTCAAATAAGTTTCTGAGAATGCTTCTGTCTAGTTGTTATGGGAAGATATTTCCTTTTCCAACATAGGCCTGAAAGCGCTCCAAATGTCCACTTCCAGATACTACAAAAGGAGTGATTCCAACCTGCTCTATGATAGGGAATGTTCAACTCTGTGTCCTGAATACAAACATCACAAAGATGTTTCTCAGAACGCTGCAGTCTGCAATTTGTATGAATTCCCGCTTCCAACGAAATCCTCCAAACTAGCCAAATATCCACTTGCAGATTCCACAAAAAGAGCGTTTCAAAACTTCTCTATGAAAAGAAAGGTTCTACTCCTTTAGTTGAGGACACACATCACGAGTAAGTTTCTGAGAATGCTTCTGTCTAGTTTTTATGGGAAGATATTTCCTTTTTCACCTTAGGCCGGTAAGTGCTCCAAATGTCCACTTACACACACTACAAAAAGAGTGTTTCAAACCTGCTCTGTGAAAGGGAATGTTCAATTCTGTGACTTGAATGCAATCATCACAAAGAACTTTCTGAGAATGCTGCTGACTGCTTTTTATATGTAATCCCGTTTCCAACGAAATCCTCAAATCTAGCCAAATAGCCACTTGCAGATTCCACAAAAAGAGTGTTTCAAAACTGTTCTGTCTAAAGAAATGTTCAACTGTGTTAGTTGAGGACACACATCAGAAACTAGTTTCTGAGAATGCTTCTGTCTAGTTGTTATGGGAAGATATTTCCTTTTCCAACGTAGGCCTGAAAGCGATCAAAATGTCCACTTCCATATACTAAAAAAAGAGTGTTTCAAACCTGCTCTACCAAAGGGAATGTTCTACTCTGTGACTTGAATGCAAACATCCCAAAGAAGTTTCTGAGAATGCTTCTGTCTAGATTTTATCTGAAGACAATCCCGTTTCCAACGAAATCCACAAAGCTAGGAAGATATACTCTTGCAGATTCCAGAAAAAGAGTGTTTCAAAACTGCTCCTTCAAAACGGTGGTTCAATTCTCTTAGTTGAGTACACACATCTCAAATAAGTTTCTGAGAATGCTTCTGCCTAGTTGTTACGGGAAGATATTTCCCTTTCCATCATGGGCCTGAAAGCGCTCCAAATGTCCACTTCCAGATACTACAAAAAGAGTGTTTCAAACCTGCTCTACCAAAGGGAATGTTCTACTCTGTGACTTGAATGCAAACATCCCAAAGAAGTTTCTGAGAATGCTTCTGTCTAGATTTTACCTGAAGACAATCCCGTTTCCCACGAAATCCTCAAAGCTATGCAAATATCCTCTTGCAGATTCTACAAAAAGAGTGTTTCAAAACAGCTCTATGAAAAGAAAGGTTCAACTCTGTCAGTAGAGGGCACACATCACAAACAAGTTTCTGAGAATGCTTCTGCATAGTTGTTACGGGAAGATATTTCCCTTTCCAAAATAGGCCTGAAAGCGCTCCAAATGTCCACTTCCAGATACTACAAAAGGAGTGATTCCAACCTGCTCTATGATAGGGAATGTTCAACTCTGTGTCCTGAATACAAACATCACAAAGATGTTTCTCAGAACGCTGCAGTCTGCAATTTGTATGAATTCCCGCTTCCAACGAAATCCTCAAAACTAGCCAAATATCCACTTGCAGATTCCACAAAAAGACCATTTCAAAACTGCTCTATCAAAAGAAAGGTTCAACTTTGTTAGTTGAGTAGATACAGCATAACCAAGTTTCTGAGAATGCTTCTGTCCAGTTTTTATGGGAAGATATTTCCTTTTTCACCTTAGCCCTGAAATCGCTCCAAAAGTCCAGTTCCAGATACTACAAAAGGGGTGTTTCAAGACTGCTCTATGAAAGGGAGTGTTCAACTTTTGACTTGAATGCAAACATCAGAAAGCAGTTTCTCAGAACGCTGCTGTGTGCTTTTTATATGTATTCCCGCTTCCAGCGAAATCCCCAAAGCTAGCCAAATATCCACTTGCAGATTCCAGAAAAAGAGAGTTTCAAAACTGCTCCTTCAAAACGGTGGTTCAATTCTCTTAGTTGAGTACACACATCTCAAATAAGTTTCTGAGAATGCTTCTGTCTAGTTGTTATGGGAAGATATTTCCTTTTCCAACATAGGCCTGAAAGCGCTCCAAATGTCCACTTCCAGATACTACAAAAGGAGTGATTCAAACCTGCTCTATGATAGGGAATGTTCAACTCTGTGTCCTGAATACAAACATCACAAAGATGTTTCTCAGAACGCTGCAGTCTGCAATTTGTATGAATTCCCGCTTCCAACGAAATCCTCAAAACTAGCCAAATATCCACTTGCAGATTCCACAAAAAGAGCGTTTCAAAACTTCTCTATGAAAAGAAAGGTTCTACACCTTTAGTTGAGGACACACATCACGAGTAAGTTTCTGAGAATGCTTCTGTCTAGTTTTTATGGGAAGATATTTCCTTTTTCACCTTAGGCCGGAAAGTGCTCCAAATGTCCACTTACACACACTACAAAAAGAGTGTTTCAAACCTGCTCTGTGAAAGGGAATGTTCAATTCTGTGACTTGAATGCAATCATCAAAAAGAACTTTCTGAGACTGCTGCTGACTGCTTTTTATATGTAATCCCGTTTCCAACGAAATCCTCAAATCTAGCCAAATAGCCACTTGCAGATTCCACAAAAAGAGTGTTTCAAAACTGTTCTGTCTAAAGAAATGTTCAACTGTGTTAGTTGAGGACACACATCAGAAACTAGTTTCTGAGAATGCTTCTGTCTAGTTGTTATGGGAAGATATTTCCTTTTCCAACGTAGGCCTGAAAGCGATCCAAATGTCCACTTCCATATACTAAAAAAAGAGTGTTTCAAACCTGCTCTACCAAAGGGAATGTTCTACTCTGTGACTTGAATGCAAACATCCCAAAGAAGTTTCTGAGAATGCTTCTGTCTAGATTTTCTCTGAAGACAATCCCGTTTCCAACGAAATCCTCAAGGCTAGGCAAATATACTCTTGCAGATTCCAGAAAAAGAGTGTTTCAAAACTGCTCCTTCAAAACGGTGGTTCAATTCTCTTAGTTGAGTACACACATCTCAAATAAGTTTCTGAGAATGCTTCTGCCTAGTTGTTACGGGAAGATATTTCCCTTTCCAACATGGGCCTGAAAGCGCTCCAAATGTCCACTTCCAGATACTACAAAAAGAGTGTTTCAAACCTGCTCTACCAAAGGGAATGTTCTACTCTGTGACTTGAATGCAAACATCCCAAAGAAGTTTCTGAGAATGCTTCTGTCTAGATTTTACCTGAAGACAATCCCGTTTCCCACGAAATCCTCAAAGCTATGCAAATATCCTCTTGCAGATTCTACAAAAAGAGTGTTTCAAAACTGCTCTATGAAAAGAAAGGTTCAACTCTGTCAGTAGAGGGCACACATCACAAACAAGTTTCTGAGAATGCTTCTGCATAGTTGTTACGGGAAGATATTTCCCTTTCCAAAATAGGCCTGAAAGCGCTCCAAATGTCCACTTCCAGATACTACAAAAGGAGTGATTCCAACCTGCTCTATGATAGGGAATGTTCAACTCTGTGTCCTGAATACAAACATCACAAAGATGTTTCTCAGAACGCTGCAGTCTGCAATTTGTATGAATTCCCGCTTCCAACGAAATCCTCAAAACTAGCCAAATATCCACTTGCAGATTCCACAAAAAGACCATTTCAAAACTGCTCTATCAAAAGAAAGGTTCAACTTTGTTAGTTGAGTAGATACAGCATAAACAAGTTTCTGAGAATGCTTCTGTCCAGTTTTTATGGGAAGATATTTCCTTTTTCACCTTAGCCCTGAAATCGCTCCAAAAGTCCAGTTCCAGATACTACAAAAGGGGTGTTTCAAGACTGCTCTATGAAAGGGAGTGTTCAACTTTTGACTTGAATGCAAACATCAGAAAGCAGTTTCTCAGAACGCTGCTGTGTGCTTTTTATATGTATTCCCGCTTCCAGCGAAATCCCCAAAGCTAGCCAAATATCCACTTGCAGATTCCAGAAAAAGAGAGTTTCAAAACTGCTCCTTCAAAACGGTGGTTCAATTCTCTTAGTTGAGTACACACATCTCAAATAAGTTTCTGAGAATGCTTCTGTCTAGTTGTTATGGGAAGATATTTCCTTTTCCAACATAGGCCTGAAAGCGCTCCAAATGTCCACTTCCAGATACTACAAAGGGAGTGATTCAAACCTGCTCTATGATAGGGAATGTTCAACTCTGTGTCCTGAATACAAACATCACAAAGATGTTTCTCAGAACGCTGCAGTCTGCAATTTGTATGAATTCCCGCTTCCAACGAAATCCTCAAAACTAGCCAAATATCCACTTGCAGATTCCACAAAAAGAGCGTTTCAAAACTTCTCTATGAAAAGAAAGGTTCTACTCCTTTAGTTGAGGACACACATCACGAGTAAGTTTCTGAGAATGCTTCTGTCTAGTTTTTATGGGAAGATATTTCCTTTTTCACCTTAGGCCGGTAAGTGCTCCAAATGTCCACTTACACACACTACAAAAAGAGTGTTTCAAACCTGCTCTGTGAAAGGGAATGTTCAATTCTGTGACTTGAATGCAATCATCACAAAGAACTTTCTGAGAATGCTGCTGACTGCTTTTTATATGTAATCCCGTTTCCAACGAAATCCTCAAATCTAGCCAAATAGCCACTTGCAGATTCCACAAAAAGAGTGTTTCAAAACTGTTCTGTCTAAAGAAATGTTCAACTGTGTTAGTTGAGGACACACATCAGAAACTAGTTTCTGAGAATGCTTCTGTCTAGTTGTTATGGGAAGATATTTCCTTTTCCAACGTAGGCCTGAAAGCGCTCCAAATGTCCACTTCCAGATACTACAAAAAGAGTGTTTCAAACCTGCTCTACCAAAGGGAATGTTCTACTCTGTGACTTGAATGCAAGCATCCCAAAGAAGTTTCTGAGAATGCTTCTGTCTAGATTTTCTCTGAAGACAATCCCGTTTCCAACGAAATCCTCAAGGCTAGGCAAATATACTCTTGCAGATTCCAGAAAAAGAGTGTTTCAAAACTGCTCCTTCAAAACGGTGGTTCAATTCTCTTAGTTGAGTACACACATCTCAAATAAGTTTCTGAGAATGCTTCTGCCTAGTTGTTACGGGAAGATATTTCCCTTTCCAACATGGGCCTGAATGCGCTCAAAATGTCCACTTCCAGATACTACAAAAAGTGGGTTTCAAACCTGCTCTACCAAAGGGAATGTTCTACTCTGTGACTTGAATGCAAACATCCCAAAGAAGTTTCTGAGAATGCTTCTGTCTAGATTTTACCTGAAGACAATCACGTTTCCCACGAAATCCTCAAAGCTATGCAAATATCCTCTTGCAGATTCTACAAAAAGAGTGTTTCAAAACTGCTCTATGAAAAGAAAGGTTCAACTCTGTCAGTAGAGGGCACACATCACAAACAAGTTTCTGAGAATGCTTGTGTCTAGTTGTTATGGGAAGATATTTCCTTTTTCAACATAGGCCTGAAAGCGCTCCAAATGTCCACTTCCAGATACTACAAAAGGAGTGATTCCAACCTGCTCTATGATAGGGAATGTTCATCTCTGTGTCCTGAATACAAACATCACAAAGATGTTTCTCAGAACGCTGCAGTCTGCAATTTGTATGAATTCCCGCTTCCAACGAAATCCTCAAAACTAGCCAAATATCCACTTGGAGATTCCACAAAAAGAGCGTTTCAAAACTTCTCTATGAATAGAAAGGTTCTACTCCTTTAGTTGAGGACACACATCACGAGTAAGTTTTTGAGAATGCTTCTGTCTAGTTTTTATGGGAAGATATTTCCTTTTTCACCTTAGGCCGGAAAGCGCTCCAAATGTCCACTTACACACACTACAAAAAGAGTGTTTCAAACCTGCTCTGTGAAAGGGAATGTTCAATTCTGTGACTTGAATGCAATCATCACACAGAACTTTCTGAGAATGCTGCTGTCTGCTTTTTATATGTAATCCCGTTTCCAACGAAATCCTCAAATCTAGCCAAATATCCACTTGCAGATTCCACAAAAAGAGTGTTTCAAAACTGTTCTGTCTAAAGAAAAGTTCAACTGTGTTAGTTGAGGACACACATCAGAAACTAGTTTCTGAGAATGCTTCTGTCTAGTTGTTATGGGAAGATATTTCCTTTTCCAACGTAGGCCTGAAAGCGCTCCAAATGTCCACTTCCATATACTAAAAAAAGAGTGTTTCAAACCTGCTCTACCAAAGGGAATGTTCTACTCTGTGACTTGAATGCAAACATCCCAAAGAAGTTTCTGAGAATGCTTCTGTCTAGATTTTATCTGAAGACAATCCCGTTTCCAACGAAATTCTCACGGCTAGGCAAATATACTCTTGCAGATTCCAGAAAAAGAGTTTTTCAAAACTGCTCCTTCAAAACGTTGGTTAAATTCTCTTAGTTGAGTACACACATCTCAAATAAGTTTCTGAGAATGCTTCTGCCTAGTTGTTACGGGAAGATATTTCCCTTTCCAACATGGGCCTGAAAGCGCTCCAAATGTCCACTTCCAGATACTACAAAAAGAGGGTTTCAAACCTGCTCTACCAAAGGGAATGTTCTACTCTGTGACTTGAATGCAAACATCCCAAAGAAGTTTCTGAGAATGCTTCTGTCTAGATTTTACCTGAAGACAATCCCGTTTCCCACGAAATCCTCAAAGCTATGCAAATATCCTCTTGCAGATTCTACAAAAAGAGTGTTTCAAAACTGCTCTATGAAAAGAAAGGTTCAACTCTGTCAGTAGAGGGCACACATCACAAACAAGTTTCTGAGAATGCTTGTGTCTAGTTGTTATGGGAAGATATTTCCTTTTTCAACATAGGCCTGAAAGCGCTCCAAATGTCCACTTCCAGATACTACAAAAGGAGTGATTCCAACCTGCTCTATGATAGGGAATGTTCATCTCTGTGTCCTGAATACAAACATCACAAAGATGTTTCTCATAACGCTGCAGTCTGCAATTTGTATGAATTCCCGCTTCCAACGAAATCCTCAAAACTAGCCAAATATCCACTTGGAGATTCCACAAAAAGAGCGTTTGAAAACTTCTCTATGAATAGAAAGGTTCTACTCCTTTAGTTGAGGACACACATCACGAGTAAGTTTCTGAGAATGCTTCTGTCTAGTTTTTATGGGAAGATATTTCCTTTTTCACCTTAGGCCGGAAAGCGCTCCAAATGTCCACTTACACTCACTACAAAAAGAGTGTTTCAAACCTGCTCTGTGAAAGGGAATGTTCAATTCTGTGACTTGAATGCAATCATCACAAAGAACTTTCTGAGAATGCTGCTGACTGCTTTTTATATGTAATCCCGTTTCCAACGAAATCCTCAAATCTAGCCCAATATCCACTTGCAGATTCCACAAAAAGAGTGTTTCAAAACTGTTCTGTCTAAAGAAATGTACAACTGTGTTAGTTGAGGACACACATCAGAAACTAGTTTCTGAGAATGCTTCTGTCTAGTTGTTATGGGAAGATATTTCCTTTTCCAACGTAGGCCTGAAAGCGCTCCAAATGTCCACTTCCATATACTAAAAAAAGAGTGTTTCAAACCTGCTCTACCAAAGGGAATGTTCTACTCTGTGACTTGAATGCAAACATCCCAAAGAAGTTTCTGAGAATGCTTCTGTCTAGATTTTATCTGAAGACAATCCCGTTTCCAACGAAATCCTCAAGGCTAGGCAAATATACTCTTGCAGATTCCAGAAAAAGAGGGTTTCAAAACTGCTCCTTCAAAACGGTGGTTCAATTCTCTTAGTTGAGTACACACATCTCAAATAAGTTTCTGAGAATGCTTCTGCCTAGTTGTTACGGGAAGATATTTCCCTTTCCAACATGGGCCTGAAAGCGCTCCAAATGTCCACTTCCAGATACTACAAAAAGAGTGTTTCAAACCTGCTCTACCAAAGGGAATGTTCTACTCTGTGACTTGAATGCAAACATCCCAAAGAAGTTTCTGAGAATGCTTCTGTCTAGATTTTACCTGAAGACAATCCCGTTTCCCACGAAATCCTCAAAGCTATGCAAATATCCTCTTGCAGATTCTACAAAAAGAGTGTTTCAAAACTGCTCTATGAAAAGAAAGGTTCAACTCTGTCAGTAGAGGGCACACATCACAAACAAGTTTCTGAGAATGCTTCTGCATAGTTGTTACGGGAAGATATTTCCCTTTCCAAAATAGGCCTGAAAGCGCTCCAAATGTCCACTTCCAGATACTACAAAAGGAGTGATTCCAACCTGCTCTATGATAGGGAATGTTCAACTCTGTGTCCTGAATACAAACATCACAAAGATGTTTCTCAGAACGCTGCAGTCTGCAATTTTTATGAATTCCCGCTTCCAACGAAATCCTCAAAACTAGCCAAATATCCACTTGCAGATTCCACAAAAAGACCATTTCAAAACTGCTCTATCAAAAGAAAGGTTCAACTTTGTTAGTTGAGTAGATACAGCATAAACAAGTTTCTGAGAATGCTTCTGTCCAGTTTTTATGGGAAGATATTTCCTTTTTCACCTTAGCCCTGAAATCGCTCCAAAAGTCCAGTTCCAGATACTACAAAAGGGGTGTTTCAAGACTGCTCTATGAAAGGGAGTGTTCAACTTTTGACTTGAATGCAAACATCAGAAAGCAGTTTCTCAGAACGCTGCTGTGTGCTTTTTATATGTATTCCCGCCTCCAGCGAAATCCCCAAAGCTAGCCAAATATCCACTTGCAGATTCCAGAAAAAGAGTGTTTCAAAACTGCTCCTTCAAAACGGTGGTTCAATTCTCTTAGTTGAGTACACACATCTCAAATAAGTTTCTGAGAATGCTTTCTGCCTAGTTTTTATGGGAAGATATTTCCTTTTTCACCTGAGGCCGGAAAGCGCTCCAAATGTCCACTTCCAGATACTACAAAAGGAGTGATTCAAACCTGCTCTATGATAGGGAATGTTCAACTCTGTGTCCTGAATACAAACATCACAAAGATGTTTCTCAGAACGCTGCAGTCTGCAATTTGTATGAATTCCCGCTTCCAACGCAATCCTCAAAACTAACCAAATATCCACTTGCAGACTCCACAAAAAGAGCATTTCAAAACTGCTCTATCAAAAGAAAGGTTCAACTTTGTTAGCTGAGTAGATACAGCATAAACAAGTTTCTGAGAATGCTTCTGTCCAGTTTTTATGGGAAGATATTTCCTTTTTCACCTTAGCCCTGAAAGCACTCCAAATGTCCACTTCCAGATACCACAAAAGGGGAGTTTCAAGACTGCTCTATGAAAGGGAGTGTTCAACTTTTGACTTGAATGCAAACATCACCAAGAAGTTTCTCAGAACGCTGCTGTCTGCTTTTTATATGTATTCCCGTTTCCAACGAAATCCTCAAAGCCAGCCAAATATCCACTTGCAGATTCCACAAAAAGAGTGTTTCAAAACTCCTCTCTCAAAAGAAATGTTCAACTCTGTCAGTTGAGGACACACATCACAAATAAGTTTCTGAGAATGCTTCTGTCCATTTGTTATGGGAAGATATTTCCTTTTCCAACATAGGCCTGAAAGCGCTCCAAATGTCCACTTCCAGATACTACAAAAGGAGTGATTCAAACCTGCTCTATGATAGGGAATGTTCAACTCTGTGTCCTGAATACAAACATCACAAAGATGTTTCTCAGAACGCTGCAGTCTGCAATTTGTATGAATTCCCGCTTCCAACGAAATCCTCAAAACTAGCCAAATATCCACTTGCAGATTCCACAAAAAGAGCGTTTCAAAACTTCTCTATGAAAAGAAAGTTTCTACTCCTTTACTTGAGTACACACATCACGAGTAAGTTTCTGAGAATGCTTCTAGTCTAGTTTTTATGGGAAGATATTTCCTTTTTCACCTTAGGCCGGAAAGCGCTCCAAATGTCCACTTACACACACTACAAAAAGAGTGTTTCAAACCTGCTCTGTGAAAGGGAATGTTCAATTCTGTGACTTGAATGCAATCATCACAAAGAACTTTCTGAGAATGCTGCTGACTGCTTTTTATATGTAATCCCGTTTCCAACGAAATCCTCAAATCTAGCCAAATAGCCACTTGCAGATTCCACAAAAAGAGTGTTTCAAAACTGTTCTGTCTAAAGAAAAGTTCAACTGTGTTAGTTGAGGACACACATCAGAAACTAGTTTCTGAGAATGCTTCTGTCTAGTTGTTATGGGAAGATATTTCCTTTTCCAACGTAGGCCTGAAAGCGCTCCAAATGTCCATTTCCATATACTAAAAAAAGAGTGTTTCAAACCTGCTCTACCAAAGGGAATGTTCTACTCTGTGACTTGAATACAAACATCCCAAAGAAGTTTCTGAGAATGCTTTCTGTCTAGATTTTATCTGAAGACAATCCCGTTTCCAACGAAATCCTCAAGGCTAGGCAAATATCGTCTAGCAGATTCCAGAAAAAGAGTGTTTCAAAACTGCTCCTTCAAAACGGTGGTTCAATTCTCTTAGTTGCGTACACACATCTCAAAAAAGTTTCAGAGAATGCTTCTGCCTAGTTGTTACGGGAAGATATTTCCCTTTCCAACATGGGCCTGAAAGTGCTCCAAATGTCCACTTCCAGATACTACAAAAAGAGTGTTTCAAACCTGCTCTACCAAAGGGAATGTTCTACTCTGTGACTTGAATGCAAACATCCCAAAGAAGTTTCTGAGAATGCTTCTGTCTAGATTTTACCTGAAGACAATCCCGTTTCCCACGGAATCCTCAAAGCTATGCAAATGTCCTCTTGCAGATTCTACAAAAAGAGTGTTTCAAAACTGCTCTATGAAAAGAAAGGTTCAACTCTGTCAGTAGAGGGCACACATCACAAACAAGTTTCTGAGAATGCTTGTGTCTAGTTGTTATGGGAAGATATTTCTTTTTTCAACATAGGACTGAAAGCGCTCCAAATGTCCACTTCCAGATACTACAAAAGGAGTGATTCCAACCTACTCTATGATAGGGAATGTTCATCTCTGTGTCCTGAATACAAACATCACAAAGATGATTCTCAGAACGCTGCAGTCTGCAATTTGTATGAATTCCCGCTTCCAACGAAATCCTCAAAACTAACCAAATATCCACTTGGAGATTCCACAAAAAGAGCGTTTCAAAACTTCTCTATGAATAGAAAGGTTCTACTCCTTTAGTTGAGGACACACATCACGAGTAAGTTTCTGAGAATGCTTCTGTCTAGTTTTTATGGGAAGATATTTCCTTTTTCACCTTAGGCCGGAAAGCGCTCCAAATGTCCACTTACACACACTACAAAAAGAGTGTTTCAAACCTGCTCTGTGAAAGGGAATGTTCAATTCTGTGACTTGAATGCAATCATCACAAAGAACTTTCTGAGAATGCTGCTGACTGCTTTTTATATGTAATCCCGTTTCCAACGAAATCCTCAAATCTAGCCCAATATCCACTTGCAGATTCCACAAAAAGAGTGTTTCAAAACTGTTCTGTCTAAAGAAATGTACAACTGTGTTAGTTGAGGACACACATCAGAAACTAGTTTCTGAGAATGCTTCTGTCTAGTTGTTATGGGAAGATATTTCCTTTTCCAACGTAGGCCTGAAAGCGCTCCAAATGTCCACTTCCATATACTACAAAAAGAGTGTTTCAAACCTGCTCTACCAAAGGGAATGTTCTACTCTGTGACTTGAATGCAAACATCCCAAAGAAGTTTCTGAGAATGCTTCTGTCTAGATTTTATCTGAAGACAATCCCGTTTCCAACGAAATCCTCAAGGCTAGGCAAATATACTCTTGCAGATTCCAGAAAAAGAGTGTTTCAAAACTGCTCCTTCAAAACGGTGGTTCAGTTCTCTTAGTTGAGTACACACATCTCAAATAAGTTTCTGAGAATGCTTCTGCCTAGTTGTTACGGGAAGATATTTCCCTTTCCAACATGGGCCTGAAAGCGCTCCAAATGTCCACTTCCAGATACTACAAAAAGAGTGTTTCAAACCTGCTCTACCAAAGGGAATGTTCTACTCTGTGACTTGAATGCAAACATCCCAAAGAAGTTTCTGAGAATGCTTCTGTCTAGATTTTACCTGAAGACAATCCCGTTTCCCACGAAATCCTCAAAGCTATGCAAATATCCTCTTGCGGATTCTACAAAAAGAGTGTTTCAAAACTGCTCTATGAAAAGAAAGGTTCAACTCTGTCAGTAGAGGGCACACATCACAAACAAGTTTCTGAGAATGCTTGTGTCTAGTTGTTATGAGAAGATATTTCCTTTTTCAACATAGGCCTGAAAGCGCTCCAAATGTCCACTTCCAGATACTACAAAAGGAGTGATTCCAACATGCTCTATGATAGGGAATGTTCATCTCTGTGTCCTGAATACAAACATCACAAAGATGTTTCTCAGAACGCTGCAGTCTGCAATTTGTATGAATTCCCTCTTCCAACGAAATCCTCAAAACTAGCCAAATATCCACTTGGAGATTCCACAAAAAGAGCGTTTCAAAACTTCTCTATGAATAGAAAGGTTCTACTCCTTTAGTTGAGGACACACATCACGAGTAAGTTTCTGAGAATGCTTCTGTCTAGTTTTTATGGGAAGATATTTCCTTTTTCACCTTAGGCCGGAAAGCGCTCCAAATGTCCACTTACACACACTACAAAAAGAGTGTTTCAAACCTGCTCTGTGAAAGGGAATGTTCAATTCTGTGACTTGAATGCAATCATCCCAAAGAACTTTCTGAGAATGCTGCTGTCTGCTTTTTATATGTAATCCCGTTTCCAACGAAATCCTCAAATCTAGCCAAATAGCCACTTGCAGATTCCACAAAAAGAGTGTTTCAAAACTGTTCTGTCTAAAGAAATGTTCAACTGTGTTAGTTGAGGACACACATCAGAAACTAGTTTCTGAGAATGCTTCTGTCTAGTTGTTATGGGAAGATATTTCCTTTTCCAACGTAGGCCTGAAAGCGCTCCAAATGTCCACTTCCATATACTAAAAAAAGAGTGTTTCAAACCTGCTCTACCAAAGGGAATGTTCTACTCTGTGACTTGAATGCAAACATCCCAAAGAAGTTTCTGAGAATGCTTCTGTCTAGATTTGATCTGAAGACAATCCCGTTTCCAACGAAATCCTCAAGGCTAGGCAAATATCCTCTTGCAGATTCCAGAAAAAGAGTGTTTCAAAACTGCTCCTTCAAAACGGTGGTTCAATTCTCTTAGTTGAGTACACACATCTCAAATAAGTTTCTGAGAGTGCTTCTGCCTAGTTGTTACGGGAAGATATTTCCCTTTCCAACATAGGCCTGAAAGCGCTCCAAATGTCCACTTCCAGATACTACAAAAAGAGTGTTTCAAACCTGCTCTACCAAAGGGAATGTTCTGCTCTGTGACTTGAATGCAAACATCCCAAAGAAGTTTCTGAGAATGCTTCTGTCTAGATTTTACCTGAAGACAATCCCGTTTCCCACGAAATCCTCAAAGCTATGCAAATATCCTCTTGCAGATTCTACAAAAAGAGTGTTTCAAAACTGCTCTATGAAAAGAAAGGTTCAACTCTGTCAGTAGAGGGCACACATCACAAACAAGTTTCTGAGAATGCTTGTGTCTAGTTGTTATGGGAAGATATTTCCTTTTTCAACATAGGCCAGAAAGCGCTCCAAATGTCCACTTCCAGATACTACAAAAGGAGTGATTCCAACCTGCTCTATGATAGGGAATGTTCAACTCTCTGTCCTGAATACAAACATCACAAAGATGTTTCTCAGAACGCTGCAGTCTGCAATTTGTATGAATTCCCGCTTCCAACGAAATCCTCAAAACTAGCCAAATATCCACTTGCAGATTCCACAAAAAGAGCATTTCAAAACTGCTCTATCAAAAGAAAGGTTCAACTTTGTTAGTTGAGTAGATACAGCATAAACAAGTTTCTGAGAATGCTTCTGTCCAGTTTTTATGGGAAGATATTTCCTTTTTCACCTTAGCCCTGAAAGCGCTCCAAAAGTCCAGTTCCAGATACTACAAAAGGAGTGTTTCAGGACTGCTCTATGAAAGGGAGTGTTCAACTTTTGACTTGAATGCAAACATCAGAAAGCAGTTTCTCAGAACGCTGCTGTGTGCTTTTTATATGTATTCCCGCCTCCAGCGAAATCCCCAAAGCTAGCCAAATATCCACTTGCAGATTCCAGAAAAAGAGTGTTTCAAAACTGCTCCTTCAAAACGGTGGTTCAATTCTCTTAGTTGAGTACACACATCTCAAATAAGTTTCTGAGAATGCTTCTGTCTAGTTGTTATGGGAAGATATTTCCTTTTCCAACATAGGCCTGAAAGCGCTCCAAATGTCCTCTTCCAGATACTACAAAAGGAGTGATTCAAACCTGCTCTATGATAGGGAATGTTCAACTCTGTGTCCTGAATACAAACATCACAAAGATGTTTCTCAGAACGCTGCAGTCTGCAATTTGTATGAATTCCCGCTTCCAACGAAATCCTCCAAACTAGCCAAATATCCACTTGCAGATTCCACAAAAAGAGCGTTTCAAAACTTCTCTATGAAAAGAAAGGTTCTACTCCTTTAGTTGAGGACACACATCACGAGTAAGTTTCTGAGAATGCTTCTGTCTAGTTTTTATGGGAAGATATTTCCTTTTTCACCTTAGGCCGGTAAGTGCTCCAAATGTCCACTTACACACACTACAAAAAGAGTGTTTCAAACCTGCTCTGTGAAAGGGAATGTTCAATTCTGTGACTTGAATGCAATCATCACAAAGAACTTTCTGAGAATGCTGCTGACTGCTTTTTATATGTAATCCCGTTTCCAACGAAATCCTCAAATCTAGCCCAATATCCACTTGCAGATTCCACAAAAAGAGTGTTTCAAAACTGTTCTGTGTAAAGAAATGTACAACTGTGTTAGTTGAGGACACACATCAGAAACTAGTTTCTGAGAATGCTTCTGTCTAGTTGTTATGGGAAGATATTTCCTTTTCCAACGTAGGCCTGAAAGCGCTCCAAATGTCCACTTCCATATACTAAAAAAAGAGTGTTTCAAACCTGCTCTACCAAAGGGAATGTTCTACTCTGTGACTTGAATGCAAACATCCCAAAGAAGTTTCTGAGAATGCTTCTGTCTAGATTTGATCTGAAGACAATCCCGTTTCCAACGAAATCCTCAAGGCTAGGCAAATATCCTCTTTCAGATTCCAGAAAAAGAGTGTTTCAAAACTGCTCCTTCAAAACGGTGGTTCAATTCTCTTAGTTGAATACACACATCTCAAATAAGTTTCTGAGAATGCTTCTGCCTAGTTGTTACGGGAAGATATTTCCCTTTCCAACATAGGCCTGAAAGCGCTCCAAATGTCCACTTCCAGATACTACAAAAAGAGTGTTTCAAACCTACTCTACCAAAGGGAATGTTCTACTACTGTGACTTGAATGCAAACATCCCAAAGAAGTTTCTGAGAATGCTTCTGTCTAGATTTTACCTGAAGACAATCCCGTTTCCCACGAAATCCTCAAAGCTATGCAAATATCCTCTTGCAGATTCTACAAAAAGAGTGTTTCAAAACTGCTCTATGAAAAGAAAGGTTCAACTCTGTCAGTAGAGGGCACACATCACAAACAAGTTTCTGAGAATGCTTGTGTCTAGTTGTTATGGGAAGATATTTCCTTTTTCAACATAGGCCTGAAAGCGCTCCAAATGTCCACTTCCAGATACTACAAAAGGAGTGATTCCAACCTGCTCTATGATAGGGAATGTTCATCTCTGTGTCCTGAATACAAACATCACAAAGATGTTTCTCAGAACGCTGCAGTCTGCAATTTGTGTGAATTCCCGCTTCCAATGAAATCCTCAAAACTAGCCAAATATCCACTTGGAGATTCCACAAAAAGAGCGTTTCAAAACTTCTCTATGAATAGAAAGGTTCTACTCCTTTAGTTGAGGACACACATCACGAGTAAGTTTCTGAGAATGCTTCTGTCTAGTTTTTATGGGAAGATATTTCCTTTTTCACCTTAGGCCTGAAAGCGCTCCAAATGTCCACTTACACACACTACAAAAAGAGTGTTTCAAACCTGCTCTGTGAAAGGGAATGTTCAATTCTGTGACTTGAATGCAATCATCACAAAGAACTTTCTGAGAATGCTGCTGACTGCTTTTTATACGTAATCCCGTTTCCAACGAAATCCCCAAATCTGGCCAAATATGCACTTGCAGATTCCACAAAAAGACTGTTTCAAAACTGTTCTGTCTAAAGAAATGTACAACTGTGTTAGTTGAGGACACACATCAGAAACTAGTTTCTGAGAATGCTTCTGTCTAGTTGTTATGGGAAGATATTTCCTTTTCCAACGTAGGCCTGAAAGCGCTCCAAATGTCCACTTCCATATACTAAAAAAAGAGTGTTTCAAACCTGCTCTACCAAAGGGAATGTTCTACTCTGTGACTTGAATGCAAACATCCCAAAGAAGTTTCTGAGAATGCTTCTGTCTAGATTTTATCTGAAGACAATCCCGTTTCCAACGAAATCCTCAAGGCTAGGCAAATATACTCTTGCAGATTCCAGAAAAAGAGGGTTTCAAAACTGCTCCTTCAAAACGGTGGTTCAATTCTCTTCGTTGAGTACACACATCTCAAATAAGTTTCTGAGAATGCTTCCGCCTAGTTGTTACGGGAAGATATTTCCCTTTCCAACATGGGCCTGAAAGCGCTCCAAATGTCCACTTCCAGATACTACAAAAAGAGTGTTTCAAACCTGCTCTACCAAAGGGAATGTTCTACTCTGTGACTTGAATGCAAACATCCCAAAGAAGTTTCTGAGAATGCTTCTGTCTAGATTTTACCTGAAGACAATCCCGTTTCCCACGAAATCCTAAAAGCTATGCAAATATCCTCTTGCGGATTCTACAAAAAGAGTGTTTCAAAACTGCTCTATGAAAAGAAAGGTTCAACTCTGTCAGTAGAGGGCACACATCACAAACAAGTTTCTGAGAATGCTTGTGTCTAGTTGTTATGGGAAAATATTTCCTTTTTCAACATAGGCCTGAAAGCGCTCCAAATGTCCACTTCCAGATACTACAAAAGGAGTGATTCCAACCTGCTCTATGATAGGGAATGTTCATCTCTGTGTCCTGAATACAAACATCACAAAGATGTTTCTCAGAACGCTGCAGTCTGCAATTTGTATGAATTCCTGCTTCCAACGAAATCCTCAAAACTAGCCAAATATCCACTTGCAGATTCCACAAAAAGAGCATTTCAAAACTGCTCTATCAAAAGAAAGGTTCAACTTTGTTAGTTGAGTAGATACAGCATAAACAAGTTTCTGAGAATGCTTCTGTCCAGTTTTTATGGGAATATATTTCCTTTTTCACCTTAGCCCTGAAAGCGCTCCAAAAGTCCAGTTCCAGATACTACAAAAGGAGTGTTTCAGGACTGCTCTATGAAAGGGAGTGTTCAACTTTTGACTTGAATGCAAACATCAGAAAGCAGTTTCTCAGAACGCTGCTGTGTGCTTTTTATATGTATTCCCGCCTCCAGCGAAATCCCCAAAGCTAGCCAAATATCCACTTGCAGATTCCAGAAAAAGAGTGTTTCAAAACTGCTCCTTCAAAACGGTGGTTCAATTCTCTTAGTTGAGTACACACATCTCAAATAAGTTTCTGAGAATGCTTCTGTCTAGTTGTTATGGGAAGATATTTCCTTTTCCAACATAGGCCTGAAAGCGCTCCAAATGTCCACTTCCAGATACTACAAAAGGAGTGATTCCAACCTGCTCTATGATAGGGAATGTTCAACTCTGTGTCCTGAATACAAACATCACAAAGATGTTTCTCAGAACGCTGCAGTCTGCAATTTGTATGAATTCCCGCTTCCAACGAAATCCTCCAAACTAGCCAAATATCCACTTGCAGATTCCACAAAAAGAGCGTTTCAAAACTTCTCTATGAAAAGAAAGGTTCTACTCCTTTAGTTGAGGACACACATCACGAGTAAGTTTCTGAGAATGCTTCTGTCTAGTTTTTATGGGAAGATATTTCCTTTTTCACCTTAGGCCGGAAAGTGCTCCAAATGTCCACTTACACACACTACAAAAAGAGTGTTTCAAACCTGCTCTGTGAAAGGGAATGTTCAATTCTGTGACTTGAATGCAATCATCACAAAGAACTTTCTGAGAATGCTGCTGTCTGCTTTTTATATGTAATCCCGTTTCCAACGAAATCCTCAAATCTAGCCAAATAGCCACTTGCAGATTCCACAAAAAGAGTGTTTCAAAACTGTTCTGTCTAAAGAAATGTTCAACTGTGTTAGTTGAGGACACACATCAGAAACTAGTTTCTGAGAATGCTTCTGTCTAGTTGTTATGGGAAGATATTTCCTTTTCCAACGTAGGCCTGAAAGCGCTCCAAATGTCCACTTCCATATACTAAAAAAAGAGTGTTTCAAACCTGCTCTACCAAAGGGAATGTTCTACTCTGTGACTTGAATGCAAACATCCCAAAGAAGTTTCTGAGAATGCTTCTGTCTAGATTTGATCTGAAGACAATCCCGTTTCCAACGAAATCCTCAAAGCTAGGCAAATATCCTCTTGCAGATTCCAGAAAAAGAGTGTTTCAAAACTGCTCCTTCAAAACGGTGGTTCAATTCTCTTAGTTGAGTACACACATCTCTAATAAGTTTCTGAGAATGCTTCTGCCTAGTTGTTACGGGAAGATATTTCCCTTTCCAACATAGGCCTGAAAGCGCTCCAAATGTCCACTTCCAGATACTACAAAAAGAGGGTTTCAAACCTGCTCTACCAAAGGGAATGTTCTACTCTGTGACTTGAATGCAAACATCCCAAAGAAGTTTCTGAGAATGCTTCTGTCTAGATTTGATCTGAAGACAATCCCTTTTCCAACGAAATCCTCAAAGCTAGGCAAATATCCTCTTGCAGATTCTACAAAAAGAGTGTTTCGAAACTGCTCTATGAAAAGAAAGGTTCAACTCTGTCAGTAGAGGAAACACATCACCAACAAGTTTCTGAGAATGCTTCTGTCTAGTTGTTATGGGAAGATTTTTCCTTTTTCAACATAGGCCTGAAAGCGCTCCAAATGTCCACTTCCAGATACTACAAAAGGAGTGATCCCAACCTGCTCTATGATAGGGAATGTTCAACTCTGTGTCCTGAATACAAACATCACAAAGATGTTTCTCAGAACGCTGCAGTCTGCAATTTGTATGAATTCCCGCTTCCAACGAAATCCTCAAAACTAGCCAAATATCCACTTGCAGATTCCACAAAAAGAGCATTTCAAAACTGCTCTATCAAAAGAAAGGTTCAACTTTGTTAGTTGAGTAGATACAGCATAAACAAGTTTCTGAGAATGCTTCTGTCCAGTTTTTATGGGAAGATATTTCCTTTTTCACCTTAGCCCTGAAAGCGCTCCAAATTTCCAGTTCCAGATACTACAAAAGGGGTGTTTCAAGACTGCTCTATGAAAGGGAGTGTTCAACTTTTGACTTGAATGCAAACATCAGAAAGCAGTTTCTCAGAACGCTGCTGTGTGCTTTTTATATGTATTCCCGCTTCCAGCGAAATCCCCAAAGCTAGCCAAATATCCACTTGCAGATTCCACAAAAAGAGTGTTTCAAAACTGCTCCTTCAAAACGGTGGTTCAATTCTCTTAGTTGAGTAGACACATCTCAAATAAGTTTCTGAGAATGCTTCTGTCTAGTTGTTATGGGAAGATATTTCCTTTTCCAACATAGGCCTGAAAGCGCTCCAAATGTCCACTTCCAGATACTACAAAAGGAGTGATTCAAACCTGCTCTATGATAGGGAATGTTCAACTCTGTGTCCTGAATACAAACATCACAAAGATGTTTCTCAGAACGCTGCAGTCTGCAATTTGTATGAATTCCCGCTTCCAACGAAATCCTCAAAACTAGCCAAATATCCACTTGCAGATTCCACAAAAAGAGCGTTTCAAAACTTCTCTATGAAAAGAAAGGTTCTACTCCTTTAGTTGAGGACACACATCACGAGTAAGTTTCTGAGAATGCTTCTGTCTAGTTTTTATGGGAAGATATTTCCTTTTTCACCTTAGGCCGGTAAGTGCTCCAAATGTCCACTTACACACACTACAAAAAGAGTGTTTCAAACCTGCTCTGTGAAAGGGAATGTTCAATTCTGTGACTTGAATGCAATCATCACAAAGAACTTTCTGAGAATGCCGCTGACTGCTTTTTATATGTAATCCCGTTTCCAACGAAATCCTCAAATCTAGCCAAATAGCCACTTGCAGATTCCACAAAAAGAGTGTTTCAAAACTGTTCTGTCTAAAGAAATGTTCAACTGTGTTAGTTGAGGACACACATCAGAAACTAGTTTCTGAGAATGCTTCTGTCTAGTTGTTATGGGAAGATATTTCCTTTTCCAACGTAGGCCTGAAAGCGCTCCAAATGTCCACTTCCAGATACTACAAAAAGAGTGTTTCAAACCTGCTCTACCAAAGGGAATGTTCTACTCTGTGACTTGAATGCAAGCATCCCAAAGAAGTTTCTGAGAATGCTTCTGTCTAGATTTTCTCTGAAGACAATCCCGTTTCCAACGAAATCCTCAAGGCTAGGCAAATATACTCTTGCAGATTCCAGAAAAAGAGTGTTTCAAAACTGCTCCTTCAAAACGGTGGTTCAATTCTCTTAGTTGAGTACACACATCTCAAATAAGTTTCTGAGAATGCTTCTGCCTAGTTGTTACGGGAAGATATTTCCCTTTCCAACATGGGCCTGAAAGCGCTCCAAATGTCCACTTCCAGATACTACAAAAAGAGTGTTTCAAACCTGCTCTACCAAAGGGAATGTTCTACTCTGTGACTTGAATGCAAACATCCCAAAGAAGTTTCTGAGAATGCTTCTGTCTAGATTTTACCTGAAGACAATCCCGTTTCCCACGAAATCCTCAAAGCTATGCAAATATCCTCTTGCAGATTCTACAAAAAGAGTGTTTCAAAACTGCTCTATGAAAAGAAAGGTTCAACTCTGTCAGTAGAGGGCACACATCACAAACAAGTTTCTGAGAATGCTTCTGCATAGTTGTTACGGGAAGATATTTCCCTTTCCAAAATAGGCCTGAAAGCGCTCCAAATGTCCACTTCCAGATACTACAAAAGGAGTGATTCCAACCTGCTCTATGATAGGGAATGTTCAACTCTGTGTCCTGAATACAAACATCACAAAGATGTTTCTCAGAACGCTGCAGTCTGCAATTTGTATGAATTCCCGCTTCCAACGAAATCCTCAAAACTAGCCAAATATCCACTTGCAGATTCCACAAAAAGACCATTTCAAAACTGCTCTATCAAAAGAAAGGTTCAACTTTGTTAGTTGAGTAGATACAGCATAAACAAGTTTCTGAGAATGCTTCTGTCCAGTTTTTATGGGAAGATATTTCCTTTTTCACCTTAGCCCTGAAATCGCTCCAAAAGTCCAGTTCCAGATACTACAAAAGGGGTGTTTCAGGACTGCTCTATGAAAGGGAGTGTTCAACTTTTGACTTGAATGCAAACATCAGAAAGCAGTTTCTCAGAACGCTGCTGTGTGCTTTTTATATGTATTCCCGCTTCCAGCGAAATCCCCAAAGCTAGCCAAATATCCACTTGCAGATTCCAGAAAAAGAGAGTTTCAAAACTGCTCCTTCAAAACGGTGGTTCAATTCTCTTAGTTGAGTACACACATCTCAAATAAGTTTCTGAGAATGCTTCTGTCTAGTTGTTATGGGAAGATATTTCCTTTTCCAACATAGGCCTGAAAGCGCTCCAAATGTCCACTTCCAGATACTACAAAAGGAGTGATTCAAACCTGCTCTATGATAGGGAATGTTCAACTCTGTGTCCTGAATACAAACATCACAAAGATGTTTCTCAGAACGCTGCAGTCTGCAATTTGTATGAATTCCCGCTTCCAACGAAATCCTCAAAACTAGCCAAATATCCACTTGCAGATTCCACAAAAAGAGCGTTTCAAAACTTCTCTATGAAAAGAAAGGTTCTACTCCTTTAGTTGAGGACACACATCACGAGTAAGTTTCTGAGAATGCTTCTGTCTAGTTTTTATGGGAAGATTATTTCCTTTTTCACCTTAGGCCGGTAAGTGCTCCAAATGTCCACTTACACACACTACAAAAAGAGTGTTTCAAACCTGCTCTGTGAAAGGGAATGTTCAATTCTGTGACTTGAATGCAATCATCACAAAGAACTTTCTGAGAATGCTGCTGACTGCTTTTTATATGTAATCCCGTTTCCAACGAAATCCTCAAATCTAGCCAAATAGCCACTTGCAGATTCCACAAAAAGAGTGTTTCAAAACTGTTCTGTCTAAAGAAATGTTCAACTGTGTTAGTTGAGGACACACATCAGAAACTAGTTTCTGAGAATGCTTCTGTCTAGTTGTTATGGGAAGATATTTCCTTTTCCAACGTAGGCCTGAAAGCGCTCCAAATGTCCACTTCCAGATACTACAAAAAGAGTGTTTCAAACCTGCTCTACCAAAGGGAATGTTCTACTCTGTGACTTGAATGCAAGCATCCCAAAGAAGTTTCTGAGAATGCTTCTGTCTAGATTTTCTCTGAAGACAATCCCGTTTCCAACGAAATCCTCAAGGATAGGCAAATATCCTCTTGCAGATTCCAGAAAAAGAGTGTTTCAAAACTGCTCCTTCAAAACGGTGGTTCAATTCTCTTAGTTGAGTACACACATCTCAAATAAGTTTCTGAGAATGCTTCTGCCTAGTTGTTACGGGAAGATATTTCCCTTTCCAACATGGGCCTGAAAGCGCTCCAAATGTCCACTTCCAGATACTACAAAAAGAGTGTTTCAAACCTGCTCTACCAAAGGGAATGTTCTACTCTGTGACTTGAATGCAAACATCCCAAAGAAGTTTCTGAGAATGCTTCTGTCTAGATTTTACCTGAAGACAATCCCGTTTCCCACGAAATCCTCAAAGCTATGCAAATATCCTCTTGCAGATTCTACAAAAAGAGTGTTTCAAAACTGCTCTATGAAAAGAAAGGTTCAACTCTGTCAGTAGAGGGCACAACATCACAAACAAGTTTCTGAGAATGCTTCTGCATAGTTGTTACGGGAAGATATTTCCCTTTCCAAAATAGGCCTGAAAGCGCTCCAAATGTCCACTTCCAGATACTACAAAAGGAGTGATTCCAACCTGCTCTATGATAGGGAATGTTCAACTCTGTGTCCTGAATACAAACATCACAAAGATGTTTCTCAGAACGCTGCAGTCTGCAATTTGTATGAATTCCCGCTTCCAACGAAATCCTCAAAACTAGCCAAATATCCACTTGCAGATTCCACAAAAAGACCATTTCAAAACTGCTCTATCAAAAGAAAGGTTCAACTTTGTTAGTTGAGTAGATACAGCATAAACAAGTTTCTGAGAATGCTTCTGTCCAGTTTTTATGGGAAGATATTTCCTTTTTCACCTTAGCCCTGAAATCGCTCCAAAAGTCCAGTTCCAGATACTACAAAAGGGGTGTTTCAAGACTGCTCTATGAAAGGGAGTGTTCAACTTTTGACTTGAATGCAAACATCAGAAAGCAGTTTCTCAGAACGCTGCTGTGTGCTTTTTATATGTATTCCCGCTTCCAGCGAAATCCCCAAAGCTAGCCAAATATCCACTTGCAGATTCCAGAAAAAGAGAGTTTCAAAACTGCTCCTTCAAAACGGTGGTTCAATTCTCTTAGTTGAGTACACACATCTCAAATAAGTTTCTGAGAATGCTTCTGTCTAGTTGTTATGGGAAGATATTTCCTTTTCCAACATAGGCCTGAAAGCGCTCCAAATGTCCACTTCCAGATACTACAAAAGGAGTGATTCAAACCTGCTCTATGATAGGGAATGTTCAACTCTGTGTCCTGAATACAAACATCACAAAGATGTTTCTCAGAACGCTGCAGTCTGCAATTTGTATGAATTCCCGCTTCCAACGAAATCCTCAAAACTAGCCAAATATCCACTTGCAGATTCCACAAAAAGAGCGTTTCAAAACTTCTCTATGAAAAGAAAGGTTCTACTCCTTTAGTTGAGGACACACATCACGAGTAAGTTTCTGAGAATGCTTCTGTCTAGTTTTTATGGGAAGATATTTCCTTTTTCACCTTAGGCCGGTAAGTGCTCCAAATGTCCACTTACACACACTACAAAAAGAGTGTTTCAAACCTGCTCTGTGAAAGGGAATGTTCAATTCTGTGACTTGAATGCAATCATCACAAAGAACTTTCTGAGAATGCTGCTGACTGCTTTTTATATGTAATCCCGTTTCCAACGAAATCCTCAAATCTAGCCAAATAGCCACTTGCAGATTCCACAAAAAGAGTGTTTCAAAACTGTTCTGTCTAAAGAAATGTTCAACTGTGTTAGTTGAGGACACACATCAGAAACTAGTTTCTGAGAATGCTTCTGTCTAGTTGTTATGGGAAGATATTTCCTTTTCCAACGTAGGCCTGAAAGCGCTCCAAATGTCCACTTCCATATACTAAAAAAAGAGTGTTTCAAACCTGCTCTACCAAAGGGAATGTTCTACTCTGTGACTTGAATGCAAACATCTCAAAGAAGTTTCTGAGAATGCTTCTGTCTAGATTTTATCTGAAGACAATCCCGTTTCCAACGAAATCCTCAAGGCTAGGCAAATATACTCTTGCAGATTCCAGAAAAAGAGTGTTTCAAAACTACTCCTTCAAAACGGTGGTTCAGTTCTCTTAGTTGGGTACACACATCTCAAATAAGTTTCTGAGAATGCTTCTGCCTAGTTGTTACGGGAAGATATTTCCCTTTCCAACATGGGCCTGAAAGCGCTCCAAATGTCCACTTCCAGATACTACAAAAAGAGTGTTTCAAACCTGCTCTACCAAAGGGAATGTTCTACTCTGTGACTTGAATGCAAACATCCCAAAGAAGTTTCTGAGAATGCTTCTGTCTAGATTTTACCTGAAGACAATCCCGTTTCCCACGAAATCCTCAAAGCTATGCAAATATCCTCTTGCGGATTCTACAAAAACAGTGTTTCAAAACTGCTCTATGAAAAGAAAGGTTCAACTCTGTCAGTAGAGGGCACACATCACAAACAAGTTTCTGAGAATGCTTGTGTCTAGTTGTTATGGGAAGATATTTCCTTTTTCAACATAGGCCTGAAAGCGCTCCAAATGTCCACTTCCAGATACTAAAAAAAGGAGTGATTCCAACATGCTCTATGATAGGGAATGTTCATCTCTGTGTCTTGAATACAAACATCTCAAAGATGTTTCTCAGAACGCTGCAGTCTGCAATTTGTATGAATTCCCGCTTCCAACGAAATCCTCAAAACTAGCCAAATATCCACTTGGAGATTCCACAAAAAGAGCGTTTCAAAACTTCTCTATGAATAGAAAGGTTCTACTCCTTTAGTTGAGGACACACATCACGAGTAAGTTTCTGAGAATGCTTCTGTCTAGTTTTTATGGGAAGATATGTCCTTTTTCACCTTAGGCCGGAAAGCGCTCCAAATGTCCACTTACACACACTACAAAAAGAGTGTTTCAAACCTGCTCTGTGAAAGGGAATGTTCAATTCTGTGACTTGAATGCAATCATCACAAAGAACTTTCTGAGAATGCTGCTGTCTGCTTTTTATATGTAATCCCCTTTCCAACGAAATCCTCAAATCTAACCCAATATCCACTTGCAGATTCCACAAAAAGAGTGTTTCAAAACTGTTCTGTCTAAAGAAAAGTTCAACTGTGTTAGTTGAGGACACACATCAGAAACTAGTTTCTGAGAATGCTTCTGTCTAGTTGTTATGGGAAGATATTTCCTTTTCCAACGTAGGCCTGAAAGCGCTCCAAATGTCCACTTCCATATACTAAAAAAAGAGTGTTTCAAACCTGCTCTACCAAAGGGAATGTTCTACTCTGTGACTTGAATGCAAACATCCCAAAGAAGTTTCTGAGAATGCTTCTGTCTAGATTTTATCTGAAGACAATCCCGTTTCCAACGAAATCCTCAAGGCTAGGCAAATATACTCTTGCAGATTCCAGAAAAAGAGTGTTTCAAAACTGCTCCTTCAAAACGGTGGTTCAATTCTCTTAGTTGAGTACACACATCTCAAATAAGTTTCTGAGAATGCTTCTGCCTAGTTGTTACGGGAAGATATTTCCCTTTCCAACATGGGCCTGAAAGCGCTCCAAATGTCCACTTCCAGATACTACAAAAAGAGTGTTTCAAACCTGCTCTACCAAAGGGAATGTTCTACTCTGTGACTTGAATGCAAACATCCCAAAGGAGTTTCTGAGAATGCTTCTGTCTAGATTTTACCTGAAGACAATCCCGTTTTCCACGAAATCCTCAAAGCTATGCAAATATCCTCTTGCGGATTCTACAAAAAGAGTGTTTCAAAACTGCTCTATGAAAAGAAAGGTTCAACTCTGTCAGTAGAGGGCACACATCACAAACAAGTTTCTGAGAATGCTTGTGTCTAGTTGTTATGGGAAGATATTTCCTTTTTCAACATAGGCCTGAAAGCGCTCCAAATGTCCACTTCCAGATACTACAAAAGGAGTGATTCCAACATGCTCTATGAGAGGGAATGTTCATCTCTGTGTCTTGAATACAAACATCACAAAGATGTTTCTCAGAACGCTGCAGTCTGCAATTTGTATGAATTCCCGCTTCCAACGAAATCCTCAAAACTAGCCAAATATCCACTTGGAGATTCCACAAAAAGAGCGTTTCAAAACTTCTCTATGAATAGAAAGGTTCTACTCCTTTAGTTGAGGACACACATCACGAGTAAGTTTCTGAGAATGCTTCTGTCTAATTTTTATGGGAAGATATGTCCTTTTTCACCTTAGGCCGGAAAGCGCTCCAAATGTCCACTTACACACACTACAAAAAGAGTGTTTCAAACCTGCTCTGTGAAAGGGAATGTTCAATTCTGTGACTTGAATGCAATCATCACAAAGAACTTTCTGAGAATGCTGCTGTCTGCTTTTTATATGTAATCCCGTTTCCAACGAAATCCTCAAATCTAGCCCAATATCCACTTGCAGATTCCACAAAAAGAGTGTTTCAAAACTGTTCTGTCTAAAGAAAAGTTCAACTGTGTTAGTTGAGGACACACATCAGAAACTAGTTTCTGAGAATGCTTCTGTCTAGTTGTTATGGGAAGATATTTCCTTTTCCAACGTAGGCCTGAAAGCGCTCCAAATGTCCACTTCCATATACTAAAAAAAGAGTGTTTCAAACCTGCTCTACCAAAGGGAATGTTCTACTCTGTGACTTGAATGCAAACATCTCAAAGAAGTTTCTGAGAATGCTTCTGTCTAGATTTGATCTGAAGACAATCCCGTTTCCAACGAAATCCTCAAGGCTAGGCCAATATCCTCTTGCAGATTCCAGAAAAAGAGTGTTTCAAAACTGCTCCTTCAAAACGGTGGTTCAATTCTCTTAGTTGAGTACACACATCTCAAATAAGTTTCTGAGAATGCTTCTGCCTAGTTGTTACGGGAAGATATTTCCCTTTCCAACATGGGCCTGAAAGCGCTCCAAATGTCCACTTCCAGATACTACAAAAAGAGTGTTTCAAACCTGCTCTACCAAAGGGAATGTTCTACTCTGTGACTTGAATGCAAACATCCCAAAGAAGTTTCTGAGGATGCTTCTGTCTAGATTTTACCTGAAGACAATCCCGTTTCCCACGAAATCCTCAAAGCTATGCAAATATCCTCTTGCGGATTCTACAAAAAGAGTGTTTCAAAACTGCTCTATGAAAAGAAAGGTTCAACTCTGTCAGTAGAGGGCACACATCACAAACAAGTTTCTGAGAATGCTTGTGTCTAGTTGGTATGGGACGATATTTCCTTTTTCAACATAGGCCTGAAAGCGCTCCAAATGTCCACTTCCAGATACTACAAAAGGAGTGATTCCAACATGCTCTATGATAGGGAATGTTCATCTCTGTGTCTTGAATACAAACATCACAAAGATGTTTCTCAGAACGCTGCAGTCTGCAATTTGTATGAATTCCCGCTTCCAACGAAATCCTCAAAACTAGCCAAATATCCACTTGGAGATTCCACAAAAAGAGCGTTTCAAAACTTCTCTATGAATAGAAAGGTTCTACTCCTTTAGTTGAGGACACACATCACGAGTAAGTTTCTGAGAATGCTTCTGTCTAGTTTTTATGGGAAGATATGTCCTTTTTCACCTTAGGCCGGAAAGCGCTCCAAATCTCCACTTACACACACTACAAAAAGAGTGTTTCAAACCTGCTCTGTGAAAGGGAATGTTCAATTCTGTGACTTGAATGCAATCATCACAAAGAACTTTCTGAGAATGCTGCTGACTGTTTTTTATATGTAATCCCGTTTCCAACGAAATCCTCAAATCTAGCCCAATATCCACTTGCAGATTCCACAAAAAGAGTGTTTCAAAACTGTTCTGTCTAAAGAAAAGTTCAACTGTGTTAGTTGAGGACACACATCAGAAACTAGTTTCTGAGAATGCTTCTGTCTAGTTGTTATGGGAAGATATTTCCTTTTCCAACGTAGGCCTGAAAGCGCTCCAAATGTCCACTTCCATATACTAAAAAAAGAGTGTTTCAAACCTGCTCTACCAAAGGGAATGTTCTACTCTGTGACTTGAATGCAAACATCCCAAAGAAGTTTCTGAGAATGCTTCTGTCTAGATTTTATCTGAAGACAATCCCGTTTCCAACGAAATCCTCAAGGCTAGGCAAATATACTCTTGCAGATTCCAGAAAAAGAGTGTTTCAAAACTGCTCCTTCAAAACGGTGGTTCAATTCTCTTAGTTGAGTACACACATCTCAAATAAGTTTCTGAGAATGCTTCTGCCATAGTTGTTACGGGAAGATATTTCCCTTTCCAACATGGGCCTGATAGCGCTCCAAATGTCCACTTCCAGATACTACAAAAAGAGTGTTTCAAACCTGCTCTACCAAAGGGAATGTTCTACTCTGTGACTTGAATGCAAACATCCCAAAGAAGTTTCTGAGAATGCTTCTGTCTAGATTTTACCTGAAGACAATCCCGTTTCCCACGAAATCCTCAAAGCTATGCAAATATCCTCTTGCAGATTCTACAAAAAGAGTGTTTCAAAACTGCTCTATGAAAAGAAAGGTTCAACTCTGTCATTAGAGGGCACACATCACAAACAAGTTTCTGAGAATGCTTGTGTCTAGTTGTTATGGGAAGATATTTCCTTTTTCAACATAGGCCTGAAAGCGCTCCAAATGTCCACTTCCAGATACTACAAAAGGAGTGATTCCAACCTGCTCTATGATAGGGAATGTTCATCTCTGTGTCCTGAATACAAACATCACAAAGATGTTTCTCATAACGCTGCAGTCTGCAATTTGTATGAATTCCCGCTTCCAACGAAATCCTCAAAACTAGCCAAATATCCACTTGGAGATTCCACAAAAAGAGCATTTCAAAACTTCTCTACGAATAGAAAGGTTCTACTCCTTTAGTTGAGGACACACATCACGAGTAAGTTTCTGAGAATGCTTCTGTCTAGTTTTTATGGGAAGATATTTCCTTTTTCACCTTAGGCCGGAAAGCGCTCCAAATGTCCACTTACACACACTACAAAAAGAGTGTTTCAAACCTGCTCTGTGAAAGGGAATGTTCAATTCTGTGACTTGAATGCAATCATCACAAAGAACTTTCTGAGAATGCTGCTGTCTGCTTTTTATATGTAATCCCGTTTCCAACGAAATCCTCAAATCTAGCCAAATATCCACTTGCAGATTCCACAAAAAGAGTGTTTCAAAACTGTTCTGTCTAAAGAAAAGTTCAACTGTGTTAGTTGAGGACACACATCAGAAACTAGTTTCTGAGAATGCTTCTGTCTAGTTGTTACGGGAAGATATTTCCTTTTCCAACGTAGGCCTGAAAGCGCTCCAAATGTCCATTTCCATATACTAAAAAAAGAGTGTTTCAAACCTGCTCTATCAAAGGGAATGTTCTACTCTGTGACTTGAATACAAACATCCCAATGAAGTTTCTGAGAATGCTTCTGTCTAGATTTTATCTGAAGACAATCCCGTTTCCAACGAAATCCTCAAGGCTAGGCAAATATCGTCTAGCAGATTCCAGAAAAAGAGTGTTTCAAAACTGCTCCTTCAAAACGGTGGTTCAATTCTCTTAGTTGAGTACACACATCTCAAAAAAGTTTCAGAGAATGCTTCTGCCTAGTTGTTACGGGAAGATATTTCCCTTTCCAAAATAGGCCTGAAAGCGCTCCAAATGTCCACTTCCAGATACTGCAAAAGGAGTGATTCCAACCTGCTCTATGATAGGGAAAGTTCAACTCTGTGTCCTGAATACAAACATCACAAAGATGTTTCTCAGAACGCTGCAGTCTGCAATTTGCATGAATTCCAGCTTCCAACGAAATCCTCAAAACTAGCCAAATATCCACTTGCAGATTCCACAAAAAGAGCATTTCAAAACTGCTCTATCAAAAGAAAGGTTCAACTTTGTTAGTAGAGTAGATACAGCATAAACAAGTTTCTGAGAATGCTTCTGTCCAGTTTTTATGGGAAGATATTTCCTTTTTCACCTTAGCCCTGAAAGCGCTCCAAATGTCCAGTTCCAGATACTACAAAAGGGGTGTTTCAAGACTGCTCTATGAAAGGGAGTGTTCAACTTTTGACTTGAATGCAAACATCAGAAAGCAGTTTCTCAGAACGCTGCTGTGTGCTTTTTATATGTACTCCCGCTTCCAGCGAAATCCCCAAAGCTAGCCAAATATCCACTTGCAGATTCCAGAAAAAGAGTGTTTCAAAACTACTCCTTCAAAACGGTGGTTCAATTCTCTTAGTTGAGTACACACATCTCAAATAAGTTTCTGAGAATGCTTGTGTCTAGTTGTTATGGGAAGATATTTCCTTTTTCAACATAGGCCTGAAAGCGCTCCAAATGTCCACTTCCAGATACTACAAAAGGAGTGATTCCAACGTGCTCTATGATAGGGAATGTTCATCTCTGTGTCCTGAATACAAACATCACAAAGATGTTTCTCAGAACGCTGCAGTCTGCAATTTGTATGAATTCCCGCTTCCAACGAAATCCTCAACACTAGCCAAATATCCACTTGGAGATTCCACAAAAAGAGCGTTTCAAAACTTCTCTATGAATAGAAAGGTTCTACTCCTTTAGTTGAGGACACACATCACGAGTAAGTTTCTGAGAATGCTTCTGTCTAGTTTTTATGGGAAGATATGTCCTTTTTCACCTTAGGCCAGAAAGCGCTCCACATGTCCACTTACACACACTACAAAAAGAGTGTTTCAAACCTGCTCTGTGAAAGGGAATGTTCAATTCTGTGACTTGAATGCAATCATCACAAAGAACTTTCTGAGAATGCTGCTGACTGCTTTTTATATGTAATCCCGTTTACAACGAAATCCTCAAATCTAGCCCAATATCCACTTGCAGATTCCACAAAAAGAGTGTTTCAAAACTGTTCTGTGTAAAGAAATGTACAACTGTGTTAGTTGAGGACACACATCAGAAACTAGTTTCTGAGAATGCTTCTGTCTAGTTGTTATGGGAAGATATTTCCTTTTCCAACGTAGGCCTGAAAGCGCTCCAAATGTCCACTTCCATATACTAAAAAAAGAGTGTTTCAAACCTGCTCTACCAAAGGGAATGTTCTACTCTGTGACTTGAATGCAAACATCCCAAAGAAGTTTCTGAGAATGCTTCTGTCTAGATTTGCTCTGAAGACAATCCCGTTTCCAACGAAATCCTCAAGGCTAGGCAAATATCCTCTTGCAGATTCCAGAAAAAGAGTGTTTCAAAACTGCTCCTTCAAAACGGTGGTTCAATTCTCTTAGTTGAGTACACACATCTCAAATAAGTTTCTGAGAATGCTTCTGCCTAGTTGTTACGGGAAGATATTTCCCTTTCCAACATAGGCCTGAAAGCGCTCCAAATGTCCACTTCCAGATACTACAAAAAGAGTGTTTCAAACCTGCTCTACCAAAGGGAATGTTCTACTCTGTGACTTGAATGCAAACATCCCAAAGAAGTTTCTGAGAATGCTTCTGTCTAGATTTTACCTGAAGACAATCCCGTTTCCCACGAATACCTCAAAGCTATGCAAATATCCTCTTGCAGATTCTACAAAAAGAGTGTTTCAAAACTGCTCTATGAAAAGAAAGGTTCAACTCTGTCAGTAGAGGGCACACATCACAAACAAGTTTCTGAGAATGCTTGTGTCTAGTTGTTATGGGAAGATATTTCCTTTTTCAACATAGGCCTGAAAGCGCTCCAAATGTCCACTTCCAGATACTACAAAAGGAGTGATTCCAACCTGCTCTATGATAGGGAATGTTCAACTCTCTGTCCTGAATACAAACATCACAAAGATGTTTCTCAGAACGCTGCAGTCTGCAATTTGTATGAATTCCCGCTTCCAACCAAATCCTCAAAACTAGCCAAATATCCACTTGCAGATTCCACAAAAAGAGCATTTCAAAACTGCTCTATCAAAAGAAAGGTTCAACTTTGTTAGTTGAGTAGATACAGCATAAACAAGTTTCTGAGAATGCTTCTGTCCAGTTTTTATGGGAAGATATTTCCTTTTTCACCTTAGCCCTGAAAGCGCTCCAAAAGTCCAGTTCCAGATACTACAAAAGGGGTGTTTCAGGACTGCTCTATGAAAGGGAGTGTTCAACTTTTGACTTGAATGCAAACATCAGAAAGCAGTTTCTCAGAACGCTGCTGTGTGCTTTTTATATGTATTCCCGCTTCCAGCGAAATCCCCAAAGCTAGCCAAATATCCACTTGCAGATTCCAGAAAAAGAGTGTTTCAAAACTGCTCCTTCAAAACGGTGGTTCAATTCTCTTAGTTGAGTACACACATCTCAAATAAGTTTCTGAGAATGCTTCTGTCTAGTTGTTATGGGAAGATATTTCCTTTTCCAACATAGGCCTGAAAGCACTCCAAATGTCCACTTCCAGATACTACGAAAGGAGTGATTCAAACCTGCTCTATGATAGGGAATGTTCAACTCTGTGTCCTGAATACAAACATCACAAAGATGTTTCTCAGAACGCTGCAGTCTGCAATTTGTATGAATTCCCGCTTCCAACGAAATCCTCAAAACTAGCCAAATATCCACTTGCAGATTCCACAAAAAGAGCGTTTCAAAACTTCTCTATGAAAAGAAAGGTTCTACTCCTTTAGTTGAGGACACACATCACGAGTAAGTTTCTGAGAATGCTTCTGTCTAGTTTTTATGGGAAGATATTTCCTTTTTCACCTTAGGCCGGAAAGTGCTCCAAATGTCCACTTACACACACTACAAAAAGAGTGTTTCAAACCTGCTCTGTGAAAGGGAATGTTCAATTCTGTGACTTGAATGCAATCATCACAAAGAACTTTCTGAGAATGCTGCTGTCTGCTTTTTATATGTAATCCCGTTTCCAACGAAATCCTCAAATCTAGCCAAATAGCCACTTGCAGATTCCACAAAAAGAGTGTTTCAAAACTGTTCTGTCTAAAGAAATGTTCAACTGTGTTAGTTGAGGACACACATCAGAAACTAGTTTCTGAGAATGCTTCTGTCTAGTTGTTATGGGAAGATATTTCCTTTTCCAACGTAGACCTGAAAGCGCTCCAAATGTCCACTTCCATATACTAAAAAAAGAGTGTTTCAAACCTGCTCAACCAAAGGGAATGTTCTACTCTGTGACTTGAATGCAAACATCCCAAAGAAGTTTCTGAGAATGCTTCTGTCTAGATTTGATCTGAAGACAATCCCGTTTCCAACGAAATCCTCAAGGCTAGGCAAATATCCTCTTGCAGATTCCAGAAAAAGAGTGTTTCAAAACTGCTCCTTCAAAACGGTGGTTCAATTCTCTTAGTTGAGTACACACATCTCAAATAAGTTTCTGAGAATGCTTCTGCCTAGTTGTTACGGGAAGATATTTCCCTTTCCAACATAGGCCTGACAGCGCTCCAAATGTCCACTTCCAGATACTAGAAAAAGAGTGTTTCAAACCTGCTCTACCAAAGGGAATGTTCTACTCTGTGACTTGAATGCAAACATCCCAAAGAAGTTTCTGAGAATGCTTCTGTCTAGATTTGATCTGAAGACAATCCCGTTTCCAACGAAATCCTCAAGGCTAGGCAAATATCCTCTTGCAGATTCCAGAAAAAGAGTGTTTCAAAACTGCTCCTTCAAAACGGTGGTTCAATTCTCTTAGTTGAGTACACACATCTCAAATAAGTTTCTGAGAATGCTTCTGCCTAGTTGTTACGGGAAGATATTTCCCTTTCCAACATAGGCCTGAAAGCGCTCCAAATGTCCACTTCCAGATACTACAAAAAGAGTGTTTCAAACCTGCTCTACCAAAGGGAATGTTCTACTCTGTGACTTGAATGCAAACATCCCAAAGAAGTTTCTGAGAATGCTTCTGTCTAGATTTTACCTGAAGACAATCCCGTTTCCCACGAAATCCTCAAAGCTATGCAAATATCCTCTTGCAGATTCTACAAAAAGAGTGTTTCAAAACTGCTCTATGAAAAGAAAGGTTCAACTCTGTCAGTAGAGGGCACACATCACAAACAAGTTTCTGAGAATGCTTCTGCATAGTTGTTACGGGAAGATATTTCCCTTTCCAAAATAGGCCTGAAAGCGCTCCAAATGTCCACTTCCAGATACTACAAAAGGAGTGATTCCAACCTGCTCTATGATAGGGAATGTTCAACTCTGTGTCCTGAATACAAACATCACAAAGATGTTTCTCAGAACGCTGCAGTCTGCAATTTGTATGAATTCCCGCTTCCAACGAAATCCTCAAAACTAGCCAAATATCCACTTGCAGATTCCACAAAAAGACCATTTCAAAACTGCTCTATCAAAAGAAAGGTTCAACTTTGTTAGTTGAGTAGATACAGCATAAACAAGTTTCTGAGAATGCTTCTGTCCAGTTTTTATGGGAAGATATTTCCTTTTTCACCTTAGCCCTGAAATCGCTCCAAAAGTCCAGTTCCAGATACTACAAAAGGGGTGTTTCAGGACTGCTCTATGAAAGGGAGTGTTCAACTTTTGACTTGAATGCAAACATCAGAAAGCAGTTTCTCAGAACGCTGCTGTGTGCTTTTTATATGTATTCCCGCTTCCAGCGAAATCCCCAAAGCTAGCCAAATATCCACTTGCAGATTCCAGAAAAAGAGAGTTTCAAAACTGCTCCTTCAAAACGGTGGTTCAATTCTCTTAGTTGAGTACACACATCTCAAATAAGTTTCTGAGAATGCTTCTGTCTAGTTGTTATGGGAAGATATTTCCTTTTTCAACATAGGCCTGAAAGCGCTCCAAATGTCCACTTCCAGATACTACAAAAGGAGTGATTCCAACCTGCTCTATGATAGGGAATGTTCAACTCTCTGTCCTGAATACAAACATCACAAAGATGTTTCTCAGAACGCTTGCAGTCTGCAATTTGTATGAATTCCCGCTTCCAACGAAATCCTCAAAACTAGCCAAATATCCACTTGCAGATTCCACAAAAAGAGCGTTTCAAAACTTCTCTATGAAAAGAAAGGTTCTACTCCTTTAGTTGAGGACACACATCACGAGTAAGTTTCTGAGAATGCTTCTGTCTAGTTTTTATGGGAAGATATTTCCTTTTTCACCTTAGGCAGGTAAGTGCTCCAAATGTCCACTTACACACACTACAAAAAGAGTGTTTCAAACCTGCTCTGTGAAAGGGAATGTTCAATTCTGTGACTTGAATGCAATCATCACAAAGAACTTTATGAGAATGCTGCTGACTGCTTTTTATATGTAATCCCGTTTCCAACGAAATCCTCAAATCTAGCCAAATAGCCACTTGCAGATTCCACAAAAAGAGTGTTTCAAAACTGTTCTGTCTAAAGAAATGTTCAACTGTGTTAGTTGAGGACACACATCAGAAACGAGTTTCTGAGAATGCTTCTGTCTAGTTGTTATGGGAAGATATTTCCTTTTCCAACGTAGGCCTGAAAGCGCTCCAAATGTCCACTTCCAGATACTACAAAAAGAGTGTTTCAAACCTGCTCTACCAAAGGGAATGTTCTACTCTGTGACTTGAATGCAAACATCCCAAAGAAGTTTCTGAGAATGCTTCTGTCTAGATTTTCTCTGAAGACAATCCCGTTTCCAACGAAATCCTCAAGGCTAGGCAAATATACTCTTGCAGATTCCAGAAAAAGAGTGTTTCAAAACTGCTCCTTCAAAACGGTGGTTCAATTCTCTTAGTTGAGTACACACATCTCAAATAAGTTTCTGAGAATGCTTCTGCCTAGTTGTTACGGGAAGATATTTCCCTTTCCAACATGGGCCTGAAAGCGCTCCAAATGTCCACTTCCAGATACTACAAAAAGAGTGTTTCAAACCTGCTCTACCAAAGGGAATGTTCTACTCTGTGACTTGAATGCAAACATCCCAAAGAAGTTTCTGAGAATGCTTCTGTCTAGATTTTACCTGAAGACAATCCCGTTTCCCACGAAATCCTCAAAGCTATGCAAATATCCTCTTGCAGATTCTACAAAAAGAGTGTTTCAAAACTGCTCTATGAAAAGAAAGGTTCAACTCTGTCAGTAGAGGGCACACATCACAAACAAGTTTCTGAGAATGCTTCTGCATAGTTGTTACGGGAAGATATTTCCCTTTCCAAAATAGGCCTGAAAGCGCTCCAAATGTCCACTTCCAGATACTACAAAAGGAGTGATTCCAACCTGCTCTATGATAGGGAATGTTCAACTCTGTGTCCTGAATACAAACATCACAAAGATGTTTCTCAGAACGCTGCAGTCTGCAATTTGTATGAATTCCAGCTTCCAACGAAATCCTCGCAACTAGCCAAATATCCACTTGCAGATTCCACAAAAAGAGCATTTCAAAACTGCTCTATCAAAAGAAAGGTTCAACTTTGTTTGTTGAGTAGATACAGCATAAACAAGTTTCTGAGAATGCTTCTGTCCAGTTTTTATGGGAAGATATTTCCTTTTTCACCTTAGCCCTGAAAGCGCTCCAAAAGTCCAGTTCCAGATACTACAAAAGGAGTGTTTCAGGACTGCTCTATGAAAGGGAGTGTTCAACTTTTGACTTGAATGCAAACATCAGAAAGCAGTTTCTCAGAACGCTGCTGTGTGCTTTTTATATGTATTCCCGCTTCCAGCGAAATCCCCAAAGCTAGCCAAATATCCACTTGCAGATTCCAGAAAAAGAGTGTTTCAAAACTGCTCCTTCAAAACGGTGGTTCAATTCTCTTAGTTGAGTACACACATCTCAAATAAGTTTCTGAGAATGCTTGTGTCTAGTTGTTATGGGAAGATATTTCCTTTTTCAACATAGGCCTGAAAGCGCTCCAAATGTCCACTTCCAGATACTACAAAAGGAGTGATTCCAACCTGCTCTATGATAGGGAATGTTCAACACTCTGTCCTGAATACAAACATCACAAAGATGTTTCTCAGAACGCTGCAGTCTGCAATTTGTATGAATTCCCGCTTCCAACGAAATCCTCAAAACTAGCCAAATATCCACTTGCAGATTCCACAAAAAGAGCATTTCAAAACTGCTCTATCAAAAGAAAGGTTCAACTTTGTTAGTTGAGTAGATACAGCATAAACAAGTTTCTGAGAATGCTTCTGTCCAGTTTTTATGGGAAGATATTTCCTTTTTCACCTTAGCCCTGAAAGCGCTCCAAAAGTCCAGTTCCAGATACTACAAAAGGAGTGTTTCAGGACTGCTCTATGAAAGGGAGTGTTCAACTTTTGACTTGAATGCAAACATCAGAAAGCAGTTTCTCAGAACGCTGCTGTGTGCTTTTTATATGTATTCCCGCTTCCAGCGAAATCCCCAAAGCTAGCCAAATATCCACTTGCAGATTCCAGAAAAAGAGTGTTTCAAAACTGCTCCTTCAAAACGGTGGTTCAATTCTCTTAGTTGAGTACACACATCTCAAATAAGTTTCTGAGAATGCTTCTGTCTAGTTGTTATGGGAAGATATTTCCTTTTCCAACATAGGCCTGAAAGCGCTCCAAATGTCCACTTCCAGATACTACAAAAGGAGTGATTCAAACCTGCTCTATGATAGGGAATGTTCAACTCTGTGTCCTGAATACAAACATCACAAAGATGTTTCTCAGAACGCTGCAGTCTGCAATTTGTATGAATTCCCGCTTCCAACGAAATCCTCCAAACTAGCCAAATATCCACTTGCAGATTCCACAAAAAGAGCGTTTCAAAACTTCTCTATGAAAAGAAAGGTTCTACTCCTTTAGTTGAGGACACACATCACGAGTAAGTTTCTGAGAATGCTTCTGTCTAGTTTTTATGGGAAGATATTTCCTTTTTCACCTTAGGCCGGAAAGTGCTCCAAATGTCCACTTACACACACTACAAAAAGAGTGTTTCAAACCTGCTCTGTGAAAGGGAATGTTCAATTCTGTGACTTGAATGCAATCATCACAAAGAACTTTCTGAGAATGCTGCTGTCTGCTTTTTATATGTAATCCCGTTTCCAACGAAATCCTCAAATCTAGCCAAATAGCCACTTGCAGATTCCACAAAAAGAGAGTTTCAAAACTGTTCTGTCTAAAGAAATGTTCAACTGTGTTAGTTGAGGACACACATCAGAAACTAGTTTCTGAGAATGCTTCTGTCTAGTTGTTATGGGAAGATATTTCCTTTTCCAACGTAGACCTGAAAGCGCTCCAAATGTCCACTTCCATATACTAAAAAAAGAGTGTTTCAAACCTGCTCTACCAAAGGGAATGTTCTACTCTGTGACTTGAATGCAAACATCCCAAAGAAGTTTCTGAGAATGCTTCTGTCTAGATTTGATCTGAAGACAATCCCGTTTCCAACGAAATCCTCAAGGCTAGGCAAATATCCTCTTGCAGATTCCAGAAAAAGAGTGTTTCAAAACTGCTCCTTCAAAACGGTGGTTCAATTCTGTTAGTTGAGTACACACATCTCAAATAAGTTTCTGAGAATGCTTCTGCCTAGTTGTTACGGGAAGATATTTCCCTTTCCAACATAGGCCTGAAAGCGCTCCAAATGTCCACTTCCAGATACTACAAAAAGAGTGTTTCAAACCTGCTCTACCAAAGGGAATGTTCTACTCTGTGACTTGAATGCAAACATCCCAAAGAAGTTTCTGAGAATGCTTCTGTCTAGATTTGATCTGAAGACAATCCCGTTTCCAACGAAATCCTCAAGGCTAGGCAAATATCCTCTTGCAGATTCCAGAAAAAGAGTGTTTCAAAACTGCTCCTTCAAAACGGTGGTTCAATTCTCTTAGTTGAGTACACACATCTCAAATAAGTTTCTGAGAATGCTTCTGCCTAGTTGTTACGGGAAGATATTTCCCTTTCCAACATAGGCCTGAAAGCGCTCCAAATGTCCACTTCCAGATACTACAAAAAGAGTGTTTCAAACCTGCTCTACCAAAGGGAATGTTCTACTCTGTGACTTGAATGCAAACATCCCAAAGAAGTTTCTGAGAATGCTTCTGTCTAGATTTTACCTGAAGACAATCCCGTTTCCCACGAAATCCTCAAAGCTATGCAAATATCCTCTTGCAGATTCTACAAAAAGAGTGTTTCAAAACTGCTCTATGAAAAGAAAGGTTCAACTCTGTCAGTAGAGGGCACACATCACAAACAAGTTTCTGAGAATGCTTGTGTCTAGTTGTTATGGGAAGATATTTCCTTTTTCAACATAGGCCTGAAAGCGCTCCAAATGTCCACTTCCAGATACTACAAAAGGAGTGATTCCAACCTGCTCTATGATAGGGAATGTTCAACTCTCTGTCCTGAATACAAACATCACAAAGATGTTTCTCAGAACGCTGCAGTCTGCAATTTGTATGAATTCCAGCTTCCAACGAAATCCTCAAATCTAGCCAAATATCCACTTGCAGATTCCACAAAAAGAGCATTTCAAAACTGCTCTATCAAAAGAAAGGTTCAACTTTGTTAGTAGAGTAGATACAGCATAAACAAGTTTCTGAGAATGCTTCTGTCCAGTTTTTATGGGAAGATATTTCCTTTTTCACCTTAGCCCTGAAAGCGCTCCAAAAGTCCAGTTCCAGATACTACAAAAGGAGTGTTTCAGGACTGCTCTATGAAAGGGAGTGTTCAACTTTTGACTTGAATGCAAACATCAGAAAGCAGTTTCTCAGAACGCTGCTGTGTGCTTTTTATATGTATTCCCGCTTCCAGCGAAATCCCCAAAGCTAGCCAAATATCCACTTGCAGATTCCAGAAAAAGAGTGTTTCAAAACTGCTCCTTCAAAACGGTGGTTCAATTCTCTTAGTTGAGTACACACATCTCAAATAAGTTTCTGAGAATGCTTCTGTCTATTTGTTATGGGAAGATATTTCCTTTTCCAACATAGGCCTGAAAGCGCTCCAAATGTCCACTTCCAGATACTAGAAAAGGAGTGATTCAAACCTGCTCTATGATAGGGAATGTTCAACTCTGTGTCCTGAATACAAACATCACAAAGATGTTTCTCAGAACGCTGCAGTCTGCAATTTGTATGAATTCCCGCTTCCAACGAAATCCTCCAAACTAGCCAAATATCCACTTGCAGATTCCACAAAAAGAGCGTTTCAAAACTGTTCTGTCTAAAGAAATGTTCAACTGTGTTAGTTGAGGACACACATCAGAAACTAGTTTCTGAGAATGCTTCTGTCTAGTTGTTATGGGAAGATATTTCCTTTTCCAACGTAGGCCTGAAAGCGCTCCAAATGTCCACTTCCATATACTAAAAAAAGAGTGTTTCAAACCTGCTCTACCAAAGGGAATGTTCTACTCTGTGACTTGAATGCAAACATCCCAAAGAAGTTTCTGAGAATGCTTCTGTCTAGATTTGATCTGAAGACAATCCCGTTTCCAACGAAATCCTCAAGGCTAGGCAAATATCCTCTTGCAGATTCCAGAAAAAGAGTGTTTCAAAACTGCTCCTTCAAAACGGTGGTTCAATTCTCTTAGTTGAGTACACACATCTCAAATAAGTTTCTGAGAATGCTTCTGCCTAGTTGTTACGGGAAGATATTTCCCTTTCCAACATAGGCCTGAAAGCGCTCCAAATGTCCACTTCCAGATACTACAAAAAGAGTGTTTCAAACCTGCTCTACCAAAGGGAATGTTCTGCTCTGTGACTTGAATGCAAACATCCCAAAGAAGTTTCTGAGAATGCTCTTCTGTCTAGATTTTACCTGAAGACAATCCCGTTTCCCACGAAATCCTCAAAGCTATGCAAATATCCTCTTGCAGATTCTACAAAAAGAGTGTTTCAAAACTGCTCTATGAAAAGAAAGGTTCAACTCTGTCAGTAGAGGGCACACCTAATCCCCCAATCTAGCAACAGAAGATACCTCAAGTAAGCTCCTTCCTCCCTTGGATCAATCAGGAGCCACTAGCTTGAGACACCCACCACCATCCAGGAGAAGCAGCTAGGAGAAATGCTAAGAGAGGTGCTCTCCTTCCCAGTACAGCTTGAGGCTTCCTTTTCTACCAGGAAGCACAAAGGTGGGAAAATAGAATCA